>NC_000018.10:76647017-76948373 GCF_000001405.40 Homo sapiens | reverse complement strand
GCAGGACATCCCCAGTGCTCGTTATATCTCATCTCTTTGTGAAAAAGCCCTTGTTCTACAGAAAAACCGGTAAGTCATTATTTTGAAAACTCATTTGCTAAAAATGTTTAATGCTTCCTAAATTCAGAGATTATTCATCATCTGTGCTTTAATTCTGACCCTGGAAACTTTTAAGGAAAGAGATTTTAGACTCTTCCATATTTAGACTATTGCTTACTAAATATTTTGGCTCCCAAAAACATGTATTTTAAGAAAAAAGACTAGCCAAATGACAGATCTTGAACACACGCGCGCGCACACACACGTATATGAAAATGTGTATGACACTTAACAGAATCTGCAAAGGTGTTACTAGAAAATCTGCAGAAGAACTAAGTGCAAGTGGCTGGATATGTGAAGTCTGATCAGCAGGCAAATATAATAAGATATTAATAAATTTAAAATTAGATTTACGTATCACTGTGGCTACATCTAATTCTGTGGTATTAAAACCTCACTCCCTAGGAAACAAATCACAAAACGAATGAGATATCGTACCTGTCATTCAACACACGCCCCCGCAGGGCCTATGTCCACTCAGGATTCAGCCGGGGACACCTCAGAAGTCAGCCCCAGCCACCTGGGTCACACAGCACGCCCATAACCCTCTACCACCATCCCTTCTGAATCTGTATGTTTTTAAAAGCGACAAAAGCTCTGTGAATGAAGGAATATCCTGTACCTGGTAGGCTATTTCTTCACAAGCAGCAGACGCTGACTGTGGCGTGTGGCTCACTAGTATGACTTGCGGCGAGCCTGCTCCACCCTGGCCCGAGAGAGAGGGATCCGTGAGGAGCGCTGGGAACTGCTGACCCTGGCAAAAGATTAGTACTATTTCAGAAGTTGTAACTTTAGCAAAACAAGCAATAATTTAAAAGATCTTTTATGGTGCAGCTACCTTGGAAAACAAGCTGGTAGCTCCTCAAAAAGTGAACCGTGGAGTCACCATGTAACCCAGCAACCCAAGAGAAGTGAAAACAGAAGCCTTGTACAGAAATGTCCACAGGAGAATTACCCATAGCCAAAAAATGGAAACAGCCCAAATGCCCATCAACCGATAAATGCACAAATGAAAATGTGGTATAAGGGAATATTGTTCAGTAATAAGAAGGTACAAAGTTCTGGTACATGCTACAGCATGGAGGAGCCTTGGAAATACTCTAAGGAATGAAAAAAGCCAGTCACAAAAGACCACACGGATGATCACATTTCTATGAAATACCCAGAACGGATGCATCTACGGAGACAGAAAGTGGACTGGCAGTTGCCAGGGGCAGCGGTGAGGGTGGGCCGGGGGTCGGGGGAACATGGAGTGATGGCTCATGGCTCCACGTTTCTTTAAGGGGTGATGAAACGTTCTAAAATTAGACCATGGTGATGGTTGTACAACTCTGTAAATACACTGAAAACCATTCAATTGTATACTTTAAATAATTAGGTGAACTTATATAAATTACATCTCAGAGTCTCTACATGTGTGTATATTTAAAAAACACTTATTTGCTTAGAAACACATATACAATTTTGCTATGCTATAGAAAACTACTGTAAGTCTTCTTACCAGCCCAGCACACCTCTAGCTATGAGAGCAGATCTGAGAGAATACGAGAGAATGAGAAAGGTAGGGTGGTATGGGGCACAAGAGCAGAGAGGAAGCTGCAGCTTAAAAGGTCTGAATATCTACTGCAAATTTATAGAAATAATTCAGCATGCAACTTGAACTGCTGTAATCAGCACTGATTCTAAACATATTTTACACACAGTTAAAACCGTGGCTGACCACAGGAAGCATGGCTGATGTTCTTGGCTCCTGTGCTTTAAGGTGAGGGGTGTTTCTCAATGTTTTAGGGAACTACACAAGCTGAGCCCCCAAAAGGAAATTAAGAATTGAGGAGGGGATGCTATATTAGTCCGTTTTCACGCTGCTGATAAAGACATGCCCTTGACTGGGCAATTTACAAAAGAAAGAGGTTTAATTGGACTGACAGTTCCATGTGGCTGGGGAAGCCTCATGATCATGGTGGAAGGCATGAAGGAGCAAATCACATCTTACATGGATGGCAGCAAAGAGAGGAGAGCTTGTGCAGGGAAACTCCCCTTTTTATAACCATCAGATCTCATGAGACTTATTCACTATCATGAGAACAGCAAGGGAAAGACTTGCCCCCATGAATGAATTACCTCCCACCAGGTTTCTCCCACAACACATGGGAATTCAAGATGAGATCTGGGTGGGGACACGGCCAAACTATATCAGACACAGTGGAGGAAAAATAGGACTGAGATGGCATTTTTAAAAACTTCCTCCATCAGAGAATTTTAGGTTCACTTCTTAAGGGAAAGAGTGGCAGGTGGCAAAATAGAAGCCAAAAACATACAGTCATCATCAGGGATTCCAGAGAAAGAGAGCTTCTAACTTGATTTGGGTTCCTTACTTCCCATATGCAGCTTTTTAAAAAAGCAAAATTAGGCTATTTTAGGTATCTCCATATATCAGCCTAATTTTTTACATAAACATGATCTAAATTGAAAAGTTCTTTTTCTTTTTTTGGAGATAAAGTCTTGCGCTGTCACCCAGGCTGGAGTGCAGTGGCTTAATCTCAGCTCACTGCAACCTCTGCCTCCCGGGTTCAAGTGATTCTTGTGCCTCAGCCTCCCAAGTAGCTGGGATTACAGGCATGCGCCACGTGTGGCTAATTTTTGTATTCTCAGTAGAGATGGGGGTTTCACTATGTTCGCCAGGCTAGTCTGGAACTCCTGACCTCAGGAGATCCACCAACCTTGGCCTCCCAAAGTGGTGGGATTACAGGTGTGAGCCACTGCACCTGAAGTTCCTACCTATACTAACAAAGCTTCATGTTCCCTACCTCCCTACATAGAGAAGTTGATTGAATATTGCTATTTTCAAATACCGGTGAATGCTATACTTTTTTGTGACATGTCTGTTGACAGCTGCTGCCACCACCCTTATCAGACTACCCAATTTGAAAAACTGTATTAATCAACCTGGACTTATTAATTCACATTTGTTTTATTAATCAAAGACCAAAAAAACTGCTGGTCAGAAATTCTGATGCACATAAGAACCAATTGGCTCAATAAATTAATATATTCCCAAACTAAAGGTAAGATATTTGAGAGTCTTAGCTTGTATAGGTATATCAAGGGAAAAATTACAACTTCTTGTTGTTTTGAAATAGCAAAATTACAGAAATAAAGAACAGAGTGGCAGATGTCAGGGTTAAGAGGGTCTTGAAGTCATTATAAAAAGCAACATGAGGGGTCCTTGAGATGATGGAAATATTCTGTATCTTGGCTTATCAATGATAACAACTGTTTGTGATATTATACTACAGTTCTGCAACATGCTCCTGTTGGGCAAAACTGGGTAAGTGTATGTGGAATCTCTCTGTACTATTTTTTAAAAATTGCCCATGAGTCTACAATTATCTCAAAATAAAAACTTAAATTAAAAAAACTTGAATACAATGTAATTTATTAGCTTATCATTTGTGTTTCAATTGCAAACCTTAATTAAGTATTCTTTTTTTTTGAGACAGAGTCGTGCTCTGTTACCCAGGCTACAGTGCAATGGCACAATCTCAGCTCACTGCAACCTCCACCTCCTGAGTTCAAGCGATTCTCCTGCCTCAGACTCCCAAGTAGCTGGGATTACAGGCACATGCCACCACACCCAGCTAATTTGTTGTAATTTTAGGAGAGACGGGGTTTCACCGTGTTGGCCAAGCTGGTCTCGATCTCCTGACCTCAGGTGATCCACCCGCCTCGGCCTGCGATTACAGGCATGAGCCACCACACCCCCAGCCAACCTTAAGTATTCTTAATGCAAATACCCTGATTTAAAAATCAGTGTCCAATAAAAGCTATACTCAACGATTAGCTATACTTATGGAAGTGATACACAAATCAGCTAAAACAATATAATCTAAAGGTTATTTACTTTTGGTTTGTATTATTATTTGCAGTTGGTTTCTTTACTATATTTGGTTTACACTGAGGTAAAGATTACAGGAATTTGCATTTCCCTGGAGCACATGAATTTTGCAACATGAGAATGTAACAGCAAGCACCAAGCCCCAGCAGAGAGGAATGGCGCAACAGCTGTTGGCCCTGGCAGCTGGGGCAGCTGCGTCAGAGTCACAGGGAAGGTGGGTAATGAACAGCACAGACGCCAGCCCCACCCATGACTACTGAATTAACTTGGGCCTGCTGAGACCCAGGAATGTCAATGTTCGACTGAATCTGGGAAATGCTGTAAAATATGAGCAAGGGCTGGATACTGATGAAAGGCATTCTATGCAATAACAAACTTCACTATACCATTGTCAAGTACCCATAAATCAACCTCACTTACTGCTCACATGTACAATTTCATTAGAAATATTTTTCTTAGCAGTTCATAATTTTACCGGCCTATACACAACTCTTAATAAACTTAAAACAAAACATTGTGCCTCAATAAAAATGTCAAGATATTTACAAGTACAAGAGTAAATATGAACGACTTGTAGAAGATCAAGGCTAAGAAAGGCACAAAATTAAGAAAGCTTTAAACAGCATGGGCCAGATGACTCTCAGTGTTAAACTTACAACTAACTTGTTACTTCAGAATTGGCTTCTTTTCCCATCAGGAGTCTGTAATAAGATTTGCCAATTTCTGGGTCACTCCACAGTCAAATTTAGACTTAAAAAGCCACATTTATATACCTAAATACAAAGTTTTAAATGTTTTGCACCTGACCAATTATCTGTAATAATAAGTTTGTTTTTTTATGACAAGAATTAGTATAAAAGAGAATTCCCTTCATGAATAAGTAAATTGCTTCTTCTTGTATTCAGAATAAGAACTAAAAATCATTTTGCTTTCTTGAATAGATTTTCTGCATGCACGTTTACACCTCCTGATAAAACTGTCAGACTTCAGTGGGCAAGCAGGACACACAACTACCACCGGCCTGCTCCTCCTCACCCCTGAAGAGTCTAAAGTTTGGAACAAATAAATCAGAATTACATTTCAAAATTAGCCAATTTTCTCTGAATTAAAATTATCACTTACTCCCACAATATTCTTCCAAAATTGGGCCCTTTTCAAGTTTTAAATTAGAATTATGGACTTATAAAAACATATATATTCCAAATTTTTTGCTATTATGAACTCAAATTTGCTCTTCTTTTTTTTTTTTTTTTTTTTGAGACGGAGTCTCACTCTGTCGCCCAGGCTGGAGTGCAGTGGCACGATCTCGGCTTACTACAACCTCCACTTCCCGGGTTCACGCCATTCTCCTGCCTCAGCCTCCCAAGTAGCTGGGACCACAGGTGCCCGCCACCACGCCTGGCTAATTTTTTGTATTTTTAGTAGAGACGGGGTTTCACCGTGTCAGCCAGGATGGTCTGGATCTCCTGACCTCGTGATCCGCCCGCCTCGGCCTCCCAAAGTCCTAGGTTTTACAGGCGTGAGCCACTGCACCCAGCCAAATTTGCCCATTATTTAAGAATACTAGGCTGGGCGTGGTGGCTCATGCCTGTAATCCCAGCACTTTGTGAGGCCAAGGCGGGCGGATCACGAGGTCAGGAGATCAAGACCATCCTGGCTGACATGGTGAAACCCCGTCTCTACTAAAAAATAACAAAAAAGGTAGCCGGGCATGGTGGCGGGCGCCTGTGGTCCCAGCTACTCAGGAGGCTGAGGCAGGAGAATGCTGTGAACCCGGGAAGCGGAGCTTGCACTGAGCGGAGATCGTGCCACTGCACTCCAGCCTGGGCGACAGAGCGAGACTCCGTCTCAAAAAAAATAATAAAAAAATAAAAAATTAAAAAAATTATAAAATAGAATACTATTTAAGTAAAGTAAGACCACCTTTCTCTGTTTTTAGGAACATCATCTTTCATGGATTTTACAAAGAAACAAAAAATAATACATAATAAGTTTACATGACTTTCCTATCTTTTAAATATGTACAGTAATTTCTATGTTTATATTACTGTTTCCTTCAGTCCATTTAGGGAGATTCTTATTTTTCCATGCACAGAGTGCAGTGTTCAGGGTGGTATAATGCTGAACAACTTGATTTCTTCACATTGGATCTCTTCCCCGTGCTATTAGTCCGTTTCCTCATTAAATTCAAGGAGCACATGTCATTTTAAGGAAGTAATATTAAATCATTCGACATTTATCCCCTAGTGAATAACTCTTAACTGAACAATCATCATTAGACACCGGTTAATTTCTCTTGACCACCTTCTAATTTTCAGGTCAAATTTAATTTACATATTTACAGCCATTTTCTTGTAGGTTCATTAATCTCTTGACAATAAAATGGTGGTTTTATTGCTACCAAGGATTCATTATGTTTAGAAAAATACCATTCAAAAAGCTAAGAAAGTTTTCATCTGGTTTTTGCAAGTTTTCAGAGTATTAAATCAGCACAAGTCTAAGTTTGCCAGCTAATAGAAAAAAGATTCAAATAAAGCTACACAATTTCTATTGGATATTTTTAAATTACTTGTTGGACAATGCATGCTAATTAATCAATTTGGTTTAAAAATTTTGTATTTGATAATTTTTTTTAAAGTACAGAAAAGAATATACAGAATGAACTTAACCCACCAAAGCTTAACAGAAACACTAATGTATCTGGATAGACACAGGCTCCAGAAGACCCACCCGGCTCGTGCTGCTCACAAAGCCTCCTGCTCCCATGTCCGCAGGCCAGAGTGGAAGGGCTGAGGGGGGCAGCAGGGAAGCGCTAATGGCAGGGTGTGTGGCTGCAGGCACATCCTGGATGCCAGGCACAGGAGCCACCTGTGCAGTGGGTGGGAGGGAGAGGGCGTGGCAAACGAGGTACTGGCAGCTCAGCCAGCAGAGCCCAAGTCCACGTGGCGTAGCAGGGGCCAGGCAGGAGCCAGAGGGGCAGCTGATGGAGTTTGTCCTGAGGCGCTGAGGACCCACAGGACTTTTGTCCAAAAGCAGCATCCTAAATGAGAAAGTGACCCCACTGGTGTGAAGCCAGGGAGCCTGAGCTGCCAGCTGGTGAGGACAGCAGGCCCCGAAATGGGCCACAGCGCATCCCAGGGTCATCACTGCCACCAAAGCTTCACTCTACAGCCCTTCCTCAAGAACCTGCTTGGAGAACCACCTGCCCGCTCACAAGGCTCCTGGGTGACCCTTGTGCACTACACCAGCAGTCCCCACCCTTTTTGGAACCAGGAAGACTGGTTTCATGGAAGAAAATTTTTCCACGGATTTGAGGTAGGGGATGTTGGGGAGATGGTTTCGGGATGAAACTTTTCCACATCAGATCATCAGGCATTAGCTAGATTCTCATAAGGATCACACAACCTAGATCCCTCACATGTGTAGTTCACAATAGGATTCATGCTCCTTTGAGAATGTAATGCCCCAGTTCATCTGACAGGAGGTGGAGCTCAGGCAGTAATGCTCTCTGGCCCACGCTCACCCCTGCTGTGCGGCCTGGATGCTAACAGACCATGGACAGGTACCAGTCCACAACCTGGGAGTTGGGGACCCCTGTTCTACAAAAAAGGCATGGGACATCCTGGCAAATATTTGCAGACTTTAAAAATACAACCTAGACAATACTGAGAACTACTTACTGAACTTTCACTTTAATTGTAGTGGATAATTCTCAAAGTGATAAAACTTAACATACAGAAAATACGCTCTCATAATCACTGAAATAAATGCCTTTCTGGGTTTTTCTCATCAAACTCAATCCCACACTCCAAAAGTTATTCAAAGGCATTTAACTAATTAAAATTTATATTTTAAATAATTTTTACTTCTTTACTATGTCTTTAATTATGATAGTTAAAAGTCTACAATAAGAAACACACCAGGGACCCTGGGAGCTGACTCACACATATAACAGGACAGTCATTGTGTTCCCAAATGCAATGCTAGGGTCGCCCACCGTGTTGCCAAACGCAATGCTAGGGTCGCCCACCGTGTTCCCAAACGCAATGCTAGGGTAGCCCACCATGTTCCCAAATGCAGTGCTAGGGCAGCCCACCGTGTTCCCAAATGCAGTGCTAGGGTCGCCCACCGTGTTCCCAAATGCAGTGCTAGGGCAGCCCACCATGTTCCCAAATGCAGTGCTAGGGTAGCCCACTGTGTTCCCAAATGGAGTGCTAGGGTAGCCCACTGTGTTCCCAAATGCAGTGCTAGGGTAGCCCACCGTGTTCCCAAATGCAGTGCTAGGGTCGCCCACCGTGTTCCCAAACACAGTGCTAGGGTCGCCCACCGTGTTCCCAAACGCAATGCTAGGGTAGCCCACCGTGTTCCCAAATGCAGTGCTAGGGTAGCCCACCGTGTTCCCAAATGCAGTGCTAGGGTGGCCCACCATGTTCCCAAATGCAGTGCTAGGGTCGCCCACCGTGTTCCCAAATGCAGTGCTAGGGCAGCCCACCATGTTCCCAAATGCAGTGCTAGGGTAGCCCACTGTGTTCCCAAATGCAGTGCTAGGGTAGCCCACTGTGTTACCAAATGCAGTGCTAGGGTCGCCCACCGTGTTCCCAAATGCAGTGCTAGGGTCGCCCACCGAGTTCCCAAAGCCCAATGCACATTACACCCTTAAGGCTTTACAAGACAACCGGAAGTGTAAGGTCATATTTACAGCCGTCATCATTTAAATATAAAAACAACATCTTAGCAGCAAATAAAAACGTGGGAAAGACAAATGACTCTGAGTTAGTGTACAGACTCCTGTACCTGGATTTGAAGTGTGTTCCTTGAATGGTAAATAAGGAAAAGTGCTCTCCCATCCAGCCTCCCCCTGCCCACTGCCTGCCCCAGACCTCAGGGGGCTTCACTAGGCCCTGAGATACAGTGACCAAGATGACAGGTAGGAAAGGAGACCTGGCTGGTCCACCATAATCATCATGCTTCTTGCATCTAGGAAAGCACACCCCAGTCATTTACACCTTAGGATGGGTATTTTGTTTGTTTGTTTGTTTTTGTTTTTGAGATGGACTCTCACTCTGTTGCCCAGGCTGGAGTACAGAGGTGCGATCTCAGCTCACAGCAATCTCTGCCTCCCAGGTTCAAGTGATTCTCTTGCCTCAGACTCCCAAGTAGCTGGAATCACAGGCACCCACCACCATGCCTGGCTAATTTTTGTATTTTTAGTAGCGACGGAGTTTCCCCATGTTGGCCAGGCCGGTCTCAAACTCCTCACCTCAAGCCCATCTCGGCTTGCCAAAGTGCTGGGATTACAGGTGTGAGCCACCACGCCCAGCCAGTCGGTTACTTTTGTTCCAACTACAATTTTAAAACATGATACGAATTGCTAACATTTAGAAGGTTAATTATGTGACAAGCAGGAGTTGATGGTGCGTAAGGGCAGGTGAAGAAGGTGTGTTAAACTCCATAAGCAGTCACGCGCTCCGCACAGCTCAGGAGGAATGCCTCTGAGTGAGATGCAAGCTATGCTTCCCAGCACCACATGTGGCTGACAGGGGCTGCCCGACAGGTCCCTGGGGGCACGACGTAGGCAGGGCTGCTTGGCTACAGGCAGGTCAGCCAAAGGGGAGCCCCTGTGTCCAGTGAGCAGGAACCCTGGCGTGCGGTGCGCCTGGGTCACCTCAGAAGAGGGTAGTGGCTGTGCAGGGGGCCTCGGTGAGGAGCTCTAGGCAAAGCCTATTTGCCAACAACATGTGAGCATCCCACAACCAAGGGAGACTGACTGAACTCTGCCTTGAAGCGATGCAGAGGAAATGCTGCTATTTCACCAATGCGAGGGACTAGAGCTCAGAAGAGGCCATTTCTTCAGCAAGTGGTTGTAATAGTGTTAGGGCCAATCCTGCTCTAGATGCCAACATCTGTTTTTCTTGTACAGTGAGCCTAAAAAGCAGAGACAGGACAATCAAGGAATGTGTTTTGGTGAAAACAACCTCAGCTTTTTTTTGAGAGAGAGGTCTCACTCTGTCGTTCAGGCTGGAGTGCAGTGGTGCAATCATGGCTCACTGCAGCATCGACTTCCCAGGCTCACCCAATCCTCCCACCTCAGCCCCCGGAGTACCTAGTACTACAGGTGTGTACTGCCACGCCTGGCCAAATTTTTTATTTTTTGTAGAGACAGAGTTTTGCCACGTTGCCCTGACTGGTCTCAAACTCCTGCACTCAAGCAATCCTCCCACCTCAGCCTCCCAAAGTGCTGGGATTACAGGCAGGAGCCACCTGTGTCCAGCCTCAGCTTTCTAATTCTGCTGCATATTTTGCTTCTATTACAGCCAGGAACAGACACATAGAAATCACAATTTACATCAACTAAGAATAGACTTTTTTACAGTCAACTATGAAAATTCTGACACAGCCTTATTATAATTAGTCTTCAACTATCAAAATGCTGGCATAGCTTTGTTATAATTCACCTTCATTATAACTAATCATAATGTATCATTATGATTTTCCTAATTAAAGTCTGAAAGGTTTTTCAGCATCTTAGCTCAACGAATCATTTAAAAATGTACACCCCTTTGGCACAGCACTTCTACTGGTAGGAATTCATCTAAGAATCTCAGTGACTAAGGGCATGAAAAATTCCATACTACTTATTGAAACCATGAATACAACATAATGCCCTTCAATAAAGCTCATCTACATGATGTGTACATCATTTTATAAATTTCTGCAGAAATTTATAACTATGTACCTTATACATTCATATAAAGGTGTAGAAGGATATATACATTAAAATGTTAACTGTGGTTCCATTTGGGTGGTGGGATTACAGCTTTGGGTTTTATGTTTTACCTTATTTTTTATGTTCTTCTACATTATCTGAATTTTTATCCCCTTTTATATTTACCGTATTTTTTAATCAGAAAAAAAATGCTTCGATTTTGGGGAAAAAAAATGCTCAGACTATTTATTTAGGAAGGAGTCAATGAATAATGTTTTCAAAGATCACTTTTTGAAAGGACCTTCGCATCCCTCTCTGAGGAGCACTTGCCTGAGAGGTGATGTTGAGTGTGACAGTGTCCAGGCCTCCAGATAGCATACCCTGAGTATCGGCCAGCGTCAGCGTGACACTAGCGTCACCTCCCACGCCCGACGAGGACATGACCAGGTTCTGAGTCGAGATGGCCGATGGAGACATCGGTGTTGTTGAAGGAAGGCTTCCGCTTGTAGTGTTAAGTTCTACAAAAGAGGCAAAGTAAGTAGATCAATGGGAAGGCCAGACAAGTCCAGGTGTAAGGGCATAGGGAGAGCGATGCTCCCACCTGCAGGAAGCAGCATTCATGCCCGAGGTCTCCAAGCTGCACCAAAGAAATCACAGGGTCTTCAATTCTAATTTTAGGATAAGGCTTTTCTTAGTTTTTAAACATCTTTACATATGAATATACTGTGCTTCTTAAGTATAACACACACAGAGAAAAACCAGTAAACAAAGAGTGAAAATGTGACCCCATAGTCTCAGTCACAGCTACTACTGTAGAATGAAAACTCAGACAAGAATTTCCAGTGCATTGTCCCCATCCACAACCAAAGAGACCAGCTGAAGAAAGGAAGCAAGTGTGATCCACTGAGGAATAGCTACTTCCGGAGCTTACCCATCCACAACTGAAGAGACCAGCTGAAGAAAGGAAGCAAGTGTGATCCACTGAGGAATAACTAGCTCCTGAGCTTACGGGATAAATCTGACCATCTCTGCTCATTTTCTCACTTTCATCACCCTGACTGATTCTTATTCTAAAAGACAGGAGGTCAAAATACATCTCATAAATCCTTTAAATATTCATTTATCCTGCATGACATCTTAATTTTCTTCAGAAAAGACAACAAAACTGAAATATCTCCCCTTGCAGCCGATACTAAGAGAAACGAAAGTATCTGGTGAAGAAAGGGCTTTTCTTTTACAAAACAGACACTCATGTACCTTGCTGGCAGATGAGACGGGTTCAGCATGGGATTATCAAAGTCCTGTAGTGGGCACCAGTGAACACAACGTTGAAAGTATAAACACATGGGCACACACACGCACACTCACTTTATCCCACAGTCGAGCCATCCATTCATTTGAAACATGTATTCCTCATCCACTTGTGCCAGCCACTGTGCCAGTTGCTAAGGATGCCAAGATGACGACCAAAGGAAAGTTCAAAAAGCTATTGCCTAACCAGGTTTCAAAACAAAAGAAACACGCGCCTGTCAGCACTTTGCTGTGACTTGGGTCACATCAGTCCAGCGCTCTCCTAGGAGTCAGGGGCCAACAGGAAAACTAGGTTACTTACTTGTCGCTGGAGTTCTCCAAATACAATGCCTCCACAGATCCACACTCCTGGGGTCCCACACTGTGCTGCACAGACCTGGAACCTTCAAAAGCAGTAGAACCATTAGCAGGCTGGGAGGCTCGAGCGCTGAAGCAGCCGCCGGGGCTCCACAGATAGCTAGGTCAGACCCTCCCGCCTGCTCCAGCATCCGCACAGAGTGCTGGTGGGAGCCCGAGGAGTGTGGCCTTGTGGAGGACGTCTGCATGCACTAAGCGTTCCAGTGACCAGTACAGCAGCTGACCTAATAGCTGTCCTCCTAAAATTCCCTCCACACACCCTTACCGCACACTAGCCTGCGGGTACGTTTTTAACATGAGTGGTCAAAACCATAGAGACTGGGGCGGGCGGGCAGGTGGCAGCTGCCAATGAGCTTGCACAGAGGGAAGACGGGGAAGAGATGCATGTGCCTGTGAATCTCGCCCAGGATCACACTTAGAGCCAAGGCGAAGCCAGCGCACAGCAAAAATTCAAACCTCACCCCAACTGCTGAAATAAAGGAACCAAAGATCTTCTCCCCACTCCCACCAGTCAACTAATCCTGACTTTCTAGTGATTATTAAGGTATCAGAGGTTCCGGGACTGTGCAGCATGAAAAATGTAAAAAGATAGAGAAGGCTTGTGTTTGATTAAAGTGAAACCTGACACAAAGTTCAATGAAAATAATAAACAACTTCAGACAGGGCCAAATTTCGTATTTCAACTCAAACAGTGAACCTTTAATAATGTCCTAATTCAATGGATTTTCCACAAAGAGGATGATACCGGTTCCAGTAGAACTGTCCTCAATATGATTGAAAAGAACACATGACTAGAGCAGAAAAAAGCTGAAATTTTCTTAAGCATGCAGTTAAATTACAAGCTACAAATAGCTCTTAACTATCCATTTGTTAAAAGCTACAATCTTATATTCAAATTAAATACTCTTAGCATGAAAATGAAGATCCCATGCTGAAGTGAAGATTGTAGACTCTTACTTTTATTCTTCACTTATTTTTCTGAAACCACTGTTCCTCCAGCATGTATAGAGCAATACAAGTCTGACTTTATGATTCCGACTCAAAAATAAGTTAAAAAGATTAATAAACTGTACGCTCATCAAACCCAACATTGTCTTAAATCTCTTGGGATATCACCTCATAGCTTCTAAGAAAACATAATTTTGTAAGGTTCTAAAAATAATTTAAAAGATATGATATCAGTTTTTTCTTGCGATTAACTGAAATGTGGGAAGACAGGAGGTGGGGGCGGCAGAACAGGAGAGAAGCATCGGGGTAGCCCCTCGTTCCCAAGCATCCAGGTCACTCAGAGGGACAACTCGTGAGGATGAGAACGTCCTCTTCAGTTTTAATATACACCGGGGAATGGGAAATGTTAAATTGTTGAACTATTTAAAAATAAAATAAGTGATTATACTTAAATCTAGAAGAAACTAAGGCTAGAATAACCCTACAAATAAATAGAAAACAAATACTGGTCTTTGCTTCTTTCATCAAAAGCAGAACTCAATTTATTCATCAAAATTATCTTAAATTTAAAAGTGGACGAAGGTAAGAACAAAAAGATAATACTCATTTGAGATGAATTCCTTAAAAAGTTGTGCTAAATTTCTCAAGCCTCTATCAAGACTACGATCTGCTTCTGAGACAGTACTTACATTCTATGGGATCACTTTTTAAGGAAAACTCTTTGTGTCAGATTTGGGAATGGATGTTGGGATGAAACTCTGAAATAGTCTTCAACTCCTGCATCACGAATCTCAACAAAAGCATGTGCTTTTGTCCTGCATGTGAAATTCTGACTAATTGTCTCGCCTGGATTCATCGCAAATCCCTAAGTGGTGATACACTTCTTTCAATGCCTTCGATTAAGATGAAACAGCCAGAGTTAACCTAGAAGCTGATGAGTCTTAACCAAACCTTGCTTGCATAGAGAATCAAAAAATAATAATAGCCATATACATATTCATTATGCTCAACATAAGTTTTGTATGGGCATTAGAGGTTTTTGAGTGTTTACCTTAGAAGAGTCATGTTTAATTTCAAAATAATGTCATTTTAATTTCAATTATTAGTGGTGTGGCCTCAAGCTAGATCTGAAACTGACTTTGACTCTAGATAAATATTGCTCACTAAGAGGCAATCTCCTAACTACTACTATACAGTTGAGATCCACTACATAATTATAACTAGGACAAATGGGATGTGCAAGCCACTCTAAAAACATCTGCTTAATATCAAGGATTGAGTGGGTCAATATATGAACAATTGCTTCCTATACCCAGGATTATTCAAAGATGCCAAAGGTATTCAAGAACATAAGACAACTTACTTGATCACATAAAACTAAGCCTGTATTTAAGAATAGCCGATATCACATTAATACACAAATATTCTTTAATTATGCGTTCATCTTTTATTTTATAATGTCACCCAATCCCTTGAAAAGCTTTTTTTTTTTTAATTTAACAAGTGGGATATAAGCTAAAGTAGCCTAAGAGAGAGAGAGAGAGTGAGAGAGAGAGACTGATTTTCTCAGCTGACTCTTTTTTTTTTTCTTCTTGAGACGGAGTTTTGCTCGTCACCCAGGCTGGAGTGGCACAATCTCGGCTCACTGCAACCTCCACCTCCCAGGTTCAGGCGATTCTCCTGCCTCAGCCTCCCGAGTAGCTGGGATTACAGGCACCCGCCACCAAGCCCAGCTAATTTGTTGTATTTTTAATGGAGACGGGGTTTCACCATGATGGCCAGGCTGGTCTCAAACTCCTGACCTCAGGTGATCCGCCCGCCTCGGCCTCCCTAAGTGCTGGGATTACAGGCGTGACCCACCATGCCCGGCCTCGGCTGGCTCTTTAAAAAAAGGTCTAAAAGAATAATAATTTAAAAAATGCAAATCAGCAAAGTGGGTATGTTGCTGTTTATACAGAAATGTCAGCTGCATAACATGTGGGAGCCTTGCACCCACTGACTGAGGACAGCTCGCCTGCCCTGAAAGGACCCTCACCTGAGTGTGAGATGCTGGTGTGACACTTCCAACATGCGTCTGTGGAGGTGAATTTATAGGTACAGCACTTACTACCGAACTAGCCAGATCACAGGAGTTTAAAGAAACGCGGGCAGCTAGAGCAGAGCCCTGGAGTGCGTGCGCCCTCATTCCATCCAACTTCTCCCTTCGGTCAGAACATCCCCAATTTCGAATCAAGCAATCTGCTGCGCCTACAAACATCCAGGATCACCAAGAGGCACAAACACCACTCCACTCAAACTGAAACCTCTACAACCCAACTTGTCTCTCCATCAATGTGCCAGGGGCTCACTAAGGATGTTCAGCAGAGTTTCCAGGAAGACATGAGGCTGCACTGCTGACGGCCAGTTTCCTGCTCAGTGAGGCCGGCCAGCAGGGCATGAATCCAGACATCTCACCCAGAGCCCTGCACCACGAGCGACTACCACTCGCTTCGGCCCACACACAAACAGCACGTCTTCACATTGCAACATGAACCATGCAGCGGGGGAAAGATGATGAACTCACAGCCTAAGATTAGAATTCTAGAGATGAGAAGAACACACTGCCTGATCCTTTAAAAACCACAAACTATGAGTTTTAGAAAACGTTTGGAGAAAAACATTTGCTATGTTAACTTCAACAATACATCATATATTTTGGACCTTCCACCCATTAAAATATCCACACCTCCTTGCTTCAGCTAAAGGCCACCATGGGCCATGCAAAGCTGAGTGGCTGGCGTTGGGAGAAAAGCCACCACACTCCCAAGCCCCTCTCTCAGCTCAGCCAGGATGTCCTCAAAGAAGCCACAGAGCCACCCCCTGTGACATGTGCTCTCTGTGCCATCACCTCTCCTTTATATATGGTTACAGCTGTAATTTTATAGTCACTTGTGGATTCTTCAAAAAATGTCTGCACTCCATTTATTCTGAGATCCAGAACACAGGGCCAGCTCTGACCTGCCCAGAGTCACAGTCCCAGATTTTGCACAATTCTTAGCACACAGCAGACACTATAATCTTTTATGGAATAAATGAACTACGGGACAAGAGGTCGTTTCAATTAAGAATGAAGCATGAAAAGAGGTCTAGCTTTTGGGTACAAACATATCTGAAGATTAGTTTTTTTTTCCTCACAAAGTGATATACATAGTTGGAAAATAACAAGGCTAAGAAGTGAATGCAATCTCTACAAGGTGAAGAGAACGAGATAGGTATGTTATCCTAAACTGTTAATGGTTACTTATGAAACTGTCATTTATCTTACATGAGCTCATTTATTACGTTGGTGCAAAAGTAATTGCAGTTTCTGCCAATATTAATATGTTTATTTTTCATAAAATTCTATGCTTTAAAATCTTAGAAAGCTGCCTCCTTTCCATTTTTCTATTCTATTTTCAGCTGGTGTCAGAAAATTCTCACTGGAGGGCAGAAGTAATGAGCTAAGTAAGAGTCTTCCAGCGCTGGGTTAGAAAGGGACAGCTTTGTACATGGAGTTATTAACATGCTAACTTGTATAAATATACGATGCTTTGTACAGTTGAATAAAATTATTTACTTTCATGGCTTAAAAAGTAACATCATCGATTGGTTGGTAACATTAGAGAGAATTTTGTATCCTAGAATTAGACATAAGCCAGTAATCCTTACAGAATGATAATCCATGTGACAAAGCATGACGCTGACACACCTGTCATGCTAAGGACAGTTTAACTCCTCATTGACTGTGGGCAGAGCTCTTTAGCTCCGACCTCTTATAATGTCTTTCTTGGCTAACTCGTGTGCTGTGTGCCTGAAGAGCTCAATGCTGTGCTCTGGGAGAGAAGCTGATCATTGCTTATTGTTAGGGTGGCACCTGTAGATTGATTATTGATTTCAGGCGCTAACAATCTTATGCTCCCGTTTATTAATAGTTCACTATTTCCATTAGAATTGTGTTGAATAAGTTCTTGACCTAAATGGAAATTAATATTGTGGTATCTGAAAACAACATTCTAAGATGCGTATTGGCAAGTGTGTTAAACATATAATTCTATCCTCAAAGTTTTCATTGTCATTTCAGTACAATTTATGGAAAAATGAAAATGAGACCACAAAATGCATTTCCCTAAATGACAGTATTTGTTCACACTTTTTAAGCTGTGAAGTATTTTAAAAATACTTCTTATGAGTTTTACTTTAACTCAGTATTTAGGCCCTAAAAATCACACACTGTGTGGAATGAAACTGTCAATGAATTGAAAATATTTCCAAATATAGTGCACTGCCAGGTATAGCAAAAGCATGTTAAAAGGATCTGAGGGGCATCACCAGGCGATAACAGAACCTCCCCTCCCTGCCCTCCACTGGGCAGGCTTGCCGAGCCCACGATGCTGCGGTTTCCCGTGTGCTGTGTTCCTATCCTATGTGTTCTGAATGCTCTCAAGTACACACTAACATGCCTGCAATACATTCCTACTAAAACACATTTGCTTGATTCAAAACCCGTTTATGCCAGCTTCATCAGCTACTGTAATGATATAATGAAATCAAATAGTATGGCAACTAGAAATGAATATGAGAATAAAAAATCTGTTGGACATCCAATGGAAACCAAATTGAATGCCTTGGAAAAACTTGGTAAAGACAAGATACTTTAAACATTCTGCTGTCAAAATAGGTGTAGGCAAGACAACTACACAAAATCAGAGAGAAAAAGATTCAAAAGACAAAAGTATGCTGCACTATGATTGCTTTATAGTGACCTACATTCTCATGCAATGCTAAAGAAAGAGAAACAGGAGATGAAACTGCATGATGAACATGAGTACAGGCAAAAATTTTAAAAAGTAGAAAATGTATTATCACCTGAGCAGACCCATATTCAAAAGATCCGTGGATGAATCTCCAAAGTATGCAGATGTCACTTGTTTGGTTCCCAATTTTATATACCTTTTTATTAATAACTGGGCTGAAAACATCAGGTAAAAGGACTTTCATTGTATCTGGACAGGGTAATTCCGGGAGGCAAAGGACTGTCTTTGCTTTTCACTCAACGTGTAACCTTTTTCTGAATGCTAGGACTCATGAACTGCCTAAAGTCTGCAAAACTTAGCTGAAGTGATTTGTGCATTCTCTAGTACTTGCATGCATTTATAATCCTATGTGTTAATGGAAAAAAGAACACACTATGAAATCTTTGAAAATTTCTATGGAATATCTAGATGCTTTTAACAGGTTACCATAAATTAAATGCTTTTTGCAGCCCTTTCAAAATGGGATAAGGAACTGTATAGCCAATTCTCATTATCCATCATAATAAGTGAGAAAAAACAATCTGAAGCCCAAAGTTGAAACCAAACTTATTTCATTAACTCATTTAAGGTTTTCTCCTAGAACAGCTGAAGCCAAATTCTTAAAATATTAGTTATATTCATCTACACTTTCAAATATACTAACAAAATAACCAAATGGCCAATAATAACACACAGGAAGAACAGAGGCACAATCCACAAACTGAAGAATACATTTTCTTAACTCTGAGCAAGAACCATGCACTATGTAGTTTTGATAGGACCTAGCACAATACTTCTTATATTAAGTGTACTCGAGAAAGTTAATTGGATCAACCAAATAGCTTTCCTAAAATATTGTAACTCTTCTGTATTTCCAACATTAAAATTCAGATATAAATATAATTTTAAAAGGAGGAAGGTTACTGAATTATATAAAATTCAATGTTAATTTTTGCTGTCCAACAGCATCTAAAAACCACTGCATCTCATTTAAAAGCAAAGCTGTACCTAAAAACAGTTCCTCAAATTTCTCACTAATGTATTAAAAGAAATAAAGACACCTTCCTGAAAAAGAAAGCTTCTGGTTTTCTTATGAATACCTTTTCTTTCAGTTCTGAAATTAATTTCTGCAGAAATATCTCTGAAACAGCAGAAATCCTGCCCTTCATGGTTGAGTCCATCTAGAATGCTGTCCTTCTCCACAGGTGTGTTTCAGGGAAGTGGGGCTGCTTCCCTCTGTCACATCAGATCTCCACGGAGCGTGTTTTGATTCCTAGCAAAATGTCTTTGTTAACATCATCATCAGGTTACGAGTCTTAAATGAACTAATATTGAATGAGTTAATATCTGTGGAAGTTACTAGAATAATATCAAGCACATAGTAAGGGCTCTAAAAATTGCTGAATTAACAAATGACTCTTAGTAATACAAAGAGTTTATAGTTAAGAGTCACGTGAGCAAAGCACACCAGGAAAATATGTTCAATGCTCACTGAGATCCGAACACACTATGGGAATTAATGATACGTAAGGACCAAGGAAGGCACACAAGGAGAAAAGTCAGAATGCGAGCAGCATAGCCCTAAGACAGGGAATGAGTCAGCCTGGTGACTGGCAGAGAGAATTAGATTGCCAGTTTTAGGTGGGCTTTACTGCCAAAGGGTATTTCCTACCCGTTTATCTACTTTTCAATGTTCTCCTATGTTTCAATTTTCCTATATAATCCTAATAGAATTCTGAAGACATACGGTAAAGAGAGTGCCATGCGGATCTAAAATGCCCTAATGTAAACAGTTTATACCAGTTTCATGGAGCATGAGTGAGAACCACAAAGCTACGCTTTCTGCTGTTTGCTAAACAAAAATAACTTATTCTCTAAAAATGAGTCAATGAATGAAATAATTAAATAACTGACTGTACTCAAACTGGAAGTGACATGAGAAACTATAATTTTTCATTTCTGGTGCCAGATCTGAATTAGAATACATTATTTTCACTAAACTTCAATTTCTCCCATAAATTATAAATACATATTGAGCACGGGCTTTATGCACAGCAGAGTATTGTAGGAAAAGAGATAGTAAGATATACAGTACTTAAATTGCAGGGTGAAAAGATGTTTAAAATTATAACTTACTAACCGGAGATAGTCAGGGTAATTTCCTGTGGAGACCCCGAGGAAGACGTGGCAGTGGGCCCAGCGGCCTGTGCCAGGACCTGGCTCAGGCTGGAGTTGTTAATGGTCAGGGTGATCTCGTGGGGACCGCCGGAGGGGGACACTAGACCTTGCGAAGTCATCACTTGAGTGAGGTCTTGGGTCCCTGATTGTCATTACAAAGCAAAACAAAGTTGAGATTCAAAATAACCAATTTCCCCTGTTTTTATATTAAAAATATTTTAATTAAACTGTTATTACATATTTCAATAAGACAAAGATTTAAAACAAAGCATCAGTCATCTCTAATTCCTTCGTCTAAGAAGAAAGCCTTGTGAGGAAATGAAGCCAGGATGAAAAGAGTAATTAAATGAAGGTAGTAATAATCTAAGAGCATATATTAAATACATATCATTAATTGTAAGAAAAGCTTATTTTATTCTCAGGACATTTGATTTATTCTCTTCTACAAAGAGAAGAAAATGACATCATAACATCCTAAATTCAAATATGTAATCACAAGCAAGAAACTGAAACTCCAGCTGTCAAAATAAGCAAAAGTGAGTGGCTCTTACCACTGCTGTTAGTGGTCAGCACTGAATCCTGCTCAGACAGCGGGCCTATGGTCAGGTTCGCAGAGGTCACTGTGGGCTGTAAGGACAGGCCTGAGATGGGCTGGATGACAACACTGGCAGGGACCGTGCTGTCCGATGTCTGGAGAGAGCTGTTCTGTGGGGCCAGGCCAGGCTCCCCCGTGAGCTGCTGAGCCAATAGGTTGCCCTGCTGTAGCGTCTGCTGCAGAATGCTTGGATCAATCTGAAAAGCAGCACAGGTACTTGTAATGAAAACTTCATGCTTCTCTGTGATGCCAAGAGAATTACAGCACAGGAGACCATGGAAGGTGTCATACCTGCAACGTAATGTTATTAATGCTGGCAGCATCGATTCCAGAAATCTGTACATTTGGTCCAACCAAGTTAGCAGCCAACTGTAACTGGATGCCTTCTAGGGTAGCCAGGCTCCCATCTGTCAGAGACACGGTCAGGTCACCCCCAGCTGGCCAGAGAAAGAGAAAGAGAATGATCAAATATTATGAATGCTTCTTAAAACTAAAGTAATTCATTTTTTACATAGGGATTTTTAAATACATAAGTTGTACACATTATGTCAATACAATGTTGTTGTGGAATACGAACACCTACTTTATACCATATACACATATATGCTGTTTAATCACCCTTTATACCATATACACACACTGTCTAATCACCCCTTATTTATACCATATACACACACACTGTCTAATCACCCTTTATACCATACACACACACTGTCTAATCACCCTTTATACCATACACACACATGGTCTAATCACCCTTTATACCATACACACAGTCTAATCACTCTTTATACCATATATACACACACAGTCTAATCACCCTTTATACCATATATACACACACTGTCTAATCACCCTTTATACCATATATACACACACTGTCTAATCATACACACTGTCTAATCACCCTTTATACCATATATACACACACAGTCTAATTACCCCAGAAACCTACTTTCTACCATATACGCACATATACTGTCTAATCACCCATTATACCATATATACACACAATGTCTAATCACCCCAGAAACCTACTTTATACCATACACAAATACACTGTCTAATCACCCCAGAACAACTCTGTAAAACAGATACTCCTTTATGCCATACGCATACACTGTCTAATCACCCGCGAAATCTCATTTATACCATATACACATACACTGTCTCATCACCTCAGAAACCTACTTTTTACTATATCCACATACAGTCTAATCACCGCAGAGCAACTCTGTGAAACAGATACACTTTATACCATACACACACACTGTCTAATCACCCCAGAACTCTGTGAAATGGATACTCATATTGCCCACTTTAAACGTATCAGAAAAGTAGCTCAAAAAGATTCTACTGATTAGCCAAAGGTTCAAAACAACCACTACTACTGAGTGGTGGTCAGGCTGCAATCCTGCCACGAGTCACAGAAACAGAAAGAAGGGCACACAGGACATCTGACTGCCATGTACAACGGCTGCATTTACTCACAGGCACACAAATCAACACAACTAGCTAAAATGTAACACTTCTCAAGCACTATGAGACGCAAGAACAACTGGAAAACTGCACTATATCAAAAACAATGCTATTGAGTATTTATAAATTACACTTCTCACTACTAAATTTATGAGAATGCCAACTGAGTAAAAACAGGTTTACACCCACTAAAAACAAAAGCTAAACAAAGTGCTTAGTGTAAAAAAGCAGCTGGCATGGAAGACAGAATGCGAAATGGAAAGGAGCAATGTCTGCAAGACGGAATTCCAATTTTTCCGAATGCCTTATAAGGAAAAGGCTCAAAGAAGGGAAACGTGGTGCTACGGTAAACAACATCTCTTCTGTCGTGGGAACAGACAGAAGCAGCACAGAACAGTTCAATCACTGTGCTGCTCTCATTCCCTCGGCTCAGCGTTTACCTGACACAGAGGCAGGGAGAATAGCTTGGCCCACCAGTCCTGGTTGCAGCAGATTCTGATCAAACTGTCCTGTTAGAACAGAGTTGTTCATGATAAACACGTTTGGGTCAGTAGAGGAGGAGTTGAGGAGGTTTACAGGCTGCAGTCCTTCCGATGAGCTTCGAGTCATAGGCTTTCTGGCCTTCTTTGGGTCTGGTTTATAATGAAACTGCATGTGTGTCTTTCTTCTACCCGAGGTACGGAAACGCAGCTCGCAATGCGGGCATTTGAAGGGCTTGGCTCCCGTGTGCAGGCGCATGTGGACCTTCAGACTTCCCTTCGTGGAGAAGGCGTTGCTGCAGACGTGACAGCTGAAGAGCTTCTGACCTGTGAAAAGCCCAGCCAAGAATCAACAGAGGCGATGGCAGTCGCGACACTCACCCCCACCCCACTCAGCTGTCACTATGGATGTAAATATGTTGAATCAGTGGATGGAAGTACTTTAATGAGAATCCCTTTCACCTATAAGATGTTACGGACGTCACAGGCAATTGCTGCAGTATTGTAAATTTAACAGTGTATTGTTTACAATTTGAATTTAGCATTTTCACAAGCCTTTGAGGTTTACAGTGTTTCTAAACCACTGCATTATTCTGAACCTTGATTGGAGTAGTTGATTTATATTTATCAGAAGCTAATGGGTGGTATGACTTAACAGCCCGGCTCTGAATTACTGTCACTTTTCTTTAATTTTACAAGTGGTACTTTAACATCTCAGCATCTCTCTATCTTCTCTTCTGCCAAACAGGGGCAACCACAATGCCAGCACAGGTAGGCATCACACTGGGAGAATATGCAAAGGAAAGTTCTATGCTAGGGTCAAAGGGCTGTGTGCCTAGTGTCATGTACCTAGTTCCTTAGGCTCTTTTCATGATTACTGGGTATATCAAAGGCCACGAAGGCTCGGAGCACCATGAGCATAGGCTCCACCCTCCAAGAGCCTCTGGGAGCTGAAAAACTTCCTGGCTGGCTTTTCCCCTCTACTGTCCAGGAACAAATGCTAATTTTTACAGGATGGTGCACACTAGGATCCACCGAGGGACTAGTGCAACCTGCTATCCCAACGCCGCCCTGGGTTCCTCAGAAATCACACCTCTACTTCAGAATGGAGAAAGAGGCACCAAAAGGTATTTATCCAGAGACTTCCATTTCTAGTCCTTATCCACGTGGCCTACGCTGAACTCCAAAACCAAGGAAATGATGAAGCAGCGTGCACCAAGTCATCGTGGACGTCACTGGGCACCTGCTGCATGAGAGGCCGTGCCCTAGGCCTGGGGGCACAAAGATAAGTGATGCCGGGCCCTCCATATCCACAAAAAGTTCACTGCATTACACAAAAGAGATAAATACAGGGAGCCTAATGAAACAACAGAAAAACTGCACACAGGACAGTCATATAAACAAGCTCAGGGATCTGTTTATCTAGTTACAAATATTAACCCATCAGAAAAGAATCACAGGGCTTCAGGTAAATGTGTGAAAGTCCATTTGTTCTTGTCTGTTGAATTCTGCTTATAACCAACAATGAAGAATGTAAATTAGTCTCATAATCATAATTCTATGAATCATTATAACAACAGCTCTGCATTCACTGTGCGTTTACCACAGGCCAATCCATTCCTAAGTGTTTACCAAAGGCCAAACACTTTTCCAAGCTATTTAAATGTCTTAATGCTTAAAGCTATTTAAATGTCTGAACTCCCAAAGACGGAGGTACAACTATTAGCCCCATCTTCTGCAGAAGAAACTTGTGGCTGAGAGGAGAACCTTGTCTAGGACCACAGAGCTCACAGGAGGACTACAGGATTCCCAAGCAGGCAGAGGCAGAGGCAGCCTCCCCACCGCTAGGAGGCACTGTGCAGAATTCCAGAAGCAAAGGCACAGACAAGATGAAGATGAGAAAAAGGCCAGGAAACTTGGACATTCATTTCTGCCTTTGCAAGAGTTTCTCCCCATATAAAAATAATTATGAAATGATAACTGCCATCAGATTTGCTAAGTGCCAGGTTTTACAAAACCTCAACAAACTAAACCTCTTTGGCTTAAATGAGACTAAGAGGTAATCTTTTTAACAAAGTTATTTAAGCATGAGTAAGAATACGTGACAATTTTTAAGAAAAATTCAACTTTTGAGACCTAATCCTTTTTTTTCTTAGTGTCATTTGGACAGTTTTCCCTGTGTCAGGAATAAAAAAATCTTTTATATCACTTCCTTCTTGGTGCCTCATTTTTAAGCGTTCTATAATTTGGAAAGTATTTATGTACACAAAATATATAGGAACAAAACATACGAAATGCTATCCTAAGACCTCTACCAATGACGCAGGCATGTTTTCCTTACCTGTGTGAGTCTTCACATGACAATCGAGAGTGGATTTCACAGTAAAACTCTTTCCACATTCATCACATTTGTATGGCTTTTCTCCAGTATGGATTCGAACATGCCTATCCAAAAAGCATTAATTATAGACATATTGACAAACGACTTCATGATTTGAAATTTATAACTATATAAATTAAAATTAGGTGTTACTACGTTCTGCTTAAGTTTGGCCAAGAAAAACTTTAAGCTTCACTCCATACAAAAAATACCATAAACAAATCCAAATAACAACGAAAATATTTGCAGGACAAATAATAATAGAGATAATTTCCTTAGGGCCAGGAGCGGTGGCTCACGCCTGTAATCCCAGCACTGTGGGAGGCTGAGGCAGGGAGATCACCTGAGGTCAGGATTTCGAGACCAGACTGGCCAACATGGTAAAACCCTGTCTCTACTGAAAATACAAAAATTAACAGGGAGTGGTGGCAGGCGCCTGTAATCCCAGCTACTTAGGAGGCTGAGACAGGAGAATCGCTTGAACCCAGGAGGCAGAGGTTGCAGTGAGCCGTGATCACACCACTGCACTCCAGCCTGGGTGACAAAGTCAGACTCTGTCTCAAAAAAAAAAAAAAGACAATTTCCTTAAAAAACCCAAGAACTCTGACAAATCAAATCAGCAGGAAAACCCAAACGATATCAGAGTAGAAAAGTTGGCAATGCACAGAGAGTTTACAGAAGAAATACAAACAGCCAAAAACCATATGCAAAGCTGTTCAATCACACTTAGAATCAAAGAAGAACAGATGAAAACGACGAGATATCATTTCCCCCATCCTGTTGGCTGCAGCTGTAAAACAGGCACTCGGAGTCTCTGAAAGACAGAGGCACACGGCCCTCTGGTGGCCTTTGCCAGACTCTACCCTCACTGAGCCATCAGAGGCACACAGGCTCACGGAAGAGTCACCACAGCGCCCTGCCAGTCACCAAGCGTGGAAACTCAGTGTTCGTCGGGAGGGGTCTGGTAAGATTAATTTGGTATCCCCATGCAACAGAACCCTACACTGCCATTAAAAAGAATAAAATAGGTTTATAGATACTGACGAAGAAAAATACCTATGACTCATTGATATGTAAAAATTTGAAAACCAGAATCGTACAACTTAACATTGGTATATGTCTAGACATTTCCGAAAAAAATACTCAAAAAACTGTTAACAGTGCTTATCTCTGGGGAGCAGGACACCCTTCAGTACCATTTTTTGTTTCTCATCACACTTACTCACTGGGAGTCTGAACCTTGAACTTTTTTAAAATGAAGGATAGGACAAGAAGAAGAAAACACAGCTATAAGAACGTCCCGTTCTCGGAGTTTGCACTGAGCCGAGACCACGCCACTGCACTCCAGCCTGGGCGACAGAGCGAGACTCCAACTCAAAAAAAAAAAAAAAAAAAAAAGAACATCCCACTCTTCTGGTCTTCAGGTACAGTCGATGGAGACATGTTTAGCACTTTATGTCGCCTTGGTAGCATTTTGTCTCTGCTAATTGGCTGGCACGCCCCACCCACAGGCAGGTCACAAACTGCTGTCTCAACACCTCCATGTGACACCCTTGCCAGGCCTGACTTTCTCATCTATGACTCCACCACTAACCCCTACTGGAAAACTATCTCACCCTATCAGTTAGTTCATGAGTTCCTCCAGGCCACACACAACTGCTGGCCAGACTGGACTCCTTCTTATAAACATCTCAAGTTTTCCATCACAACCCCTTAGCTCCTCCTCTCCTTAGTTTAACTTTCTATGTCTTATGCCCAACCTCAGATCACACCATCAACTTAGATCCTACCCCGGAACTTCACTGCATGGCTCAACGAGAGCTCGCTGTTGAAGGGTCCTGTGGCCACACCACCCAGTGGGACCTGGGCTCTCTCTCTTCTCCAGTGACCTCCCTCATTGTCACTCTCTAGCTGAACACACCTCCCCTTCCTGCTGTGGTCGAAACATGAAGGCCAGCAGTCAAGGTGTGTGCTCACTAGGGTGGCACTGCCAACCCAACAGCTCCTTGAAACCACCTACCCTTTCCCTGCAGCACCTGCTGCTGTCCTCTGTAGAACAGAGTACAAGGAACACACCCTTTGGTTTTCTGAAACATCCTGCAATATTAAAATCTTCACGGTTTGTTTTATTAAGTTGCTGAATAATTAGTTCTATCTCCTAGAGCAAAACATAAGCATCCCTGTTATATACAGAAACACTTCTGATTCTTCAGGAGAACGCTGATACTTTGGTCTTCCTTTCTCCAGAAAGGAAGGACATTCTGAGAGCCCCTTCTGTTCTTTACCATGGGTCTTGGTTTCCAGATTCTTCATGGTTCTGCTCAACTCGATCTCATGTATCAGCCACTGCTGTTTGGCCGATTGCCAATTAGTCTCCCTCCTGTCACACGCTTGTGTCCCACTCCTCACACTGACTGGCAGGCCTCAGAGGCAGGAGGGCGCCTGCTGCTCTTCTGCCTGTCCACAAAGCTTAGAGCCCTGCCTTCCTCAATGGATACATTTGTTTTCATTGTTTACTACTATGACAACCATACAGAAATAAGCATAAGCAATCTATAGAGAAAACAGACTTTTTTTTTTTTTTGAGACGGAGTTTCATTCTTGTTGCCCAGGCTGGAGTGCAATGGCATGATCTCAGCTCACCATAACCTCCACCTCTCAGGTTCAAGCGATTCTCCTGTCTCAGGCTCCCGAGTAGCTGGGATTACAGGCACCCACCACTACACCCACCTAATTTTGTATTTTTTAGTAGAGACCAGGTTTCTCCATGTTGGTCAGGCTGGTCTCAAACTCCCAACCTCAGGTGATCCTCCCGCCTCAGCCTCCCAAAGTGCTGGGATTACAGGTGTGAGCCACCATGCACAGCCGAAAACAGACTAATTAATATTCTGAATGAGTTTACTACAGAGAACTAATTCAAGCTTAAAACCATACATTCAAGTAAGTAAGCTGCCATCACTCAGGTGACACCAGGTTCAGAAACTAATGGCCCTGCTGCAGTGAAAATCACCAAAGGAGCAGCTGCCTGCACCTCCAGTCTTCAGAGCGGAACCCGCGCGGCGTAGCCATGCCCTCACCTCACCAGGTCGCTAGGTTTCTTGAAGCTCTTGGGGCAGTATGTGCAGCAGTTGGCGTGCTTGGGCTCGTCCTGCAGCTCCGCCTGCTTGTCCCTCAGCTCACTGATGCGGTCCTTTTCTGCCGCGGACTGCACCAGGACCTTCTCTGACACCGTGGCGCTCTCCTGCGGCCGGATCTTGGCTAACTGGGCTGTCTCCTCCTCCGTGAAAGTGATGACCTCAGGACGAGACTTCCGTGATGCATTTCTGTCAGAATGTTCTTCCTCTTCCTCCATACAAATGTCTACACAAAATCAAGGAAAAGGGATCAAAATCGTAATGAAGAAAACCTAGGTTTTTAGCAAAACAATTAAAACTAAATAGGTATGTATGTAATGAAAATTAATAACTCAACCAAGCTATTTTTATGATGGTAGAGAGTTGCTATATTTTCCCACCTCTATTGAGAAACTTAGGTCATGGAAAGAAAACAGCCAAGTGTACTGGAAAGTGGGGGGCGGGGGATGAACAGAGGTTGGTGAAGGGGTGAAAACATCCGCTTAGATAGAAGGAATAAGCTCTAATGTTTGATAGCAGAGTAGGGTGACTAGTTAACAACAATGTATATTTCAAAGTAGCTACAGGAGAGAACTTGAAATGTTCCCATACTTAGAAACTGCTAAATACTTAAGGTGATGAATACCCCAAGTACTCTGATTTGATCATTCCACATTCTATACATGAAACAAAATATCACATGTGCGTCATAAATATGTAGAAATATTATGTAACCAAAAAAAAGCCAAGTGAAGGGCATCCTTTAGGAGAGTGATGACCAACATTAGGAAGACGCTCAGATTAAAGACCTGCTTCTACACCTCCCTGAAAATTCAGGAGTAAGCTTTGAGGCTGACAGTGTCCACACAAGCTACCGGTATTCATAAATATAGATATTCATTTATTAATAAGGGCAAAAAATGAATTACCATCAGATTTTTTAAAACCAGAAGCCCAAAAATGGGAGACCAAATTAATAAATTAGCAAACAGCCCCCAACTAAAAACAATTACTATAAAGAAGAAAATAAAACTTTAAAAATATATGTGGTTGGCCCTCTGTATCTGTGCCTTCCACATCCATAGATTCAACCGACTGCAGTTAGAAAATACAGATCCTTTTTTTCTTGTTATTATTCAATAAACGATACACTATACTGGCTATTTACAACTAGGTGCAGTGGCTCACACCTGTAATCCCACCGCTTTGGGAAGCTGAGATGGAAAGATTGCTTCAGGCCAGGAGTGTGAGACCAGCCTGGGCCACACAGCAAGAGTCCATCTTTACCAAAAATTTAAAAATTAACCAGGCATGGGGGCGCGCGCCTGTAATCCCAGCATATTGGGAGGCCAAGGTGGGGCTTGGCAGGGAAGTTCAAGACCTCCTAGGCAACAGAGCAAGACCCCGTCTCTACAAAAAAAAATTTTTTTAAATCAGCCAGGCGTGGTGGTGAGCCTGTAGCCCCTGCTACTCAGGAGCCTGAGGTGGGAGGATTGCTTGATCCCAGGAGTTCAAGGCTGCAGTGAATTATGATTGTGCCAGTGTACTCCTGCCTGGGTGACAGAGTGAGACCCTGTTTCTCAAAAGAACCCCAAACTATTTACATAGCATTTATATTAGGTATTATAAGTGATCTAGAGATGGCTTAAAGTATACAAGTGGATGCGTGTAGGTTACATGCAGATACTATGCTGTTTGATATCAGGAACTTCAGCATCTGCAGATTTTGGTGTCCTCAGGAGTCCAGGAACCAATCCTCAGCTGATACTGAGAGAGAACTATATGCATAAGTATTCATTCCTAAATGAAAAATAAGGACGCATTCCAATTGATTAAAAAAGAATACTAGAGAAGGAAAAAAAGTTTGGCTGGGAGCAGGGAGGTCATTATTGTATGACTGACTGAAAAAAACTTACAACTCAACAGAAACACTAAATTGCAAAGTGGACAGTGGTTAATTCACCAAATAAGTAAATTTAAAAACAAACTGGATAATTTTTCTTAGCACATAAAAGGGAAAAAAGATGAGAGATGGGAGGGGATTGGGGAGGGAAGAAGAAAGAGAGGGGAGCAAAGGACAGCGAGGGTGTGGGTTGAGGGAGAAAGTCATGGAGGATAAAGCCAGTGGATTCAATGTCCATCTCGTAGAAATTCCAGAAAAAGATACAGCAAACTGAAAGTCCGCATTATACCAATAAAGCTTGGAATGATTTGAGGGCAGCTTATAGATAGCGGCCCCACCAACACACATGAGGAAATAAGGAGGTAACTCTGTTAACATTCTTTAACGAACTGAGAACACAATCAGTATAGCACAGACTGGAGACAGAGAACAACAAAATTAAGCACGACAGACAGACAGCATGAAACAGTCGGCAAGTGTTAGGCCAAGCAGGCTAACGTCACAATAAATGTGAGGGAATTTAACCCCTATCCAAGTCTCTAGGTTTGGGCAAAACAACGCAATTTAACACGTGACTTTTCTCCTATGGACAAGAGTTCATCTGCAGTTTCCCCCACAATGATCCAAGGAAAACAAGGCATACAAGGTGAATCTAAATAAATATGTAGCAGTGAGATGAAGCCCAAACAGAACTCCCAAATCGATGCTAGAATTCAGTAGCATTAGAAGCTTTATTAATTGACAGGAAAGAATATGTAAAGCGGCTTAGAGATTATTTGTATTTGGCTGATAAATTAACACTCTCCAAATGACGGGGTTCTAGAAATAATGCCTGGATGTCCTATAGCCTTTAACTCATTTGAAGGAAAGGGTCATTTTCTTTTTATACTTTATGAAATCTCATGACAGAATTTTAAAAATGGAAATGAAGGCTTTACTAAGTATCATCAGATTAAAGAGTTTGAACTATCTCAGTTTAACAGGTCAGAAACTTTTATTCCAGAATTATCTACTAAAGAAATGAGGTGCACAATGGCTCTGGCAATGGTTAAGTCGCAGTTTTTGTTACTTTGAGGGAGTTTAGGCAAGTTTTACAGACTTATTCCTCAAAACAGCAGAGAAAGGTAGACTGCCATAACCCACCGGGGACCCCAGATGGTCTCACTGTGGTCTTTCGGTCAGATGGTGGCAAAGCAGACAGAGGGGGCAGTACCTTGAGAGAGGATGATGGGCCACCAGCAGGTCTGACCTCCGATGACAGTCCCCATTTAGCACCCCTGTCTCCACACAGCCACTGACACAAAATTCACTGACAACACTGCGCACCAACTGTGCCAGGACAGGATGGCCGCGGCACAGGCAAGAGCCCAGGCCAACACATACACTCAGACCAGCCGTGACCTCCAAGAGTGTCAGAACACACACGGATTTAAAAACTGCAATCTGTGTGCTGGCGCAACGTGTCAAAATATAAAATGTGCTCTATTCGTAACTGTATAATTTCATCGTGGAACTTCCTAAAAAGAAGTTGTCTTATAAGTACAAAAAGTATAAGCACAAAAATAATACTCAGGATCTCCCACTTGGTATGGGACTTGGGCGAATTAACGTGTCTAATGTTTAGCTGGCTAGCGTACAAAATGAGATTAATCCCTCCAACTATGCGGTGTTTTGTGTCTATTACATGAGACAACGTAATGGCAAGCACAGGTTTTACCAAGGGTTACAGCAGTCCATAACTGCTACCATTACCATTTCAGTGAAAGACCAGATACTAGCTGCACATCCATCAACCCATCAACAGAAAATTATATAATAAAATATGATGGAATTCCACGGAGTCATCTGAACTGATGTAGGCCTGTGTTCAATAAATTAAATATGCCTGTAATAAACTTCAGTAGACAAAAAATTAAGCATACTACACTATATAGAGCAAGATACCATATTTGTTAAAAACATTCAAGTCTCTAGCAACATGCGCGCCCAAGCATGAAAGGAAGAACACAGTGTGAGAGTGAATGCCAATTCAGCGCGTGGTGATTTGTAAGAGCAGATGTTTTCTTCATTGCACCTCTGAATTTTTCTTCCAAGAGCATGTATGGCTTTCATAATCAGAAAATAAAATTATTAAAAACTCAGGGTGCTACTGAACTAATCTATATATAGCCACGTCAAAATACTCACGGTGATTTGTGAATGGATTTATTCCTAAATTAGCATCGGGTTAATACACCTTGAATCAACAAATGGAAAATACCTCCTCCTTCTGTCTCTCCAGTGGCTGACACAGCAGAGGGGACTGTTTGGTGTCTCTTCATGTGCTTTTTACAATGCACTGTAGTTCGGAAACCCTCCTCACAAAACGGACACTTATAAGGCTTCATGCTCATATGTGTGGCCATGTGCCGGGTGAGGCTGCCATTGGTGGTGAAGGAAGCATTGCACACACTGCAGCTGAACGCCTTCACTCCTGCAAGCACAGAAACAGAAAAAACGGCTGGAACCAATCCTATTTCACTACCTTAAAACCAGAAGCAGTCAAAACCAAACAAAGATATGTTTAATAAGTTACAACATTATCCTGAGGCTTAACAGACTTTGGTTAAAAAAAAAAAAAAGTAAATTACAAAATTATAGACAGTTTATTTGGTGTGGGTTTCCAATTTTTAGAAATGGGATTGTTTTAAGAACATGGAAGTTGACATAGGACATCTTACTGCCTTCTCTACTGAAATCAGCAGGCTCTGTGAAGTCACAGTCTTCAAAACAAATCAAGTCCCCTCTCTCCTTGGTCTTTTACATTTAAACTGGCAACATGTGGATTCTACCCCAGAAATGTTTTCTCCAATCCATCTTTTCATCACTCCCATAGCACATGAGGTAGATTAGGCATTAAGAACTAGTCTATAAATCTTCTATACAGCTTTACTTTCAAATAAAGTCCCATACAGAAGGCCCTCTCTCCTCTGGACCGATGACACAGAACCAAGTAACTAGCTATTTTCCTCCTATTTCTGTCTTTCTTCCACCGTTCCTTATAAAAGTCATATATTGCTGCTCTCTGCCTCCGTAGCATGTCCTTCAAAGTACCATATAAACTACTGCCAGCAATCTTTCCAGTATCCACTAAAACCACTCCTCAATCATCAACCTATGGACCAGTCAATAAAACTTTTCCTTATTTTGCTTGGCTCTATGTTTCTAAGCAGTATATCTTCATTTTCAAATAAAGCCTTATACAAAATATACATTGATATTAAACTTATAATGAATATACTGAGTATATGTAACAGATAACAGAATATGTTAAAAATATTTTTAACTGTACACCATGCATCTGATAAAGGTCCAGTAGCCAGAATATAAAAACCTCTTACAACTCAATAAGGCAAATAATCCAATTTTAAAATGGGCATAGGATTAGAACAGACATTTCTCAGCGTCTGTGAAAGATGTTTAACATGATTAGCCATCGAAGAAATGCAAATCAAAGCAAAACCACAATGGCACGTGGGAAGGCTCATGACCATCCACAAGGCCGGTCATAAGAGAAGCAATAATAGCCATTGGCAAGGATGTGGGGAAACCAGAGCCCTCCCACGCTACGGTGGGCTGTCAAATCCGACAGCCACAATGGAAAACAAATGTTTTAACAGAGTTAACATATGACCAAACAATTCCACTCCTAGGTAGAGCAATGAGCCCATGTCCACACAAACACTTAAATACAAATGTGCATAGCAGGATTACTCATAATAAACAAAATATGGAAATAACTCCAATGTCCATCACCCGATGAATGGATCAATAAGACGTGGCATATCCTACAATGGAAAGGAATGAGGTTCTGATCCACCCATACAGCATAGGTGAAACTTGAGCACACTGTGCTGTGAAAGAAGCAGACACAAAATGCCACGTACTTCTATAAAATACCCAGGACAGGCAAATCTATAAAGACAGAGGTAGATACTGGGTGCCTGAGGTTCTGGGCATTGAGGGGAAATGGGGAGTGACTGTTAATGGGTACAGAGTTTCTTTTATGTGTAATAAAAATGTCCTAAAATTACAGTTTTGATGGTTGCAGAACTCTATGAACATACTAAAAATCACTGAATTGTACACTTTAAGTGGGTGAACTGAATGGTATATGGATTATATCTCAATAAAGCTTTTTTCTTTAAAGGACTAATCTCCAAGTATAAGGCAGACAGTGACCTGTGTGTGTCTTCTCGTGGGACTTGAGGACCCCAGAGGAAACAAAGCCGCGTCCACAGAGCTTGCACTTGTAGGGCTTTTCCCCGGTGTGCGACCGCACATGCTGCTTCAGGTGGCTGGACTTCTTAAAGCCTTTGTTGCAATAGTCACACCTACAAAGCAAACATACAGAACTCAGACCACGTTAATTCATAGCACAATTACAAATACAGCACCTGAAAAGGGAAGAAAAGCAAACAAGCTTCACCAACAACCATGAAACATTTAGGCACAACTGTTATAGAACCTAGGTGTGCTCTCCAACATTGAAGAAATTATAAAGTATAAAATATTGCCAACAATCATTTGTTAGACCAAATTCTGCTTAGAGTATTTACAGTCTTAAATGTATTACTTAAAAAACAGTAAATCCTATAACTCCCCAGCAGACATAATATTTGATTAATTAGAAACTCTCTCTAAGCATAATAGGAAGAAAATGTATGCACTCTTTTCTTTATTAAGTCGTTAGACACTATGAATCCTTCCATTGCCTCAGAAGCAGAATCACTCCTGTATCTAGTCACTTGGAAATGCCAATCCATGTACTCCTTTGGTTTACAAAATACAAAACAGAGTATACTGGAGTTATGCTGAATAATATATAAATATGCAGTATTATTTCCCCTTCAGTTGTTACTGAATAGACTAATGTTATCTTAAGGATTAAAATAATTATAAATTTCAAAACTCCTACTCACATATTATTAAAAGCTTATTCCATTAGTATGTCTCTTTTGTCCATTCTCAAGTTTTAATCTCCAGCAAGAGGTTAGTGACGTCCCTACACTATAACCTAAGTCAAGACTGGGTGCCCACGTAGAGGCAACTAACTTTCCTCTCAAGTCCAAATTAAACTAAAAGCTGGAAGTGTCTGAATACATTTTGAAAATTCACTCTTGTAAATCTGGTTTGGCGGTGGCTCACGCCTGTAATCCCAGCACTTTGGGAGGCCGATGCAGGTGGATCACCTGAGGTCAGGAGTTTGAGACCAGCCTGGCCAATGTGGTGAAACCCCATCTCTACTAAAAATACAAAAATTACTTGTACATTGTGCACAGAGGGTGCTCAGTATGTACTGCTGAGCCAGTGGACGGACACATCTAAAAAGCTGTCTTTCTAATTGTGCTGTATCCTGGTACACAGATTGTTATATGTAAAGCACATGAAGAGTCTTGAACTAAAAGGCATAATATAAATTTAACTAATTTCGAAAATGGAATAATAATGACTTAAAACAGTGACGGGAAGCTGCAGCAGAGTACTTCAAACAGACAAACTGAAGACTGCCGTATCCAAATCCTGGCCCGCTCACTTATCTGCTGTAAAAAGTTTAGCAAGTTAATCTCTTTTGTCTCAGATCGTTTATTTACAGAATATGGATGACAATGGAACTGTTTTGAACAGTTTTGAGAGAATGAAATCGCAGAGCCCTTGGAGCGGGGCAAACACACAGCAGCATCCGTTCCTGGGAGCCGGCAATACCATGAGCTGGTCTGTGCAGACAACTACCTGTAAGAGCGCCTGCTCTGGTCCTCGTTGTCCTCCAGAAACTGGGAACCTTGTGCCTGCAGGTCCAGTTCCTCTTGGGATGACTCCTGAATCAAGCGAGTTGTCTAAAATTTAAGAGAAGTATAAAGCAAACTACTTGAATATCTGTGAATAAACATAAAACAACTGAGCAGCTAAGAACTAAGGATAAGAACATTCATAAAATGTGGATCTAAGAGAGAGAAACCCCAAATAGTTCACTGTAATCATTTAGGCCAGAGCAATAATAAAGATCACTTATACAGATTTTATTAAATGAAGACCTATTTATTTTCTATTACCCTACCTTAATACAAAGCTTAATCAACCATAAAACTGATTATTTTATATATCTTAATAAGAGATTCCTCTTTCATCTGCTCTACTCTTACTGACAGTGAATAAAATCCCACCTTCAGAGAGTATAATATTATGTCTCCTCTTGTCACACAAACCAGAGGGTGAGAAAGACATGCTCTCCATCCCCAAGAACGGTACCACGCACATATAGGGCAGTCACACTGACCCCATCCCTTCCTGACAGCGGCATTACAACCCATGCTACCACAGCAAGGACAAAACAAAAATCTGGTCAATGTTTTCTAACCACTCTATAATAGATCCATGCTCACACTGAGTAGAGGATAAGCTCCACTGACCTTCAGAAGGCCTGGAGTCACAGGACAGACTGCGAACAGTAGAGTCATCCACCCCTGGGCAGCAAGTGCACGTTGCTATAAGCAAGGGCCTGTGTCGCATTTGTTTACCTGACTTCCAAAACCAACTTAGATAAACCACAACAACAGAACTGGATTTGCACAGTTTTATTTAGAGAGCTCTGGAGTAAAGTCAGCTGCTAAGAAGTACGTTCTCCACTTCCCAGATTCAGCATCTGCTGCCAATTATGTAGTTTCTACCTATGAGAAAAATGTTCTGAAATTTTCACGGGAGGGTCCAGCCCTACCACTTGGGCAAAGCTACCCGCGGTGGATTTTAAAGAGGGATAACAATTGGTCAATTTCTCATCACTATTAAGAAATTTCCAAAAGCAGGAAAATGAAAACCAAAACCAAAATTAAAATGTCTCCAACCAGGAGTAAGAGATAAAATTTTAAATGATGCATTTAAATATTTTTTAACGTCAGCATTCATTATATTTTCCTTCTAACATGTTTAAAAGTCCACAAATAAAAATGTTGAGGCTTTGTGCCTAAAGCAACATAGTACCTTTCAACGTGTTATTACATAGCACTCTAGTCAATTTTTGGTTTTTAATCACAAATGCAAGGCCACACCATGGCAGTGAAACCTTTAAGCAAAATTAAAATGTTTTAAGGAAAAAGAAAGCCCTGTGTACTAAACACTGAGGATTTCCCAGGTAATGCAGTAACCTTAATGCTACAAGAAGTGAGCATGCCTCTTAAAATTTCCCTTAAGGAAATTTTTAATAATGACAGTGAAGAATAACATAGCACCTGCTAAATACTGCCATGTATGCACCCCTCTGTCCATACTCACTACATTCATCCCATCAGAGCTGGGAGCCTGCAGCAAGCTCTGCTGGTGGAAGCTTGTGGAGAGGGCCTGAGACTCAAGTGTGCTGGAATCCTGTAGCTGTTGGACAGGTGGAAACTGAGGCTGCTGATGGTACGTATCAGTCACTGTAAAACCTAAAATAAATTAGAAAAGAGGAGTTCTACAAAAATATTAAAGTTACATTAAAATGTTCTAAGAAAAGGTTTATAAATTTAAAATGTCTAAAGGGGCATTTCTATTTTCTGAATTAGAATTAGGACTAGCTGCTATTAGCAAGCTTTAACACTGTTTGCTAACAGGCAGGAGGCTGTGCTCAGCAGACATTACAGCACCGGAGGCTTTACAGGACCAGCCACCACGAAGTTCCAATTTCTACTCAGCCACCTTTTCTTGACTGGAAACTACGTGTAGAATGGCTGCAAAGGTCACTTTCCAGAAGACCTAAGCAGACCACAAAATAGTATGCATCAATAAAAAAAAATCTACAATGCATGCAAAAAGTTATTTGGTTTGAAACCATACACTTTAGAAGGGCCTTAAGAGAAAACATGTAAGGTTGTCATGAGATTAAATTCAACTGAAGTATAGCTCACTTACAAATTTCATTGAAAACCCACCACTGACCTTGGGGTAGCCCTGCTGGTTCGAAGGACTGTTGCGCAGGGCTCTGCTCTTCAAACTGGTCTACGTGCCCTCGCAGAGGGTCCTGTGGAGCCACAAACCCATCTGAGGATGAGATGTAAAAAAGGGGGACGCATACATTTGGAAGTTATTTCACAACTGCAAATCTGTCCAAAAGTACACTTCGGCGAGTTTTCAAATATCAGACACCTTATTTTGAAAAGAAAACAGGGAGATAATTTAATACATACATATGCTTAAAGCATTCTCTTTGCATTTCTAGAATACCATCCCTGAAAGCCTTTAGCGTCTGTCTGAAAACTCAGACATTGTTCCATTAAACAATATTCTAAAATGCTATTACATTCCATAATTGTTTAAAACCTTTCTGCGTGTGCATGGTTGCAGGCACCATAGGGGTAAGTGTATAATCCTCCCCAAAGACGGAATACATTTGAGACATCCATAAAACAAAACAGTAAACTGGTCAGCACACTGTTTGCTGACATGCCTGTGTGAGATAAGAAGCCTGTGCCAGACGCAGCCAGCTATGTCACTAATCACACAGTCTACAGTTGACCTGACATTGTGTTTTGTAGCCAAACTTTACTGATGAAGGAAGCAAAGTGCTGCTTTATATTCTGGTTCAGGAGCCTCATCTCACCGCAGACCAGTCACCCACAGTTCACTGACCTACATTCATCTTTGAATCTACACTGAGTGTACTTTATAGAATACTAAAGATCATACAGATGTACACTTGAAAGATGTTCTCAATATACCGGGGATAAAAGGTCACAAAATAGTATGCACTGCAAGGTCCTATTTGTATAATTTTTTTTTTTTTTTTTTTTGAGACAGAGTCTCACTCACTCCGTTGTCCAGGCTGGAGTGCAATGGCGCCATCTCGGCTCACTGCAACCTCCGCCTCCCAGGTTCAAGCAATTCTCCTGCCTCAGCCTCCTATGTAGCTGAGATTACAGGTATGCACCACCACACCCAGCTAAGTTTCGTATTTTTAGTAGAGATACGGTTTCACCATAGCCAGGCTGGTCTTGAATTGCTGACCTCAAGTGATCCACCTGCCTCAGCCTCCCAAAGTGCTGGGATTACAGGCGTGAGCCACCACACCCAGCCTTATTTGTATAATTATATACGCATACCAAACACACACACACACACACACACACACACACACACACACACACAGACACACACATACACACACACCCCTGCATATTTGTATGGAAAAAAATTGGTAGCACCTATATCAAAATAAGGACGGTAGATTTTGCTGCAGTCCTAAAATTTCAACTACTTCTTAACAAGATTTCGAATATTTCCTAACAAGAAGTCTGATCACTTTGTTTTTGTTTTTTCAAAAAAGAACTTCCCCTAAGAAATCTAATAAAATTGAAAAGTAAAAATCTAATTTAAGAGGACATGGAATGATATCAAATACTCAATTCAATCTCTTTCACATACAGCACAAATTGTTTTAAAAGTCAGTGATGGGAGACACCAATGGACTGCAATGAGTGGGAAAGGCTGCAAAACTCTGCTGGGATCACTCAAAGTTAAATATCCTGAAACATTTACCTTCATCTGCTTCCAGGGGCTGATCTGCCAACTGCTGGCCCAGCCCTGCTTCCTCCGTGCCCACCACATGCTGAGGCTCCAGGTCCAGCATGGCCTCGGGGTTCGCTGCGACCACCTCTGCCGTCTGCGGCAGCTCGTCGCTCTCGATCTCCACCTGCATTTGAGTGGAGGCCTGCATGCTCTGCTGGTCTACAGTGCTGTCATCTATCGAGGCTGCCTGCTGATGCTGTTGGAGCTGCTGGGCAAGCTCATATCTTCAGAAAAATTAACAACAGTTCATCAGGTTAGATGCTGTCAAAGGTTACTTGCCTGGGATACTACAGTGAAAGAGTTGTCATTGATTAAATAACATTTTTTATTAATGATTTCATTTTGAAGTCATGATGGCAATTCAGGTAAAAACTGAACACATTAGTAACTCTGAAGAGAGCTCGTTTGCCTTATCTTTAAGTGCTTCCACCGGCTACAAGACACAAGGCACGAACGGAGGATGAAGGACAACACACACCCGAATGCCTAATAGTTTAAAAACATTAAAAAGATGTCTCGTGTTTAAAAGTAAAACTCTCCCAACTCAAGTTCTGCAATGAGTCTAAGTATTCAGAAAAATAATTGTACTAAATGAGACGACACCTTTATAGACTGATCTAAATCTGACAACACGTGGTGCGCAGAGAGCCTCCAGCCTCATCACCTACTGTCTCTCACAGCCTGGGCCTCAGGCCCTTTATTGGACCAACGATCCAAATGTTGCTTTCAGCAACATTTACATACACAAAGTGTATCCAGCATTCATCAAAGTCAACGATTTCTCTTTCAAAGGAAAAGATGAACAATGAATTCAGCAATGAACTGAGAACTTGAAAAAAAAAAAAAAGAAAAAAATCTCACACAATTATCTGACTAACAGGCTGGCTAGTACGAAGAATATCTAAGACAAAGAGCCGGCCAGGCGCGCAGCTCACACCTGTAATCCCAGCACTTTGGGAGGCCAAGGCTGGAGGATCACCTGAGGTCAGGAGTTCAAGGCCAGCCTGGCCAACATGGTGAAACCCCATCTCTACTACAAATACAAAAATTAGCCAGGTGCAGGGGTGCACGCCTGTAATCCCAGCTACTTGGGAGGCTGAGGCAGGAGGTTGCAGTGAGCCAAAATTGCACCACGGCACTCCAGCCTGGGCAACAGAGCGAGACTCCGTCTCAAACAAACAAAAACACCCACACACACAAAAAAGAGCCGCCTGGTCCCCTCTTCTGCCTCTGCACACACAGACCATACAAGCTGCATCATGGGCTCTATTCCAGTGTCTTAGGAATCTGCCTACTCAGAATTTCATTCTCAGTTCCAAACAAAATTTTCCCTCTTCGTTTTCTAATATCCAAAATAGACAATTCATAACTACTTTTACTGTGGAAGGGAGAACAAAAATGTGTCGCATAATAGAGAAGAGTTAGAAAATGCACGCCTGCACCTCCACTGTGATGCTTCCACACAGCAGCGCAGTGGCACGCAGGGGCCTGTAAAAGCCACTCTAACCTAAGCACATGTGTGTCTCACGCTAACTGATGGAGGCTTGTTTTCTGTTTGTTTCCTTGGTTCTTTGTTTTTTCCAATAAATTTTACTACAGTAACCTTCTTTACCTATCTTTAGCATGAGTATATGTGGTATTTTGGGAATTTCCAACAATTCAAAGGAATGAAACCCTGGCTGGATGCTCTCCTTGTAGGCAGATTCCAAGTGCACACAATCTGTAAAAGCAAAGCACTGCAGCTCTGCAACAACAGGCTGATCTGCTTAGTGTCCTCTCAAAGCTCTACATTCATCTCCTACATGTGTCCCTCGAAACTGATGACAAACAATGGTCGCACAATATACCACTTAATAAAGGTGACCCCGCAATTACAGCATTGGTCACTGGGTCCGGAAACAAGGGCCTGAACACCCATATTCCCAATACTACTACGAAAGGACACTGGAAGAGGCTGGCTTCCTGACTGAAAAAGATTTGGTTTAACATTCCACTGAGCAAGCAAGCGCCCAAGCTCCATTCTTCTTAGCACGGTAAGCTCTTGGGCCAACTGGGGACCCGTCATCCTGCTACAGCGAGCAGGAACACAAGCATCCTCAACATCCATGTGCCCCCGAGTTCCCCAGTTCCCAAACACATGCAGTGCCCTGCACAGGATTCCCTCCACAAAATGCAGTGAAGTGTAAGTGGATATGTAATTAACAGGAGTCCACATATAACACCGCCAATACCACACTCCCTGGGTGGTCTCAAGCAGCAGGTAAATTTCTCAGCTAAGCAATCAACGATACTGAAATCAAAAACGTCAATTCTGTTGAGGGTGCTTAGGCAGTCAGATCAATAATATCAAAACAACACTATCACAGGTAACTTATTCTAATATTTAAGGTTTTGCTTTGTAGACGACATCCAGGCAGACATATCTGGGTTAAAATGCTGTCTCAAAGCAAATGTTCCAGGGCAGCAGCTTTAGGCCTAGTGACTCTCCCTTTCACATCTCCTAAGCTGTGGTCACCCTACCCAGGTGTTACAGTACCACACAGAATTCTGTGGCTTCACAGAAATACTCATCGAATAGGCCCCAGCACTAGTCAGAAATGCATCTCTTCCGGATTACATCCACATAGAGACGAGCTAGCCTTCCAATCATGTGAAAATATAAGCTAGGCTGAATGAAAAGTTTATGGAATATCTAAAATATGTATTCTTTAAAGTCAACAACATAGAATAATTACCATTCAGATTTGCTGATGACAGGCCTAGAAATCACAGGGTCTTTAAGATTCTCTTTTCTGAAATATTCACTATCTGACTGTACTAGACACAGTCCAGCATTTCAACTAATTACCAACTAACAGCTTTAAAAGACAGCTTACAGAATATAAACTACTTCATTATTAAATTAAAAATGAAAATGCTAATGCTTCAGTCTATGGCTCCCATTAGATCCTTAGACACTAATACTTACATTTCTTTTTTTTTTTTTTTTTTTTTTTTTCTTGAGCCCATATAGTATGAGCTAGAAATAATAATGTAAGAATCAAAGACAATTATTTCCTAAAAACACTCCCCACCATCTACTGGAAATTATAAAGATGATAAAAAGTGACCACCAGAATTACACCCACCTGTGGGTTTTCATGTGCTTTTTGCAATTTAGTGAAGTCTTAAATGTTTTTTGGCAATAGGGACACATATAGGGACGAAGGTCGTTGTGGATACCCATGTGTCGCCGTAAGCTGCCACCAGTAGTGAAAGCCCCATTACATATCAGACACTTGAAAGATTTCAGTCCTGTGTGTGTTCTGATGTGTGCTTTGAGCACGCCTGCAGAAACAAAGCCTCTTCCACACTGAGAACATTTAAAAGGTTTTTCACCTGTATGGGATCTTAAAAAAAAATACACATTTTAATGAATATGTTTCTTATACTTTTATAATGCTTTGTGACTAGAATGCACTCTTGCATTTCGCTTCACTTCATCATCACATTTTTTAAAGCTAAGCAGCAATGCCGGAGCTCTCCACATTTCACAAGGGAGGAAGCCTGAGACTCAGAGTGCTTAAGCGACCTGCCTCAAGTCACACGACTGAGATGAAGCTAGAAGCCATGTCTTTTTCTAAGTTCTATACTTTTTTCATGACATCACACTGTCTCTCATGATCAAGGTTCGACTTCCTTTTCACTGTGGCTAGCACTAAGAATTAATCTAAACTGATAAATACATCTGAAAAACACAAAAGGAAGTCTAATAAAATAAACTTCTTTGACATTTCTTGGAAATTGCAAACACTGAAATTTAATGAGCATATACATAAACTCCAGTAGCAATTTCTGGATAAAATATTTTAGTCAAGACATTAAAGAATAAAAATATTAATTACCAATAAATGTTTTGGAGTCAAATGTGACATCTTTAATACCAAAAGCTAATGCTACCATCCTAAATACTTCTAGACGTCATCAGGTCACTAAGTCAGTTTAATTATACTAAATTTCCATCTGTGAATCCGTTACCTTACCTGATGTGTTGTTTAAGGTGGCAAGATTTTTTATATGCACGATGACAGTAAAAACACTTGTATGGTCTATCTGCTTCATTGACAAAATTATTATTGAAATAGCTTTGGAAAAACTGGTTTTTTGGAATGGGCTGGATGAGACCTACAAAGCAAAAGAAAAGCAGATGTAATTCACTGTCAATGCTAGTAATACAATTAAATGTCACAAGGCACATGTTTTACCCAGAAGATGAAAATTCTGGTAAGTTAGATTCTAATGTTGCAACTATGTTATTTTAATTGTGTTAGGAACTGGCTATTCAAAGAATACCTATGGGGAAACATTATAAATTAATATATTTATAATATAACATTACAAATTAATTTATAAATTAACAAACATTATAAATTAATATATATTAATGTTGCTCATTTTTTAAACATGAGAAATATCTAGTCACAATTACTTCCCTTGATTCCACGGCCAATTTCTAATGAATTTCTACATTTACTTTCTATATGGGCATTTGTTGACATGGAGTCTACATAACTATGTCCAAAATTCAGGATAAGCAAGATTTTAATACCTTGTTTATTCAGTATGAATACTGCACACTAGATACTATAATAAACTGAAAACAAAAGTGACTCTAACATGATCTTTTGTTCTAAAAAGGTTAGCATTTTCACAGATATCACTAAAGGGATATCTACAAATAACAAAATTAGTAATTTAAATATTTCATTTTATATACATTTACTAAATTAAGAATTCCTTCAGGTTGACCATGTAATAAATATGAATTGATCAAGCTACTGCATTATTTCAGGAATTCAGGACAAGCTTGGGGGTAAACTTTCGAATTCCTTAAGAGTCATTTGGAACGTTAAGAGGGTGACACACGCAGTCAGTCCTCTAATCAGCCTTGGGCTGCTCCTCCTGCCAAGACAAGGAGGCATTGGCCAAGATTTTGTCCTCTGCCCACAGCTCTCCATTCCCGGTCCTCTCTCCTCCCTCATTTGTACCTTAACTGCTATACAATGATTAGCATGATGCACCTCTGAACACACTCTGTTTTTCCGGACTTTCCATAAAAATACAGATTCCGTTTCAATTTCTTCCCCTAAAGCCCACTTCTCCCAGCTTTCCTAGCTGCATGCCTGGAACAGTCTTCTGGTCCCTAAGGCTGGGGAGCCCCGGACCTCTGAGAGTTCCCTTCCCTGTCCTGTACTCGGCATTTGCCAGTCCTGATGATCAACACCACTCCAATGTCTCTTAAACTTGCATCTTCTCTTCTTTTTCCACTGCCACCAATCTCAAATAGCAGTGAAACAATTACAAAGCTGGAGGGAATTTGACAGCCCAACCAATTTCACCTAGCTCATTATTAGATTTAAGGAAATTCACCTATGCTTCCTGAAGCTTGCATCAGAACCTTATTTTTCAAAAAGTATTCAGAACCCTCCCTTGTGATATAACCCACACAGCACAACTCCTAAGACTACCAAGCCTTTTCTCATCTCACAAGCCTTCTGGACAATCAGAGCTGTATCAAAGACCTCGCTCCAGGCAGCTCTGACACCACCCTGTGCTTGACAGCACAGCCTCACTTTTTCCTAACAACTCATCCTGCTCAAAAGAGAAAAATGCAGGCTGGGCACAGTGGCTCAGGCCTGTAATCCCAGCACTTTGGGAGGCCAAGGTGGGTGGATCACCTGAGGTCGGGAGTTTGAGATCAGCCTGGCCAACATGCAGAAACCCCGTCTCTACTTAAAAAAAAATAAAAATACAAAAAATACAAAAATTACCAGGCATGGTGGCACATGCCTGTAGTCCTAGCTACTCAGGAAGCTGAGGCAGGAGAATCGCTTGAACCCGGGAGGCAGAGGTTGCAGTGAGCCGAGATCGTACCATTGCACTCCAGCCTGGGTGACAGAGTGAGACTCTGTCTCAAGAAAGGAAAGAAAAAAGAAAGAAAAATGCAGGCATCCAGTCCGTGCCTACCACCTTCCCTACACATGCTGAGACATGCAGACTGAATGCCATGCCTGGTTCTCAAAAACAGTGATGGCAGAACCCTGGATGCAGGTTTCCTCTTCCACATTGCTCTCGGTCAAGGACTCCCCTGGACTACCGCTAGCTTCCTCAATGAGCATTCTACTTTCACTTACTCTCATAACACTATTCTATGCTAATCCTCTCCTTACCATGTTTTTATCAAACTCTGTCCCCCAAAGATTATGACAGCCAAGTCTTTTCTATAGCCTCTAAGGAGCCCAGAGTCTGAGAGAAGAGATGAACACAAATACAAATAACAAAATTAAGCACAAGACATAGTTACAATATTTTACAATTTACAGTGTGAAGCTCCCTCTAGCAATCATTTCCCTCATGTGTCTTCCTCAGCCTAAACCAAAGAATTCAGGTTCCCCTATCTGGTCTAAGATACAAGTATCTGCGAAGCCAACAAGCAAAATATATCCCATTTTAACCCTGAAAAATTGCTGAAGAGTCAAGAACCTAACTCAACTGAAGATTCAAAAACTTGAAGTCCAGAAACCCATGGGTGTACAACTTGATTTACGGCAACCTGAAAGAAGAAACCGGTCTGTTGCTTCATTTTGTGAGCAGCCAAAACTGGACAAGGATATCAAAGTATTCTACGCTACCATGGGGGTTTTGATCCCATTCTATGCTCAAAAACAGTTAAATAGCATAACAATTATAGTTCCTAGGAAGCTTAGTACAATTCGTATATTAAATTATCAGACTTTTTTTTTTTTGAGACAGAGTTTCACTGTTGTTCCCCAGGCTGGAGTCCAGTGGTGCAATCTTGGCTTACTGCAACCTCTGCCTCCTGGGTTCAAGCCATTCTCCTGCCTCAGCCTCCTGAGTAGCTGGGATTATTGGTGCCTGCCACCACGCCCGGCTAATTTATGTATTTCTAGTAGAGATGGGGTTTTGCCATGTTGGCCAGGCTGGTCTCAAACTCCTGACCTTGAGTGATCGCCCACCTCGGCCTTCCAAAGTGCTAGGGTCACAGGCGTGAGCCACCGCGCCCAACCAGACTGGTGTTTTGGAGAAGATGATCTTTTACTATCTTGTCAATTTGTTGTGTATTTTGGAGTTTTCTATTTCTTCTACAGTCAATTCTGCCAAGCATATTATTTTAGAAAAGATTCATTTCATCAAAATTTTCAAATATATTAGGAAAAAGTTGTAGAGTATTTGCAAACAATTGTTACCTCATTTGTATCTGTGCTTACAACTTCTTTCTCATTCCTATGTTTTCTCATGTTTCTTTATTAGTGACAAGTCATCTATATTTTCTGTTCATTTTTATAAGTTTTGTAAAACTTCAGTTCACTACAGTTTTGTCTTCTATCTCCAATTCCATTATATGTATTAATTAAGGGGTCCTCAAGCCCCAGGCTGCCTGTTAGGAACCGGGCCACGCAGCAGGAGGCGAATAGCAGGTGAGTAAGCTTTACCATCTGAGCTCCGCCTCCTGTCAGATCCGAAGAGTGTTAGATTCTCACAGGAGTGCGAACCCTATTGTGCACTGTGCATGTGAGGGATCTAGGCTGCGCACTCCTTCCGAGAATCTAATGTCTGATTCTCTGACATCTGAGTGGAACAGTTTTACCCTGAAACCAGTCCTCCCACCCGACCCCCAATCTGTGGAAAAACTGTCTTCTGCAAAACCAATCCCTGATGACAAAAAGGTTGGGAACTGCTATATTAATTCCTTTCTGCTACTTTCTTTTAATTTTCCTAGTTTTTTTAGTTAAATATTTTACTTATTTTCAATCTGTCTTATTTTCTAATAATACTCAAAAGTCTTAATTTTTCCTAGGACGGCTTTGGTCCATCCAATCTGTTTACATAATACTCACATGTGTAGTATGCAGTATCTGTTTCGAGTCCTTCTTTTCATGTAATGAAATTTTGGATGGCTATTTTATAAGTTTTTCAGTGAACTGTAATCAAAGATTGTATCCTATACAAAATCAACTTCTGAAAATTTATTGAAATTTTTCTGTATCCTAGAATGTGATCAACTTCTGTTTCATGCATATTTAAAAGTATGTAATTTAAGGCAAAAGATTCTATAAAGCTATTAAGTAACTCTTTTTATTTGTGTGCTCAAATCTTCCGTTTTAAGGTGTTTAAGTTGACCTGTCTAATTGAGGATCTTTCACTGCACTTGAGAATTTGAGTATTTCCTTTCTTTGAATTTTTTTAGTTTAAATATTTTGATGTTAAACTCTCAGATTCACACAAGTTTATGGCTGTTGATCATCTTACTGGTGGCCCCCAATTTATAACAATCTAAAATCTCTCTATACAATAATTTACAATTATTGTAAATAAAGGTTATGCTTTGGAATTAAGGAATTATATTTTAATATTAATTTTGCTTATAGATTGAATTATCTTTCCTAGGAAAGTAGTGAAATACAGAAACTGCATAAAAATGTAAATTCACACATTAGTAAGTGATGTGGTCTAAATGTTTGTGGTCCTCCAAAATTCATGTAGTAAGAGGTAGGACCTTTGGGAGGACATAGCCAGAAGGCACTATCTATGAGGAAGAGAGACCTCACTAGACACTCAATCTGCCAGCACCATGATCTTGGACTTCCCAGCCTCTAGAACTGTGAGAAGTAAACTCCTAGTATTTACAAGCTACACAGTTAGTGGTATTTTTGATTCAGGAGCTCAAACAAACTAAGACAATGAGGTTTCTTAAATTTTGTTCTAGTACTAACAAATATAATTTTTCTAAAGATTCTAACAAGCAGTGTTTTCTTTCTAGATCATCAACAAAATCATAGTTTGGGTTGGTTATAGTAACACTGAACCTAAAAAGAAAAGCAGGCAGATTTTTCTTTTCCTTTTTAATCCAAAGATTAAAGTAGCCCAAATAATCTGTAACACAGTACAAAGAACCTAAAGATGAAAACAACAACGTGCACTGTGTGTTTCACATAAAAACCCCTTCTCACTTTTGATGGTTCCACTGAGGTAGCAATGTTTCTTCAATGAGGACTTACACGCTACTGTTTTCACTTACACATTATTTGTCTCTAATCCGAGAAAACAATTTGAGCAGTAGTTTGGATACAACTTAGATTTTAATCTTGACTGTAAAACATACTAGTCCATAAAGCAAAACAAGGCTTAACACAGACTTCATTAATACTATGCCTAAAAAACTATTTAACTACAGAGACCATAATGTGTGTACACAATTCACAAAATGTCAAAGAAAATAGTACTCAATAAATTATAAAGACGCCCTACAATCCATCTTACCTAAGTCAGTTATGAGGATTGGTTCCTGCAAAGGAATATCAGGGACTGGAATATTCGTCTTGCCAACACGGACCTTTGCAGGTTTACGCTGGTGCCTCATTTTCCTTAATTCCGTATGTTTAAAGTGGGAAGCAATGTGAGTCTTCCTATGGCCTGAGGTTCGAAATTTTTTGTCACAGTGAGGACAAGCAAAAGGTCTAACTCCTAATAAAAATGAAATCACATTTTAGAATTATTTCCAGAAATTACATCTCAACAGCAAATGCTAACATAAAATGTTATTATTTCCAATACTGATTTGAACCTTCAATTTATTAGGCCATGCTTATAATTTAATGGATATTGTAAATTATTTTCCCTTGTTTGTATACAGTGCATATTATAGATATTAAGGCATGTTATAAGAGCATTTTAAGTAAAAAAAGAACATTTAGTATTTTTAGGACAAAGTCTTACATTGTAAAATATGGACAGTAGTTCTTCAGAACTTTACAGTATGTAAGGATGCTCTCTCTCTTAAGTCACCACCTGTAAAGTGGCTTAAAGACACCTGCCTCCAGGGCTGCTGCTGAGATTACGTAAGCTAACATTTAAACAGCACTTAGCAATGTCTCACATTTTGCAAATAAACAGTAAATGGTAGTTGTCACTGATTGTAAATGATGATGATAATAGTACTAATATCTTCTTAATGATCCTCTTACTACTGTGCCCCACTTCTAAAGAATATTTCCTTGTTTTACAATTTTATCAGCAAATGAAAATGTAAATTCCAAAGAAACACATACAACAAAATTGAGTAACTTCAGCTTTGTCAAATACTCATCCACATTGTCAGCCCAGAGGAGGATCCCTGAGGGAATTTGGGGGATATTGCCAATGAGTACAGGGTTTCTTTGCAGGGTGATAAAAATGTTCCAAAATCAGACAGTGGTGTAGAGTGCACAATTCAGAAGTGTACACATTAAAATGGTAAATATTATATGTAAATTACATCTCAATAAATATGTCATTAAAAAAAATGGAGCTCCGTAATGAAAGATTTCATGCCTCAGTACAAACAGGTCCCCGGTCCTCCTCCTGGCCCAGCTAAAGCCTTCAGGTCTTCTCAGATCAAATGCAGATTACATGTTGTATTCTCAGAAAGGCTCACTCAGTCTAAATCCAAATCTGATCCGGACAGAAGTCTCTTTTCACCCTCTGCAATTCTACGTTCATTTATAAGTGTTACTTGTTTTTAATGCCTCCCCCAGCATATCCTTAGCTCCATGGAGATCAAGGTTGCATCTGTTTTCTTTACCTGTAGATACTTCATGCCCAGCCTATAGAAGAGACTCAACAAGTGCTGATGAAAAGACAGAAATATATCCTCCAAGTAGTCAATTATTGCTCCCCCAGGTGCTGTGACTCAATCCCTTCTCAGCACCTGTGTGCAGTACTGTGTGCAGTACCTATTGGCAGTTCCTGTGTGTGGCACTGTGTTTGGTACCATGTGTGGTACTGTGTTTAGTACTGTGTTTGTTACTATATGTAGTACTTGTGTGCAGTACTGTGTTTGGTACTATGGGCAGTGCCTATGTACAGTACTGTGTTTGGTACTGTGCATGATGCCTGTGTGCAGTACTGTTTGGTACTGTGTGTGGCACCTGTGTGCAGTACCTGTGGGCAGCACTGGTCCCTGTGTGCAGCACTGTGTTTGGTACCTAAGTGCAATACTGTGTGTGTGGTACTATGTACAGTACTATGTGTGGTACGGTATGCAGTCCCTGTGGGCAGTACTTGTGTGTAGTACTGTGTTTAGTACTGTATGCAGTACCTGAGCGCAGTACTGTGTTTGGTACTCTATGTACTACTTGTGTGCAGTACTGTTTATTACTGTGTTTGGTAGCATGCATGATGCCTGTGTGCAGTACTGTTTGGTACTGTATGTGGTACCTGTGTGCAGTACTGTGTTTGGTACTATATGAGGTACCAGTGGGCAGTACTGTTTGGTACCTGTGTGCAGTACTATGTTTGGTACTTTATGCGGTACCAGTGGGCAGTACTGTTTGGTACCTGTGTGCAGTACTATGTTTGGTACTGTGTTTGGTACCTAAGTGCAGTACTGTGTGTAGTACTGTGTGCAGTCCCTATGGGCAGTACCTGTCTGCAGCACCATGTTGGGTATTGTGTGCAGTACCTGTGGGCAGTACTGTTTGGTACCTGTGTGCAGTACTGTGTTTGATGCCTAAGTGCAGTACTGTGTATGTTGTACTGTGTGCAGTACTGTATGTGATGCTGTATACAGTCCCTGTGGGCAGTACTTGTGTGTACTGTGTTGGGTACTGTATGCAGTACTGTGTTTGGTAGTATGTGCAGTAGCTGTGTGCAGTACCTATGCACAGTACTGTGTGGTCCCTGTGGCCAGTACCTGTGTGCAGCACTGCAGGCCATACCTGTATGCAGTACCTGTGTGCTGTACTGTGTTTGGTACCTGTGTTTGGTACTGTGTGTGGTCCCTGTGGGCAGTGCCTGTGTGAGTGCAGCTCTGCAGGCTGTACCTGTGTGCAGTACTCTGTTTGTGTACTGTGTGCAGTACTGTGTTTGGCACTGTGCATGACACCTGTGTGCAGTACTGTTTCGTACTGTGTGCAGTACTTGTGTGCAGTACTGTGCTTGGTACCTGTGTGCAGTACCTGTGTTTGGCACTGTGTGTGGTCCCTGTGGGCAGTGCCTGTGTGGGTACAGCACTGAGGCTGTACTTGTGTGTGGTACTGTGGTACCTGTGTGTGGTACCTGTATTTAGTATTGTGTTTGGTACTTGTGTGTAGTACTGTGTTTGGTACTGTGTTCGATACTGAGTTTGGTACCTGTGTGCAGTACCTGTGTTTGGTACTGTGTGCGGTCCCTGTGGGCAATGCCTGTGTGTGTGCAGCACGGCAGGCTGTACCTGTGTGTGGTACTATGTTTGGTACCTGTGTGCAGTACCTGTATTTAGTACTGTGTTTGGTACTGTGTTTGATACTGAATTTGGTGCCTGTGTGTAGTACCTGTGTTTGGTACCACGTGTGGTCCCTGTGGGCAATGCCTGTGTGGGTGCAGCACTGCAAGCTGTACTTGCGTGTGGTATAGTGTTTGGTAACTGTGTGCGGTACCTGTATTTAGTACTGTGTTTGGTACTGTGCTTGATACTGAGTTTAGTACCCATGTGCAGTACCTGTGTTTGGTACTGTGTACGGTCCCTGTGGCCAGTGCCCACGTGGCTGCAGCACTGCGGGCCATACTTGTGTGTGGTACTGTGTCTGGTACCTGCCTTTGATACTTGTGTGCAGTTTCTGTGGGCAGTACCAGTGTGGGTACAGCACTGTGGGCCATACCTGTGTGTGATACTGTGTGCAGTCCCTGAGGGCAGTATTTGTGAGCAGTAGTACCTGTGCAAAGTGCTGTGCTGGGTACTATGTGCAGTACTATGTGTTTGGTACTTTTGGGCAATGCCTGTGTGGGTGCAGCACTGTGGGCCATACCCGTGAGCAGTACTGTGTTCAGTACTATGTGGGGTACTGTGTGCAGTCCCTGTGGGCAGTACTTGTGTGCAGTACCTGTGCACAGTGCCCTGTTGCATACTGTGTGCAGTACCTGTGTGCAGTACTGTGTGCAGTCCCTGTGGGCAGTACTCGTGTGCAGTACCTGTGCACATTGCTGTGTTGGGTACTGTGTGCGGTATCTGTGTTTGAGACCTTTGTGCAGTCCCTGTGGGCAGTACCGGTGTGGGTGCTGCATTGCGGGCCACACTTACGTGCAGTACTGTGTGTGATACTTTGTGCAGTCCCTGTGAGCAGTACTTGTGTGCAGTACCTGTGTGCCTACTGTGTGCCATACCTGTGTTTGGTATATGTGCGCAGTAATGTGTGTGGCCCCCGTGGCCAGTGCCCGTGTGGGCCCAGCCCTGAGGCCATACCTGTGTGCAGGCGAATGTGCACCTTGAGGCTGCCAGAGGTGGAGAAGCTCTTCATGCAGTACTGGCACTTGAACGCCTTGATGCCGGTGTGCGTCTTGATGTGCGCTGTCAGCGTGCTCTTCACGGCGAAGGCGCGGAAGCACTGCGGGCACTTGAAGGGCTTCTCGTGGGTGTGGATGCGGATGTGGCGGACCAGGTCGCTGGGCTTGCGGAACTCCTTGGCGCAGTAGGGACACACATGCCAGCGCACGCCGTTCTCCTCGCGGATGGAGCCTGTGAAGGGAGAGGACACGTCCCGCTTGGCCTGGACACCCCGCCTAGGGTCAGGTCCAGGACCCCCTGTGGTCCCCACAGAAAGCTGCACGCATGATCAGTTATGGGAAAGCTTGGAATTCCCAGGATCACTGACATTATCGAGGGCTAGGAGTTAATCTCGCTGAAACCCCTAACAGTCGGGGAAAACACAATTCAGTCTCTGAAAAAGAGCGCCCACTGACAGGGTGATTGATTCGGTAGGTCCAGCGGCACCAGGACACAGCTGGCTCCCTCTCAATGAGAACAAAAGCAGATGGGATCGAATGACCTCATGCTTAATGCAGGGAACGAGAAGAGAAGGAATGACACTGGAATAAGTATTTATTGGGCCTACTGGATATCACCAATTAAAAAAATATAAATGCAAATAATTAAGAAACAGTAAATCTATATGCTATAAAAGGAAATTGGTAAACAGTTAAGACAAATAGTATATATCAATTCATGATAAAATATAAGTGGATCTGTCTCATATTATTACTCAATTTTGAATCAAGTTTAAAACTATTTCTAATAGAAAAAAAATCACAAATTGATGGAAATATAGTAAGTACACCTGTCCCTCTGTTTTCAGCAGGAAATACTGCCAAGACCCGAGTGGTTCCATCTGAGAACCAAGCCAGCTACTGAGTGGTGAATGCAGCAGCGTGAGTGCGTGGGACAAAGGGATGACCCGTGTCTCCCTCACCCCTCTCAGGATGGAGCAGGACAGTGGAAGGTGAAATGGTAAGAAATTTACAGCTTATGAATTGTTTATTTCTGGAATTTTCCATTTAATATTTTTGGGAATTTGGTTGAATGCAGGTAACTAAAACTTAGAATCACCTTATTTTTAAAATTTTTGATTAGATTTATTCATCTGAAATTAAGGTAGCATCTACAGTGACTATATAGATAACTCACATAAAGAATCCACATGAAATCAGAAAGATTTCCCACATTAATGAAATTTCACCAGAACACTTTTAACTAAAATTTATTTAACTGTGTCTGTACCAACATAGTTTTCTTAGGGAAAAAGAAAACCTTCTGTTTCCTTCTCTCTTATCACTAAACATAAGGAATTATCCATATATGCAAGTAAATCTGTAAAGATAGAAACCATTTTCTCAAATACAATATTCTTTGCAAGAATAATTCACATAAAAAAGAAAGGTGGGCCGGGCGCAGTGGCTCACGCCTGTAATCCCAACACTCTGAGAGGCCAAGGCGGACAGATAGCTTGAGCTCAGTAGTTTGAGATCAGCCTGGGCAACATGGCAAAATTCCATCTCTTGAGAAAAAATTTTAAAACAATTAGCCAGGTGCGGTGGTGCATGCCTGTGGTTCCAGCTACTCAGGAGGCTGAGGTAGAAGGATGGCTTGAGCCCAGGACATAGGAGTTGCAGTGTGCTATAACTGTGCCACTGCACTCCAGCCTGGGCGACAGAGCCAGACCCTGTCTCAAAAAGAAAAAAAGGAAAGAAAGGTAGAAAAAAAGAATGAAAAATAATATATTTTTTAAACACAGTGACAGAATGTAAATAAAAACAAAGAAAGGTACAGACACAAATCACGGGGGTAAAAATGGAGAAGGAAATAAGGGAACTGGTTTTAAAAGGTGAGACATTTGTTTTGTGGTGATAGTGCATAAAGACATCTAAAATTTAAGACTGCTTAAAATTAACAGGTAAAAATTAATTCACAAATGTGCATAATTACCTAAAGGCTTTATCATGACAAATCAAAAATGCAAGGTATAAAAAGGGTATGAGAGACTATAATATCTACTAGTAAAAATTAGGACACCATTCCCCAGAAATCAGATTTTTTTCCAAACCAAAATAAAACTATATCTCAAGTTACGCAGGATGACATAATCTAAATCTGCCACCAGGTTCTAATATCTGTGAATAGACTAGAACAGAGACTACGAACTGGAAGTCCTGAAGCTGTCTCCAAATCTGGCCTGCATATGTTTTGTTTCACCCACACAATGTTAAAAAAGAAAATGGAATCCAGATTTCCAACTCTGACAAATGGAAAGATCCGGAAAGCTAGATCTGCAATCCCACATGGCAAGCTTTCCTGGAGTTGGGCAGTAGCTTTCCTCTTCAAATAGTAAGTCCAGGTGCGGTGGCTCACGCCTGTAATCCCAGCACTTTGGGAGGCCGAGGCGGGCGGATCACCTGAAGTCAGCAGTTCAAAACCAGCCTGACCAACATGGAGAAACCCCGTCTCTACTAAAAATACAAAATTTGCTGGGCGTGGTGGCACATGCCTGTAATCCCAGCTACTCAGGAGGCTGAGGCAGGAGAATCACTTGAACCCGGGAGGCAGAGGTTATGGTGAGCCAAGACTGCACCATTGCACTCCAGCCTGGGCAACAAGAGCGAAATTCCATCTCAATAAGTTTATATATATATATTAGTAAATATAGAAAAGTAAAGGATATATACTCATCTTCAACATGAAAAGACATTTGCTAAAACTCAACATCTAGTCTTAAAAAAGGTCTAAAAACAGGAAAAGGTGAATAAAACATATCTCAATATAACATTCAACTTAATAGAAAAATATATTAAAGTCAGGGAGAAAAGTCCACTATCACTGCCATTAATTTATTGTGATCTAGAGATACTAGTCAATGACATTAGTCAAGATAAAGAAATATACAGTATACACTAGAAATGAAGCATCAGTCATTATTTTCAAATGATATTACCATATAATCTAACAAACCTAGAACTCAGAAAGATACCCAAGTTTTAATACAAGAAAATCAATACGCTTCCTATTTACAAAAAAAAAAAAAAAAAAAAACCCAGAAGAAAATTTCAAAAAGAAAAAAAAAAAAAAGATAAATTAATGGAAATGCATACCCTATTCTTTGGGACAAAGACTGTAAGTTACAAAGACATCAATTCTCCCTGGTTTAATTTATCATCTGTATACAAATACCAATAAGATTGTTTTTTGGAACTAAAGTTTTTGGAACTTTAGCAGAAGATTCTAAAGTGCATCTGAAAAATAAATATGTGAAAATAGTGAAAAATACACTTTTAAAAAGGAGTATCAAGAGAAGACTGGCTTTCTAGTTATCAAAGTACACTCAGAACACTTGAATAAAAAGACAGATTAGAGGAGTAGAACAGTCCAGAAAAGACATATATCGATTTGGGAGTGTGATCAAGGTGGCATTACATTTCAATTGGGAAAACATGACTTATTTGACAAATGATGTTTGCACATCTGGGTGGCCACCTGAAAAAAAAAAAATTAAATCAAAGATTTAGTTTAAAACATTAAATTATGGACAAGCATAGTGGCTCATGACTGTAATACCAGCACTTTGGGAGGCCAAGGCAGGAGGATTGCTCCAGGCCAGGAGTTCAAGACCACCCTGGGCAACAGAGCAAGACTCTGTCTCTACAAAAATAAAAATAACAAAATTAACTAGGTGTGGTGGTGCACACGTATAGTCCTAACTACTGAGGAGGCTGAAGCAGTAGGATCACTTGAGCCTGGGAGGTCGAGGCTGCAGTGAGCTATGATCGTGGCACCACACTGCAGCCTGGGCAACAGAGACCCTGTCTCGAAAAAAAAAACCTATTAAATTATAAAAGTCAGATATAAGAGAAGAGGTTATCTTTCCATAATGTCAGTGATGAAGTCTAAATATCACCCAAGCCTAAAGTCATTAAACATTGACAAACTTAGCTATACATATAAATAAATATTTCCCCAGTTAAAAAAGTTTTTCAGCTCAAAAAGGCAAACAAATTAGAAAAAAATGTACAACTGACCCTTGAACAACTCGGAGGTTAGAGGCACTGACCCCGATGCAGTTAAAAATCTGCCTATAAGATACCCCAAAAACTTAACTGTCAATAGCCTCCTGTTGACCAGAAGACTTGCCAATAACATCAACAGGTAACACATATTTTGTACATGTATTATACACTATAATCTTACAATAAAGCTAGAGAAAAAATGTTATTAAGAAAAGCATAAAGAAGAGAAAATATATCTCCTATTCATTAAGTGGAAGTGGTTTTCCTCTCTTTGTCTACATGTTGAGTAGGCTGAGGAAGTCGGGGGTCTTGCTCTCTTGGGGTGGCAGAGGCAGGATAAAACCTGCATATAAGTGGACCTTTGCAGTTCAAATTTGTGTTGTCTAGGAGTAAACTGTATCCCACAAATATAGCTCACAAAATGCTATCATCTTTAATACCATATGGACAAAAGAAGTCAAGAATTAGTCTTATAGGAAAATATAGGTACTCTTTTGAAAAGCTTTCAACCTTACTCCTTGTAAGAAAAATGCAAATTAAACGTACAATAAGACACCATTTTCTAACCCATTGGATGAGTAAAAAAAATCCCCAAATTTTGATAATTTCTTGAAAAGGCTGTGAGGAAACAGGTGCTCCAATAATTGCTCCTAGAAGGGTAAATCTACATGACTACATGAAAGTATAACTGTTTATCAAAACTTATTCCTTTTTACCAAAGGAAAGTGTAACTGTTGACAAAATCCTTTTCATTTGTTATCAAGTATGTTACTGACACCAATGATAAAATTTCAATAAGGTCGGTACAGTGGACAATAGTACTGGGTCAATTTTAATTTCCTGATATTGATGACTTTACTATGATTATGTACAAGGATGTCCTTGATTTTAGGAAATACACACTAAAAAATATTTACAGTTAAAAGGGCATTATATCTACAAGTCACTCTCAGAAAATTCAGGAAAAAAATAGCTAAACAGCGAAATCAAATGTAGTAAAATGTTAACATTTGGGGGAATATGGATGAAGGGTATATGGGAATTCCTTGTATTGTTTTGAAACATTTCCACTAAGACTGAAATTATTTTAAACTGAAATGTCCTTACAGATAAACGTACATGTGTGAAATGATGCAGCTACACACACGGCCACTGCAGCATCATTCATGTTAGCAAATGGCTGCAGATTGGTTAGATTATGATACATTCATAAAATGAAACACTATTCAAGCATTTTGAAAAATAAGATATCAAGTGGAAAAAAGTAACCTAAAAAATAACATCACATTATATTATACCTCTAGCAGGAAGCCACTCATCCTCCTAGAAAACAATCACACAGATGCCTGTGCTTGTTTAAAAGACACAGAAGACAGTAGTGGTGCGCTTCCCTGGGGAGGGGTGGCAGAAGACCCCTCACAGAAGTTCTGTGGACACCACTGTGTCTTTTGAATTGTGTGGCATGGGCATGTTTCACCTATTTAAAAATAATTTAAAAACATATATATTCATTAAACACTTATTATTGGTCAGCTACCACCATGCTATCCACTTTACATGGATCCTCCCATTCGTTTATCTTCCATTTATTCTATCCTTAGTCCCACCTTACAGATGAGAAGTTGACATCTTAACTGACTTGCCCAGGACCAGATGGCCAGTGAGGTCCACGTGATCCTAGCGCCTAAGTGCAGTTTTCTCAAGGAGGTCTGTCTTCCCAGTGCTACTTCAAGCACAGCATGACAAGTGCCAAGCACCATGCCAGGCATCAAAAGGTATCTGCCCTGGAAAGGACTGTGGTCTAGGGGAGAAGCGGGTAGGGCAGTGTAACCAAGCATGTATGGCGTAACCAAGCATGTATGGCAGAGCATCAGAGGTGCCAAGACAGATGTGTGCATGGATGCACACCAGGAATGCAAAGACAATGCTGATTACTTCCATAGGAGGAGGCTCAGAAACTTCTGCAGAAATAAGGTGGCCCTGCCGGTGAGCTTCGAAGGCAGATATTTGCCAAGAAGGACACGGCCTGAGGTATATTTATCAGATAAAAGCAGCAGCAAAAGCCAGGTGTGAAGGTGAGTCCCAGAAACCTCCAGTTCAATATGGCTGGGGTACAGGATGCCTGGTGGGACTAGCAAGAGTCAGAAGTGCAGGCAGGGCTAAATTACAGAAAGCCTTACATGCTGCAGAAAGTTTCTTGGCAGGAGAGGAAAAAAGCCTAGACGTGTTCTCTTCAGTCTTCAATTAGCTCCCATGCAAGAGAAGGTGCCATAGACCACCCAGCCAGCTTTATCTCCAGCATTAGCTGGGCCGTCAGGAGGACAAGGACGACCAAAGAGGAAGACCACTGGCCAGACATGGGTAGGGGAGACAGACAGGGGGAATGCAGTGACCAGAGAAACATCTGTGGGTTCTTCTGTGGGATCGGAGAGCACCTACTGTAATCAGAAAACTCCAAGTAGAGCACCTGGGATGGATAGCCTGCTCTTTTGGGACAAAATCCAAATGCTGGTTCCAACAAAGGACCCTGGCCTGCTGGGAACATCAAAAGATTCCCCCAGACGCCTGACAGGTACACACAGAAGTTCTAGCCCAGACGACAGTCAGGGTGACACAAAGTCTTTCTGCTTTCAAGGACCAGAACATCAAATATTCAGAAGTAACTACTGTCCAACATCTAATTAGAGAGGGACTGATATCTCAGCGTCACGCACAAATGCAGACTCCTCAGCCACAGGAGACCTTCACGTGAAATACAACAGCTTGACTCACCTTCTTGACTTCTGTTACAGAATATCTCACTGCACAGCCTAAGTGTTTGTTTGTTTGGTTTTTGAGACGGAGTCTCGCTCTGTCGCCCAGGCTGGAGTGCAGTGGCATGATCTCGGCTCACTGCAAGCTCCGCCTCCCGGGTTCATGCCATTCTCCTGCCTCAGCCTCCTGAGTAGCTGGGACTACAGGCACCCGCCACCATGCCCGGCTAATTTTTTTGCAGAGATGGGGTTACACCATTTTAGCCAGGATGGTCTCGATCTCCTGATCTTGTGATCCACCTGCCTCGGCCTCCCAAAGTGCTGGATTACAGGCGTGAGCCACTGTGCCCGGCATTTGTTTTTTATGCTTTTTTTTTTTTTTTTTTCTGAACACTCTCTCAGTAGCAGACCTACTAGAACACTGGGAACAGTGCATTCAAACCTGGTGGAACCACGGCAGCAAATCTTACCAAATAATCATTATACAAATCAGAAGCAACAGGTCAGTGCTGGGTCTTGGGGCTTCACACAAAAGCCTCTGATATGGTTTGGCTCTGTGTCCCCACCCAAATCTCACCTTGAATGCTAATAATCCCCACATGTCGTGGGAGGGACCTGGTGGGAGGTAACTGAATCATGCGGGTGTGTTTCTCCTGTGCTGTTCTCTTGACACTGAATAAGTCTCACGGGGCCTAATGGTTTTATAAAGGGCAGTTGCCCTGTACATGTCTCTCTTGCCTGTAGCCATGTAAGATGTGACTTTGCTCCTTATTCACCTTCTGCCATCATTGTGAGGCCTCCCCAGCCATGTGGAACTATGAGTCAATTAAACCTCTTTCCTTTATAAATTACCCAGTCTCTGGTATGTCATTATTATAAGCATGAGAACAGACTAATACAGCCTCTTACATAAACCTGGCCCTCAACCAATGATAGGTTTATAGATATGCTGCTAGGACTGGGTTAATAGAAGCACGTGACTGGATATCTGAAACTGTAAATCGAGGAACGGACCCTGCTGATGAAATGGAGCTAGTAGAATCTTTTTATTTATTTATTTATTTATTTATTTAGACATGGAGTCTCACTCTGTCACCCAGGCTGGAGTGCAGTAGTGTGATCTCGGCTCACTGCAACCTCTGCCTCCTGGGTTCAAGCCATTCTCCTTCCTCAGCTTCCCGAGTAGGTGGGACTACAGGTGCGCATCATCATGCCCAGCTAATTTTCGTATTTTTAGTAGAGACAGGTTTCACCATGTTGGCCAGGCTGGTCTCGAACTCCTGACCTCAGGAGATCCACCCACCTCGGCCTCCCAAAGTGCGGGGATTACAGTTGTGAGCCACCGCGCCCAGCCAGTAGAATCTTTTTAACAAGTACTACAGTCTGCTGGGTTTTTCAGCATTGACCACGAAGATGATGTTGATTTCCTGGCCAGGTTTTCTCAGCTGGTCACAGGAGAGAGACAGTCACTGATAGTTAGCTGGACTACGTGAATTCAGAATGGGGATATCAAGAATGCTCAAGAGGCACTAGAAGCTGCTGAAACAAGGATGGCACTGACGCTGCGGTGACTAGCTCCTGATGACGGGACCTCCTCTAAGATACTGGCTTTTGCTGTGATTATGTTCAGATTTTGAAACATCTTAGATCAGCAGAAAGCCGGTGCAGCGGCAATCATGTCAGTTGCCACAAAGGAACTTATGATGAAGACCCTATCTTTGAAAACGAGAGTAACGATGAAGCCATGTTTGTCAACTATAAAAAACAACAGAAGTTACTGTTGGACCGGCTAGCTCAAGCTTCACCAAGGTACTGCTGACTCCTGCGCAGTTTATATTTCGACACCACAGCACTGGTAGGCTACACGGTTTACAGAAGCTGCAGGAGCAGCAGGCTTGCTATAGAAATTGACAGAAGCTCTTCCAGGATCTCATGGTGCCCCCTTCTCAGGTGCTGGTTCAATGGCTAGTGCTCTGCAAATATGACACAGCCGTTGGTAATGTCAGGAGTTAGCTCTTATGTGTGACATGAGTTTTTCGGAACTTGTCAGACAGGAAAGTTCTTTACTGCTGAATCTCAACACATTCCGTGGGTATTAATGGCTTTCTTAGATCACAGGGGGTCTGCAACACTGTAGCGCAAAAGCGTGCAGCGGAACTGCTTGGCAGTTCTTTAGATTTGTCAGATCTCTCAAGAAACAATGAATCCTTTCACTGAGGATATTCTCAATAGAATAGAAGACTTATCAGGGCTTTCTCCACTGAGAATGGTTAGCAGTCCTTACTGAAGAACAATAATCAACTATTTGTTTACAAGACAGCCGGAATACCAATTATTGACAGTAAACACCCATCAAAAAGGAAGCAAGCATTAATTGAGGAATCTGTAGACTCCACTGATGGAAAAGTTTAAACTTCTGTTAGGAACACTGATGCTGACCGCAGGGGAAGAAAGGCAGGCATCTATAACAGACTGCTTCAACCATGGTGCTGGACTTGCCAGAGCAGCGAGCAGACTGGGGAATGGCGTGGCTGTTCAGAGGCTCTGAACTGTTTACAGATATTCTCATCAGCCCTCAGCTGTGCCTTACAGAAGGATATGCTCAGAAGCAGAGGTCCCATGTTCTTCCTCATTGCATGATTACTTGCCTGGAGGAAGAAGTCCTTCTGTTCCTCTTGTCTGCTCAGACATGTGCTCAAAGACTATGAAGGAAGAGACCCCCAGGAACTCATTCCTTTTATCAAGCAGATTACAGCCAAGCCTAAGACACAGGTATCCCCATTTTACGACAGATGTTCATGCCTCTGCTCATGCAGTTGTTGAAGAATTGCTCTGACCAGCAGAAGAAAACAACCAGTCTGCTGCTGAGAAAGGCAGATGCTGCCGAGGAGTTACTTTGCCTCCCTTCTGTCAGTCACAGGCAGTGGAATGAGTGAAGGTACAGAGAACAGAGAATGAGTGCTGGTTACTGTCTCACAGGAGCAGCTGAATATCCAGATCCAAGTGCACAGAAACGGGTTTTGTCCTTCAAAGTTGAGAACCTCAGGGAGGTTTGGAGGGACTGTGGGATTTCTTGCTCCTGTTTATAAGTGCATTGCCCCCATGTGGTTCCCAGAACCTTGAAAACAAATCTCTGTCCTGGCAGATGCACAAACAGTACTGCCTTATGTGGTTACACAGTGACACTGAGAACAGTGCATCTCCGATGCAGCCCAGGATGCACTGAGCATCTTCACCAAGGAAACCTGCCCTCCTCGCACGCCGCCCCAGGAATGATTTAGGACTTTTGTCAAGTGCTTCAGCAGCCTGAGGCTAAAGTTTTATGAGAATTCTTTAAAGGTACTCTTCCAGGGCGGGAACCCTAAGGACTGCATCTCCCTGGGTCTACTTCACAATGAGAATTCCAGTTAATAATTTAGGGGGGAAAAAAGCAATTTTTGTGTGCCATTCACACTAGTATTTTTAACACTGCTTTGGGCTTACTGCAGTACACTTACTGAGGATTTTCTGATATGAGGTCGGTTGCACTCATGGATGCAGACCCCACGGAGAAGGAGAAAGGCTACCTGCACTTAGCTTTTACGCAATTATAAAAATCAAATTTATCTGAGCTGTAAGAACTTGGCAGACCACAAACAACAAAAGAAGAACGTGGGAGGTTTGTTACAGTGAATGTTTAAAAAGCACACTTGCAGAGATAATAATTTCAAAAAGCAGATGAGTCTAAGAGCCACACCATCCTGGAGCCCGTGGACTGAAATAGGACAGTAGGATGCCAGCCAATTACAGCCCAGTAGAGTACACCGAAGTTCACGGCAGTGACCCCAGGTCATCAAGAAGTGGCTAAGTTAACAAGACCACACTCTGATCTAAGAAGGTAAAGTATGCAAGGACTTTTAGAAAAGTTTCCACACACAATAGTTTCACTATACCATACCATTTTCATCCTTAAAGGAGTCAATCATCAGCTTTCCAAAACACCATTCACCATGATTTCTAGATAGGCAATATTTCACCACGATAAATTTCTTTTTTTTTTTTTTTGAGATGGAGTCTCACACTGTCGCCGGGGCTGGAGTCCAATGGCATGATCTCGGCTCACTGCAAACTCCACTTCCCGGGTTCAAGCGATTATCCTGCCTCAGCCTCCTGAGTAGCTGGGATTACAGGTGCCCGCTACCACACCCAGCTAATTTTTTGTATTTTTAATAGAGACGGGGTTTCACCATGTTGTCCAGGCTGGTCTCAAACTCCTGACCTCATGATCCACCCACCTCGGCCTCCCAAAGTGCTGGGATTACAGGCACGAGCCACTGCACCTGGTCATAAATTTCAAACTTTACTAAAAATTCACAATGATTTATGTGTCACAAGTTGCATGATAACTATAAAAGCATTTGTTAAATTTTTAATATAACTTCTTCAAACCAAGCAAATCCCGCCGAAAACATTCACTCTGATAAAAGTGAATAAATCAAAAGCAATAATTTTACATGGCGGAGTATGCTTAACTTAGGAACGTAATGAAGGTTAGTTATAAGCAATTAATGTTATGACTTACGAGACAAGAATAGTTTTCCTCATGGTCTTTCTAAGATATCAAATGATACTCCATCCTTGGAGAGGTATTTTCAGATATAATCACTATGTTAAAAGTACACTAGTAATTGAAAAGTTTTAATTAAAAGGAACATCTTTATATAGAAACGTGTCCCCAGGCTAAGTGTGGTAGCTCATGCCTGTAATCCCAGCATTTTGGGAGGCTGGGGCAAGAGGATCACTTGAGGCCAGGAATTTAAGACCAGCCTGGGCAACATAGCAAGACCTCAGCTCTACAAAAAGAAGTGTTTTTCACTAGCCATATGTGGTGGCACATGCCTGCAGTCCCAGCTACTCAGGAGGTCGAGGGAGGAGGATTGCTTGAGCCCAGGAGTTCAAGGCTACAGTGAGCTATAATTGCACCACTGTACTCTAGCCTGGACAACACAGCAAGACCCAGTCTCAAAAAAAATAAAAATCCCCAATGGTTTTCTCATCACCATATTAGAGAGGTCACTTAAAAAAAAAAAAAAAAAAAAAAAAGCACTGGCTCCAACTTGTACTAGGGATCCCATGAATGTAATGGGAAATTATTAGAACTGCATGCACTTGCTCAGTACTCTACATGTGTATTTGATTGATTCAAGTAGTCCAGAAAGTACCTAATTGTTACCAACTCTGTAAACACAGCACCCCAAACTAGAATACCGTACAGGAAGGTTTCTTGCAATTCCATGTGGAATTCCCTGGCTAGTACTTGGTGCAGGGAGAAAGCTGCTTCACCAGCACATGCGGGTGAAGGTCTGGAAGGAGCAGCACGGGGTGGTGCTCACCTTCTCGGTCTAAGGACCATGGCTATGTGTACTCTCAGGAAGGAGAAGGTCTGACGTGGCTCCTCACTCAGTGGCTTGCTGCCCATGTGAAAGCATCCGATTTAGCACAATGACTAGAGACAGTAGCCCGTGGGGCTCAGGCGGGCACTCGCACAGAGGTAATAAATCTGCATCAGATTCTCAGGAATACAAAACACACCTGTAACCTGGAAGACTACCACACAGCTAATCGAAATATACGGAAATGGCTCCTGTTTTCCTTTCCTGCCCTGCCAGATACCAGGAAACTGTGCGGGAGAAACTGCTTAGATTCCAGCATCCTGTCTTTCCTTGGGGAGAAGAAGTCCAGATCAAGGGGAAGAAGAGCCTGACTAGTGTGGTTTGAGAAACAAGAACTTCAGAATCATGTTATACATGAGAAAATGTATTCTAGGAAAGAAGTGTTAACAGAAATGGCAATGTTATTCCATGCTTTGTAGCAAGAATGCACTTGTTCCCCAAGACAACTGGGAAAGGTTTTCACAGAACAGTTTTGCCAAAAACACAGGAATCTGTCTTTTTCAAGAAAGATGTAGTAAATTCCTGCTCCTGTAGAAAGAGCCATATTGAGCACTGTGGGGTGTTCAGAAATGAGAAGGCTGTATTCCTGGCCAGAAAGAGCTTATTACCTAGAAGGGATATTAGACTGCATCTGTGCACAATTAACATGAGAGAACGCAGGAATCCTAAACACTCTAAGTGCTGTGGGAGGTAGGACAAGGAAAAGCACCCCTCAGAGTCCATCCACGAGGAGGAGCACTGAAGATGCTTGAATGACGGAGCACTGAAGATGCTTGAATGACGGCCAAGATTTGACGGAGACCAGAGGAAGAGGTAGAAGGAAGGCATCCTTGCTGCAGAAAGCCTGCAGAAAGCATGATGTGCAGAAACACAGGGATGCCTAGAAACAGCAGGAATCCAGTTTCAGTATGATGTCTAATAAGTTTGTGCCTAGAAGCACAGAGGGAGGGCGGATGGAAATGCAGGGGACAGGTGACAGGATACTCAGGAGCCAAGAAATGGATCTTGGTGTGTAATGGGAAATGGTGAGGTGTGGAGGAGGGAGCTGTGCTGCAGGGGTCCTTTGATGATGAAGAGGAAAGGACTAGTCAGAGGCTACTAAAATCACATGGCTGGATGCCAGAAGCACCAAGGGTGAGAAGAACTGAAGCAAAGCCATGGATCTGAGTGGAGAGGAGGCGCCTAAGCAGGGCAGAGAGAGAACAGTCGGAGACAACAAGCTTTCAAGAGAACAGACAGAGACAAGAAGCTTTCAAGCCCTGGCGAGGAGTCAGGAGAAACTGAATACAGGAAAGAAGCCAGGTTAAAGAAAAGTGATAAGTTTCAGGCATTTTATGGCTGTCATTCTTTTTAATTTTAAATACCAACCAACTACAGCTAGCTACAAAACATTCAACAAACATATCCTATCACCTTCAGAGGAAAAAAGAAGGGCACATTTCTTAAAAACCAGCAATATGCTATCCCAAATGTCCAAACTTTAAAGTTTAGGAAAATTACCAGGTAGAAACGGTGACTTCTTCTTTATCATTTTTTTTTCTTTTTTATCCAGTTTCTCCGGGCTTTCCTGTTCTTTTTCTTGCTCTGCGTCTGTGGGGTCCGTCTGCTCATTTGAAACGCTGGAAACATCTGGGTTTTGAGCGTGTGGTGCAGAGGTCTTGGCATGGCAGGAGTCATTAGGATGTGCTGCAGCTGGAATTGAAGACAGCCCACTGTTTTCTAAGGCTTGCTAAGACAGAACAAAACTAAAAGGTTAGAAGGTAACGATGGCCCAACTCTGCCTACCAAAATCAGTCAAAAGCTTTACCTATAGAATTCTAATTCCACTCCAAGAAATAAGAATCTACAATTCCAAGTCATCACTTATAAGTGAGGCTTCCAACCCTTTGAGGCTGTAACGTCCTTTCTGATGATATGACATCTTGCTCCCACCCAAAATAATATAAGCATTTACATTTCTAAATTAAAGGGAATTAAAATTTATTTGACTTTCAGAAATCTTACCTCACACAACTTTGGTTGTCTCTAAATAGTCTTGGGAATCCCTATTTTAAGGCTTTTGAGTTACACTGGGTTTAACTTTCAGGTATCGGCTGTAGAACGACACCCTGAGATTCCTCATACCCCTGGCCAGCTCTTCCCCATGAAGGTACAGGAGGAAGGTTAAACAAGTAACAGAGAGACAGGAGGAGTGAAGAGTTAGTGTGAAGTCACGGTGGACTAGAAAGCTGGGGGCTCTGCGCTCCTGCCCCCCTCCTCTCCCACACGTGCAGGTGCTGCCCACACACCCACGAGAGAAGGCCAGGCAGTATGAACGCTCTCAGAATTGTCAACACCCATGACTGTCTCCAAATCATAAACCAGAACCTCAAGAAAGAATAAAACGCTTTTTCCACCTCTGTCAACATAAATAGATACAACTTCGGAAAAGCCTGTTCTTTTCAAGTAAAGTTCACTTATGGAAAAAAAATAAAAGTTTGTGATTTTTTTTTTAATGTATAGATGAATAAATCATTTGAATGTTGCGCCGTCCATAAGCAATTAAGTAGGCATATTAATTTCTTTCGGTTCAGGCACATTTTTCATGAGGATACCCTGACTTTGACAAGCCCTGCAGATTTATTCTCAATTATCATCCCTGGTTTCTGACCCAGCACGAGCACGTAAGCCTCACACCGCAGGGAAGCGTGCTTCACCTGTAAAATGTCCTGGTTGATGCCCACTGTGATGCTCAGCTGCTGCCCAGGCTGCGGGGACTGCCCCGACTCCACCGGCGCCGGCTCTGAGAGCTCCAGGAGCTGCTGGATGACGTCGCTCACCGCCTGGGAGCTCGGCTGGCTTGAGGCCGACGTGGCTTGGGCTTCCGTCTGTTGAAGAGGTAACGTCTGAAAAAGTGTGGCCTGAAACACAGAAACATTTTCATTAAAAATACAATTTTGCTCTTCAATTTAAAAAGGAAAATTAAAAAAAAAAAAACAGGCAATACCCTCCTTAAGGGTGTTAAAATCTAAGAGTATCCTAAACATAAATTTTAAATATAATGCCTCACTGATTCTGGTGTTTGGCACGATATTGGCTCTTAATATACTCAATACATTGTTCTAATGCAATTTTGTACAGTTTTTTCCAGTGAGCATAGAGACTCAAGATGGCAGATTGAGCACGTGAACCCTCACCTTCCTGTTAGCCCATAAAATTGAAGTGAAGGAATTTTTAAAATATCAAGTTACACAAATTTAAAAAGTAGGAAAGAAACCACTGCAGTCAAAATAATTCAACACATTTGTGAAAAAATTCTTCCTGCAAGGAGACTGGAGGAATAAAGGCGCTGTAATGCTACAGCCAAGAAAACCTAAGTCAGAGGAAAGGGCTGTGATGGGAGAGAGAGCCAGTCCCACCCCTGCAGGGCTCGGGAATCCGAAATGTCCCATCCAGAAGAAAACGGATGGCAGGGAAACTACCCATACGACACTGTGAGGGTGTGGACAGGACACTCTACCTTTGTCAAAACCCGTTGAATGGACAACTCTGAGAGTAAACCCTGACAAAAACTATGGACTTTGGTTACTAATAATAATATATCCACATTCGTTCACCAGTTGTAACAAATGTACCCGACCGATGCACCATGTCAGAAATGTGGGAAACTGAGCACAAGAGAAGAGGAGTATATGGTAGCTCTCTGTACTTTCTGCCCAAATTGTCTGTAAAAACTGCTATGTTCTTACCTGCCCAAGTAAGAGTATAAGGGAGATTCCAGGTTTCTAAATCCCTATAATTACATTTCTTTTTATTGAGAATATAAATGTTTAAAATGATCTGGACTATTTTTCTAGATTATTCACTACATCTATGTTTTGATTTGCATATTGCCAAAGGAAATGATGAAAACTAATACTCGGTTGATTTACACAACGTTAAAAATTGTATTTAAAAAAATTCAGACCAAAATAGAATTTTGAAGACATAATTATTGGACTCTATTCTCCAGCTTTATAATTCATTTTACAACATTCTACCTGGTCAAGAATATATTGAGGAACCATCCCACACTGCAAATATTATGAAAAAAGAAAAGAAAAAACAAACACTAAAGGTAAACCTAATGTTTAAAAACTAAGTATTAATTAGACTTATTTTCCATACTGGTAGGAGGCAGCTGTTGACATAATACAACCAAGTAACTGCATTCATAAGCATACATTAAAACTTCCGACACTTTCGTATTTAATGTCTACTACTATTAAGATACCTATAGTTGATGCTTAAATTTTACCATTTATTAATCTGTTGAGAGGGTAGTGCAGTACGAGTAACTAAATGAGACTGAGCTAAAGACGCCTACAGAAAAAATAAGAGTGGGTGTATGTCCCTGTGTGTGTGTGTGTGTGTGCGCACCTGTGTCTCTCTGTGTGTAGGCATATGTATTTAGAGTCATACAATTTTTAACTACATGTACTGAAAAATATAATTTAGTTTCAAAAGTCCAAAGACTTAGGAAAAATTATCACTGTCACATAAGAAAAGAGAAATATTACCTACAAAGGATAATTAATTCTTAAATTATAATTTAAAGAATATTCAATAATCATCAATAACACTGTAGAAATCATCATTTCACAAATTAATGATTACAGTTTGTCTTATTTTCACAGGTTCAGATGACAGTCTGAATCAGTCATCTAATTATTATTCTCAAATTTTAAAAGATTGACTTTAATTCTTTAAAAAGTAGCACCTTTTCTCCATATAAAAAATTTTCATAGCACCTTTTTGCTACTAAATATTCAATTGTAAAGGTCATATTTAAAATGACAGATTTTAGTTTAAAAAGAAGTTCTTCCAAATTACTAAACTTACCGTTAAAACATGAGCAGTCTCTGTAGAACTTGTTGAATTCTGTGGCCCACCCATATGCATCTTGCTGATATGCGTGTTTAAGCTGCCTAAACTTTTAAATACACAACTACATTCTGTACAGTTATAGGTAGGACCATTCTTGACCTTAAAGAATAAAAAGGAAAAAAATGATGTTTTACAATTAATTGTTAAATTTAAACATCTAAATTATGGCAAATCATAATTTACCATTCCATTCAAAATGACAGAAATAATCTAACCCTTCAACATTACCTTTTTTCTTTTAAATTAGATAGTTCTAGAATCAATGACCCTACTCTTTAAACAATATTGCCGGTATAAGATGAATTGAAATTTCAGTCTTTTCTATAAAATAGAAATTATTCAAGAGTGAGAAAACACATTTTTCAATTATTGTAATTTAACAAAAACAAACTGTCAGGCATAAGATATTCTCAGTTTTTTAAACAGTTGAATACAATGTTCAATAGCAAAGGCCAGACAGTTATATATAAATACATATTACACCAAATATGCTTTCAGATGGCCAAAACCACAGAGGTTAGGAAAGATGGTCATAATGATATATGAACTTTTCATCAATTTTGATATTCTGTATCAACAACTAATTTTCTTTTTTTCTTTTTTTTTTTTGAGATGCTCTGTTGCCCAGGCTGGAGTGCAACAGCGTGATCTCGGCTCACTGCAACCTCTACCTCCCAGGTCAAGTGATTCTCCTGCCTCAGCCTCCCAAGTAGCTGGGATTACAGGCGCCTGCCATCGTGCCCAGCTAATTTTTGTATTTTAGTAGAGATGGGGTTTTGCCATGTTGGCCAGGCTGGTCTCGAACTCCTGACCTCAGGTGATCCACCCACCTCAGCCTCCCAAAGTGCTGGGATTACAGACGTGAGCCACCACACCTGGCCTAACAACTAATTTTTAAAGCTATGATAAATCCAGAAACCATGGAAACCAGTAAAATGAGTAAGAACAGCTGTGAACAGAGAAAATACCTAAAATATTCTTTCTCTATTACTAAAACCCAGTGTTAGTTACTGTAGAACTATGAAGGCTAGCTTGAAAACCCATTGGCCCCTTCCGAACTTGAGTAAGACTTCCATTCTGTTTCTGGTGCCTCTCTAAGAACCAAATTTAGATTCTTACAAAATTGGATAATATTTATGAACCAATCTTTAGAGGCTCTTTCTGGAACAACCCATTCTAGTGCAGGTCCGAGAGCACTTCTCAGTGGCAACAGGTGAGTCTCTGGGCCCTTTAGCATAGGGGGAGTTTTCTAAACTCAGGAGTACTGACAAGTACCTCACAAGGCTCCTCTAAGGTTCCAGTGAGGCATTTCTGTGTGCTACACAAATAGACGATCCTTCCTATGCAATCATCTTCACCCAGAGGCAACACCACAAGAATGACTTACAACAGCCCAAATTTATTCTTCCGAAATCTAAAGGTAACCTCAGTACCTCACTAACACTGACATGCCTTCCTAATGTCTCTGGGTCTTAGATACTAAAAAGATTAACTCATTGAACATGGAACTGTGAATCTGTTCATAAAACTACGTGAGATGTGCAGGGTTTTTTTCTCATTTTAGATTCTCTTTTTCATTTTAGACATTCTGTTTATCTAAGATCAAAGACAGCTTCTACTTGTTTTTATTAAATTTGGATAGTGAGTATTAACTCTAAGTTCACTTCAGTGTTAGTTAAGGTATTATTCTAAGTAAAAAATTAAGAGATACACATTTGCTCCCAAGAATATGATAGTTTTCATTCTGCAAAATCATTCCATAGGATATACTGATCCATGATAAAAGTATTTGTGTTGTTTAAATATTTCTTTGTATTCTACAATTAGAATATAAATCAATAAGTCACGATGGTTAGTTAGAGCAAAGGTTGACCTGCTTTACAGAAATACTTGCAGGATCTACACATCAGTATGCTCTGTAGACAACAGAAAATTACCACAGGAAATCATCATTTTAGTCGAAAGACTGGACAAGCAGCATGGAAGGAAATGAACAAAGCAGGCCTCTGTCCAAGAGGGAACGGACATGTACCATATGAGCTCTGTAGTATTAGCAGTAAGAAAAACACTTTTTTTTCCCAATTTTATTTCTTATCTTTTAATTTCTTACACTTGCCTGTGTTTCAAGTTTGCTAAAGGGATGAAATACATTATTTAGAATGACAGACTATAACTAACAAAGGTATTAGGATTATTTTCAAATATTTATTCCCCAAAGCCATGCTGTCAGCAAGAAGACAAAAAAGATAGTAGTTTATATTTCTTCCACATGTAATAAACCAAAAAAATTCCCACGTATGTATTTTTTAAAACAGGGTCTGCTCGGCACAAAATCAATCTGCATTTTTTTAAATGGAAAAGAATTTCTCAGGTCCGTTTATTAACCCAAAAGATACCTACTGTCCCCTGTGAAATACCGCTTATGCCCCCAACCCGTGTTTACCTCTGAGTGGACTCGCTGCACGTGCGACTGAAGATTCCCTTTCTGAGAGAAGGCGGCAGGACAGAAGGCACAGGCATGGGGTTTTTCACCTGTGTGCTTGATCATGTGGGTCTGCAGTGCCCCCTTCTGGTTAAAAGCCTTTCCACATTCACTACATTTGAACGGCCTTTCACCTAGAGTGGGAGAAAAATGATCAAAATATAATTCCATATTGTATGGGCATCTTACGGATTGAAAAGAACAACACTGAAGTTACCCAAACCTATCCCTCCAGCCAAAATGTCTCCCCAGAACTCTAGATGCATATATACAAGTGTCTACTTTAAATCTCAAAATTAACATGTCAAAACTGCACTTGACCATCTCGCAAACTGCTCCACCTGTGGGCTTCCCCAGGCAATGCCATCCTTCCAGGGGATCAGGCAATGCCATCCTTCCAGGGGATCAGGCAAAAAACCTTGGAGTCATCCTTATCTTTGGTTTCTCTCACGTCTCACACTCAATAATAACTTCAAAATACACCCAGAGCAGCCCTGCTTCCCGTCCACAACCACCACCCCAGGGTAAGGCACTCCCCTATCACTCAAAGCTCCTGAAACCACCCCCAGCTTGACTCACTGCTTCCACCCTGGCCCCTTCCTAGGCTGCTCTCAAAACAACAGACAAAATGACCCTCTTTAAGTCTGAGCAAGTCACTTGTCTGCTGAAAACCCTCAATGGCTTCCAATCCCCCCTAGAGTAAAATCGAAGTTCTTCTAATACTCAGTAGAGGAGGCGCCAGTGCAGTGCTTCGCACACCAGCTGTTGTCAGCTCCCCTGCCCCTGCTCTCTTGCTCCCTCTACCCACTTCTGCCACCGCCCTCAGACACACCAGGCAGGTTTCTCCACTTCCGGGCCTCTGAAATCCGCCGCCTGGGCGGTTCTTGCCCCAGTATCCCCAAGACTTGCTCTCTCAGATTCTTCAGGCCTTTGCTCAAAATCGTCTTTACACTGAGGACTTTCCGGTCCATTCCATTTAACATTAAAATCTCCTGTGTCCTCCCTGGGAACCCCTAGCCCCCTTCTCTGCTTGATTTTTCTGCAGACTTCTCAGCATTTGACCTTTTACATTTTACTTAATGTCCACCTCCCCTCCCTAGAATGCACGCTCCAAGAAGGCAAGTGCTTGTGCGCTGCGGCTCTTCAGCACCTAGAACAGGGCCCTGTGCACACTAGCATGCAGTACGGATCTGATGAATGAAGGAATGAGCAAAAAGACAAAATCGAGTTAGGTTAGAACCTAACTGCAAGGCTACTTAAATTTCTAGTCTTACTAAATTTTCACTCCCTAAGAAACAGAAAGCAGCTGAGTTCATAATAACATCAGATCCCTGCTTCTCTGAACAGCTTTAGGGTTAAATAAGTGAATGAGATATAACAAGCTTGGGGACAGTACACAAATGGTAAAAATCCCTGCTTTAACTCGGAGGGGGCAAGGGTGTGAAAGAGGAGGACAGACAGTCAGGAGGCACAGTGAGAGTGTGGCCCGGTCACGGCTCTGCCTGCATGGGGACAGGAGAGGAGGACAGGCGGGCAGGAGGCACAGTGAGAGTGTGGCCTGGACATGGGACTGCCTGCGTGGGGACAGGAGAGGAGGACAGGCAGGCAGGAGGCACGGTGAGTGTGGCCCAGTCACAGCACTGCCTGTGTGGCGACAGGAGAGGAGGACAGGCGGGCAGGAGGCACAGTGAGAGTGTGGCCCGGTCACGGCTCTGCCCGCATGGGGACAGGAGAGGACGACAGGGGGGCAGGAGGCACGGTGACAGCGTGGCCCAGTCACAGCACTGCCTACGTGGGGACAGGAGAGGAGGGCAGACAGGAGAGGAGGGCAGGCAGGCAGGAGGCACGGCGAGAGTGTGGCCCAGTCACGACACTGCCTGCGAAGAGATACCCTTCCTGTTCTAGATGACGATGCTGCAATGTACTCAGCCTCCTTTGGACAGGAGCCCTGCTGGGGCATACACAATCCAGGCATGGTCCAGCAGGATTCTGGTCACCCCCCTCACATCATCACACACACTGTGAGGCACAGCTATTGGAAGACCAAGCCCAGAACACGGAATTGCCTGAACAGCAAGCAGGCACTCCCTGCCACCTCCACCCGGGCCCGCCAGCCTCCTGTTTAAACCACACCGGCCTACGTGACTCCTGGGGCTGGGACCTGCTGCTCTCTCCAGGCAGCTCACAAGCCAATTGGAGCAAGTGACACATGCTTCAAGTTCAATGCAGGAGGAGTAGCATCACAGAATCCCAAAATGACACCTAAGTATGTGATTCTACACGCATGTGTCTCTCTAGGAGTGAGAGTATGCTCATGATGTCGGTATATTTATGTACGCGTAAAAAACATCTAATGGGGTAGATATCAAACTGTTAAAGGTAAATGACAACTGAGAAGTGAACACGAGAAGGATTTGCTTTACTTTTTACTTTATCTCTACTTTGGGTAAAGTTTATAACTTTTTAAACTATTTTTTCATTGATTAAAACTTCAAAGACTACACATTAAAGCTGAATACTCTACAGACACAATGTATTAGCACATTTACAAAGGCATTGTTTTCTTTCTCTCTTACTCTAGAAAATAAATAAAAACTGATGCTCTAAAAATATTAACTTTATGCTGACATATAAACATTGAAATCATCTGAATGACTCCACAATACTCTACATAGAAATATTCACTAAAACTCTGAAAAATAAAAAAAAAGCAATGTAACATAATAGAACTGCTTGACAAACAATAGCAGCCAAGCAAAATAGCTGTGAGATTTCTTACTTTATCACTATAAAAGAAAACCAAATCAAGAAATACAGAAGAAAACAAAAGGACAAAGCATGGATCATTTTAATTGCAAACCTCAAATACTAAAAATATTCGTACAATTTTCCTTTTTCCTTCCCTAGAGATCATGCGTGTTACTAATACAATATTATAACCAGGCTGCTCTTTACAAGATGGCAAAGAGTATTCAGCTATGAATGCTGTACTCACTTTCAAATATTCAAGCAAAACTAAGGAACAAGATAAGGCATGGAGAAATAGTTTTATTATTTCAATGTTTCATAGCGTAGTGAAGGCAAAATTATAAAAGAATATGAAAATCCACTGCTTCCTTGTTTTTTATTTTATTTGTTTTTAATTTTATTATTTTTAAGAGTCAGGACCTTCTTGCTCTGTCACCCAGGCTGGAGTGCAGTGGCACGATCATAGCTCACTGCAGCCTCAAACTCTCAGGCTCAAGCAATCCTCCCACTTCAGGGCTACAGGTGGGTGCTACCACGCCTGGCTAAGTTTTGTATTTTTTGTAAAGACAGGATCTCGCTATGTTGCCCGTGCTAGTCTTGAACTCCTGGCTTGAAGAGATCCCCTCACCTCAGCTTCCCAAAGTGCTGGGATTATGGATGTAAGCCACCACATCCGGTCTTTGTTAATTTAGCTCTAATTAGTGCAGTATAATATCTGACACACAGTAACAACAAATGAGGGAATAAATACCATACCAATAACAGTAATAACATCAACCCCCAATTATTAACAGCCTACCATGTATCAAGCACTTTTCAATGAGCACTAAGTATATTTGTTAATGTATAATTTAGGACAGCTATATACAGATAAAAGAGCCACATTTTTCAAGTGAGGAAATAAAATCACACAAAGAGTAACTAATTTCAGCAAGATTATCCAGCAAACTATGAGAAAGCTGGGATCAGATTCCAAGTCGAGCTAGCAAAAAGGCACCTGTTCTTCCCTTCCAGCCACACGGTCAGTCATCCAGAAGTCAGTGTTTTCATACCTGTGTGTATCCTAATGTGTCGCGTTAACTGGCTTGGCTTTTGAAACGTCTTTCCACAGTGCGGACACGAATACGTGAATCCACTTCTGTCGATATTCCGGTTATAAGACCTTGTACTTGATACCCTAGTGTAATAAAGGGGGGCAAAATACACAGTAAGATGTCTCCCTTGTACCATAATTTCAAAATGAAAATCCTACCAGAAAATTTGGCTGACTAGTCATCAGAACCTGTTTTAATGATAAATCAATCACATATATGTATGTGTCTGTGTGTATATGTGTTAGTTTTAAAAATCATAAAACTCATTTTTCTCTATTTTTGATGAAAAAAAATTTGTTTTTTCCAGGTCAAAAACAGAAATTGGGACAGGGGGAGCAAAATGTCTCTTCTAGACAAAGCTTTACCTGTGATGGTCAGAAACAAAGATGCTACGGGTATAATTTCTACACTGACACCTGACCCACACCACCTCCTCCAGTCTCTTGCTCTCCGCACCATCTGCATACCAATGATGTCCAAACTCCTACCTCCAGCAACTCTGCCTCCTCCTCTGGCTCCAGCCCTGGACAGCCAACTCTCACTTGGCATTGCCTCATGGGTGGTGTCCAAAACAGAACTCTTCATTGATTCCCAACCTGCTCCTTTCCATGTCAAGACACGAAAGCTCCCTCTTGCACAAATTTAAGTCTCAGGAGTCACACTGGATTTTTCTAGTCCATCTCCAAAAGCTGCTGGTCTTACTCTGAAACACCCCCAAATGTGGACATGTCTCTCCACCCTCTAGCCACCATTGCGGCCTCAGAACGGGTTCGGCTCTCCAGTGCACTGCTTCCATAGCCTCCAAAAAGGTCTCCCTGCTTTTGACACCTGCCCACACACCAGGCCCAGTGCCACCCGAAAGTCTGGTCACACCATTCCCTTTGTGCAAAACCCTCCAAGGACTCCCATCTCACTCATGGGAAATGCACATCCGCAGCCCCGCCGGGCAGGCTCTCCTCACCCCAGCCACCTTCCTGCTTCTCAGACCAGGGAGGCTCACTGCTTCCACCAACACACTCCTTCAGCCTGAAAGGTGGGTCCCCTAAGGCTGCAGGGCTCCCTGCTCCTCACCCCAGTCTCCTTCCAAAAGCCCCACTCAGAAAGGCCCACGCACAACAGCTGCCTCCCCAGCCTCCCTCAGCCACACTGCACACACCCATCCCACTGTCCTTCTTTCTTGACACTCACCACTATCTGAAACTGTGGTACCGACTAACCCACTCACTTGGTCACTACCTATCTTCTCACTAAAGGGCAGTTCTGTGAGGGCGAGGCTTCGTCTGTCTGGTTTGCTCCTCAGTCTGGAAAGACCTAGAAGCCAGGACTGTCTGAGTGCCACAAGCACCTAAACATCTTCAATCATCTTTCAAACCTCCAAGGAAACATCAAAAATGCCTGCATTAAAGCCTCATGAGAATAAAAATCTGGAGTGTATAGAGACCATGTATTATATTTGGGGGTTTAAAAATCACTGAAATTACCATCAAATTGGTTGGGGAAAAAAGAAAAAAAAAATCACTGAAATCATAAAGCATTAGGTGCGTACCACATTAGTCAACAAGAGGCAAAATGAAAAAGACAGGAGACAGCTGATCATACAGAGATGTCCAGTCCACATTTCTCAAATGCAATGTCTAAGAGGCTAAATAAACATTAGAGTCTTCAGGCATTTTATAAACTGTGGTAATCAACTGGCACGGAACTTCTTGTTGTTAAGAAGTACAGATATTTCCTAAACATTGCAGCTTAGAAGGATGGCAAGCTAAACTGATAATATAGTAGTTAAAATGATAATTGATACTGCCTTTATTTTATTTTATTTTTTTTGGAGACAGAGTCTCGCTGTGTCGCCCAGGCTGGAGTGCAGTGGCACGATCTCGGCTCACTGCAACCTCCACCTTCTGAGTACAAGCAATTCTCCTGCCTCAGCCTCCCGAGTACCTGGGACTACAGGCATGTGCCACCACACCCAGCTAATTTTTATATTTTTAGTAGGGACCGGGTTTCACCATGTTGGCTAGGCTGGTCTCAAACTCCTGACCTCAGGTGATCCGCCTGCCCTGGCCTCCCAAAGTGCTGGGATTACAGGTGTGAACTACTGTGCCTGGCCCAATATTGCCTTTTAGAGTTTGTTGGAGAAATTAGCTAAATTAGTGTGAAAACTGATTATCACCATTAGCTAACTTGAGCAAAGGGCCAGGAAGAATATTTTATTTCACTTTATTAAGAAACAGAAACATCAGTAAAAATATATTATCAGGAATTAGGCAAAATATAAAATTTTTAAAAACATGTTAAGTTTGACTACGAATAAATGTATAAATGCATTCAAATATAGTCAGTTGTTAAGATTATGAGCTCTAAAATCAGACTCTTATGGTTTAAATTTCAAACTCCTGACTTATAAGCTACAAAATCTCATAGAACTACTTGGTTCCTCTAATCTTGGTTTTCTCATCTGCAAAATGGGAACATAAAAGTACTCTGGCCTAACAGGGTTGTTTGTAATGATGAAATGAGGTTCTGTTTATATACACGCTAAGAACAGTGTCAGGCACATATGAGTTTTAACGGTTGGGTACCACAAACTAATTTATTAAAAGGAGTACTAATTAAACCCTTGTGAGTCTAGTTGACATATTTTGTTACCTACCCATAAACATGTATTGCCAGTATCCTGTTCTACAGCTTTCAACATTATAATACTAGGTAAACACTTCTACTCACATAGCCTGACACTATTCATTAATGTGTAGGGATGCACCATGCATGTTATAAAAGACGTTCTGACACCAAATTATCTGTGGGGTTCCACTTTGCTGGGTTCTTGCAGCAAATATTTCCAGTGGGTCGTACCAAAGTGCGCCAGCTTTTAACATATTAGATGGATTTTTGACCAAGCCCATGTAATGACTCATACCTAATTTTGTAATGAGTCTTCATGTGTTCCTTCAGCTCCGAGGAGGTCTCGAACTCTTTCTTGCAGGCCTTGCAGGCATGCTGCCGGGTTCCAGCCAGCTCCTGGCGGTGCTCCTCCATGTGCACGGCCAGCTGACTCTGCAGAGTAAACTCATCCCCACACTCAGAACAGATGAGATTCTGGAAGAGAAAACCCATCGGTGAGCAGAGCAAACCTTTCAAAACCACTCCTTCAAAGAACTGGTATGATCAACGGTTAATACACAAATTAAATGAAAACTACTTGGTCTCTCTAATCTTGATTTTGATCTAATACTTTCCTCTGGAACAAGCATCACTTTCACCTCTCAAAAATGTATTTGAATATACAAAAATCATTTCTTTATTGGAAGAAAAAGACAGAAACATTGGGAAAAGGGTGAGAGATTGACACAATTTTTGAGCAAAATGAGTTCTGCTTCGAAGTGGTGTTGGGTAATGGCACTGGGTCCGCCTATTCTGTGAGCGCTTTAGAGAGAAGTAGGATGACCTCAGCACTACAAAGGGTCAGGAAAGAATTCAAAGTAAGATTATGGTTTAAGAGACGACCTTGAAACAAAATGCCAGCTTCCAAGTTTTTAGTAGATAGACCACATCACTGTCTTGCTTGGTTCAGAGGCAGAGCAGAGTGCAGGCTGTGGCCCGGCTGACTGAGCGTGTGAACCAGGGACCCTCTGAAGCAAGGCGTGGGGTAACTGCAGCACACACACACACAGGAGTTCAAAGACTCCGAGCAAAAATACAAGAATGACAGCTCAGTAATCTTTCATATTTGAGTTCATATTTTGGACATATTTTAATAAATATATTAACATTTATTTCACCTGTTTGGGTTTTTTTTTTCTTTTAAAAATGTGGCTACTAGAAAATTTTAAATTCCTCATCTTTCACTTAGATGATGCTGGTCTAGATGTTCTACAGCTGGGTCTAGGTTCACCTTAAGGCTGCCAATCACTAGCTAAGCTGCTAGTTTGGGTGTGTTGCCCACCCTGAGCCTATGAAACAGGGATAACAATCACCCCTGCCCTCACAGGGCTGTTACGAGGTTAGACAAAATGACACCTGTAAGACGCTGACTGTGCGTGGCCTAGAGTGAGAACTCAATAATTACTTCATCAGTAGCCATTGCTGACTTAGTACAAATTTCAGTTAATTCACTCATTTGGAGTTCCATCACACAATTACAGTATTTACTTAAATGATCCTCAAAATGAACTGTACAAACATGAAAAAACATGACCTGTCAATGAGCATAAACTGTTATTTCCAAATAAAAATACATTGATTTTTTCCTATCAGACTTTTTTCTGATCTGCATATACTAGTCTTGTAAATAAATGTTTGTAAACCTCATTAAAATGAGGCTGTTAATTGATACTACCTCTAGCTACACTGCAGAAAAAGACAAAGAAAAGTGAAATGTTTTGAGAAATCCAAAAATCATTTAAATAACTTTAAAGTAGTATTATTGTATAATAATTTAAGGAAATAATAAACTACTAAATTTTTAGTGACTTGTTGATAAAAGAAAATTTGTTCTAGGAAACTCCCCACAAAAAAAAATCATAATTTGATGCAGCTCTTAAAAAAAAAAAAAACCTCTGCAGTCCTGAATGCATCTGAACAAAATGCACTGCTTTCATTACCAATGATTCCCCACTATGCCTCCTGTCTCAAAATCACATCACAAAACCCCTCGCAGCCCGCTCCTCTCCGTACTGATACTGCCCTGGCTCACACCCACCCTCTTTTCACTTACTCTTTTACCAAATGATCTGATTCATGTGTTTCAGGGATATCTACACGGATATTACTCAGGCATTTGTTGGATCTGTCTGAGTGACAACCCCAGTTTATGCACGACGTGCTCAGATGGTGCGAGCAGGATCCAGCACCTCCCAGGCCACAGCCAAGACCTGCCAGCTTACAGACGGCTACATCACTGTCTTTCTGCTTTCTCTCCTGCAAGCCAAAAAGAGCCACGATGCTCCTCCCTCCCCCTGCGCGCCCTGGCAACACTTGAGGAAGTGTTCTTCTGTAAGAAGAACAACACCCCATGTATAGTCACAGGCCACTAGGACAACGGGCCTTCCACTTACTGCACCCTCCATACAGAGTTAACATCACATCTCTCACCTAGAGGCAGAGGCTGTCCTGGGGTAATTCTCATGATGCTAAGTGGCCATGGGAAATCATCAAGAGAAATGCATGGCATTTTCATCTGTCTCCACCTTGCTGAAGATACGATCATCTCTAAAAGACCAGAGCGTGCAATGCTAGGTACTGACTGCATCAAGGCTGCTCTCCTGTCCAACCCCGGCCCTCGGATGGCAGCGTGTGTTCACCAGACTCCGAGTGTTTGGGATTTTCCCCTTCTCCGAATCCCCTCCAGGATCCCCCCCATCATCATCCTGTCTCCTGTCCTGGCCTTCTCAGAAGCCATGCTTCTTTTCCTAATGCAGTGTGCCTCTGCTGACCTCGGCTACTGCTCAACACACAAAATAAACCCCAAACCCACCCCACAAAACGCTGCTCTTCCCTCAACACTTACAGAACCTGATCCATCACTATTCATTTGTACGTGCCACTGAGATGATCAATAAATGTGAACAATGTCTTCCGTGGGAAAGTTGTTTGTGTTGAGTGTGTGTGGGCATGCATGTGTTGTTTCTCCAAACATTCTGTAACACCCCTTAAGGGAAGTGATTTACTCAAAAAATAATGTGACCTTCAATAATTATGTGACTTTTAAGAAAAATTCCTAAGTGATTTAAAAACTACAGTAATTTTTCTGGTTTACTCTTCTGGGTTTGAGATTTATTTGGACAGAGTAGTGACCAGTGTGAATTTTAGACTATAAATCTCAATAGAGCAGTAACTAAAAATTAGATTTCAGTGTTCTGAAAGTAAAACTTAAAAACGGAACACCTTAAACTAAAAAGTTAATTTAGTTCCTAAGTATATTTAAGAAGACATGTTTACAGGTTATTTTCTAAACCAATTTTAATGAGGCATACTTTACATATAACAAATGCACCCATTTTAACTGTAACTTTTTACTACTCCAATCCAATGTTGATGATTTCAGAGTTTAACCCTTAGGAAGCAATTTTAGTCCTATTTCCAAGGTTTCAGGGGACCCTGCACTGGTGCCCCCAATACTGTCTACACCCAACAAACTGCTGGGTGCTTCACTGACTTTCATCTCACTTCATCTTCAACCTCACTGAAGGAGCAACAGCAGCTCCCCCAGACCTCAAAGTACCTGCACTTTCTACCAAACGAAGTGGCTTTCTTCAGAAGGCTCTCTGAATGTCCTAAGTGGTGAATAGTTTAAAAAGCAATAATTCCAACAGCTGTCACTAGTTGAACTCTCTACCTGCCAGGAACTGTGCTGGGCCATTTTATGTTTGGAGTAAGTTTCTTGGAGACAATGTATTGTTAGATCATATGAGAGGTTTTTTTTGTTTTGTTTTGTTTTTTGTTTTTTGATGGAGTTTCACTCTTGTGGCCCAGGCTGGAGTGCAATGGCATGATCTCAGCTCACTGCAACCTCTGCCTCCCAGGTTCAAGCAATTCTCCTGCCTCAGCCTCCCAAGTACCTGGGACTACAGGCACCCGCTACCACACCCAGCTAATTTTTGTATTTTTAGTAGAGATGGGGCTTCACCATGTTGGCCAGGCTGGTCTTGAACTCCTGACCTCAGGTGATCTGCCCGCCTCGGCCTCCCAAAGTGCTGGGATTACAGGCGTGAGCCACCGTGCCCAGCCAGCAATGTCTTTTAATTCACGTACTTACATTTAAAGTAATTATTGGTATCTGAAGGCTGAAGTCTGTCATTATTTGTTGATCGCTCACTGTTTCTTTTCCTCTGCTTCTCTTCTTCCCTTCCTGGATTACTTTTTAGAATTTCTTAGAATTCATTTTGATTTATTAGTAGTATTTTCGAGTACATTGCTTTGTATGGCATTCTTGGAGATTGTGCTAGGTAGGATTATACATACGGAACTTATCACAATCTACTGGCATTGACATTTTACCACCTTGAGAGAAGTACGGAAAACCTTATTTCCATTCAGAGTCTTGTACCGTTTTCCCTCTTTAAATATCACTGTCCTGAGTATTTCCTCCATGTACACTGAGCACACTAGATGATAATTTCTGCTTCGACCATCAACTATGATTTAAGAATTCATAAGGAGAAGAACAGTGTATTATATTCACCCCAATTTTGTATTCTTACTTATTCTTTTTGTGTTAGGGTTTTCCAGAGAAACAGAACAAACACATGTGCGTGTGTGTGTATGTGTGTGTAAATATTTGTTGGCCAGGTGCGGTGGCTCACGCCTGTAATCCCAGAACTTTGGGAGGCCGAGGCGGGCAGATCACCTGAGGTCAGGAGTTCAAGACCAGCCTGGCCAACAAGGTGAAACGCCATCTCTACTAAAAATATAAAAACTAGCCGGGTGTGGTGGTGGATGCCTGTAATCCCAGCTACTCTGGAGGCTGAGGCAGAAGAATTGCTTGAATCCAGGAGACGGAGGTTGCAGTGAGCCGACACAGTGCCACTGCACTCCAGCCTCGGCAACAAAGTGAGACTCTGTCTTAAAAAAAAAAAAAAAAAAAAAGATATTTGTTGTAAGAAATTGTCTCATGATTATGGAGGCTGACAAGCCCCAAATCTGCAGCGTGGGCTGGCAGATGGAGACCTAGGAGAGCTGATAATGTAAGTGACAACCAAAGGCCGTCTGCGGGAGAATCCCTCTCACTTGGGGAAGTCAGTCTTTTCATTCTATTCAGGTCTTTGACTGAAGGAGGCTCACCCACATCATGGAGGGCAATCTGCTTACTCAATGGTTTAAATGTTAATCTCATCCAAAAACACTCTCCACGTTCACACAGAAAATTAACCACCACACCATTCTTCTTTCTTTTCTGAAGTTCCAAGCCTCCTTCTGGTGTCATTTCCTTTCTGTTTGGAGATCTTTCAGTGATTCTTTAAGGGTAAGTCTGCTAGCAAGAGTTTGTTTTCCTTCATCTAAGAATGTCTTTATTTCTCCTTCGTTCCTGAAGGACATTTACCACATATAGAATTTGTAGCCAGGCATGGTTGCTCACATGTGTAATCCCAGGACTTTGGAGGCAGAGGTGGGAGGATCGCTTGAGCCCATGAGTTCGAGACCAGCCTGGGCAACACAGCAAGACTCCGTCTCTAATTTAAAAAAAAAAAAAAGAAGAAGAATAATTTGTAATTGACAATTCTTTTCTTTCAGCAATTGAAAATTTTTGTGCTATTTTCTTTTAGCTTCCATGGAGGCAGATGAGAAATTCGCTGTCACCTGAATCAGTGTTCTTCTGCAAACAACAGATCATTTCTCTCTAGTCTCTCACAAGATTTTTTTCTTAGGTTTAGTTTTCAAACGTTTCATTATGATATGTCTTGGTGTGTATTTCTTTGGGTTTATCCTGTTTGGAATTCTTCAATCTGTGAGTTATGACTTTTACCAAGTCTGGGTCGTTTTCAGCCATTATTTCTTCAAATACATTTCCAGCCCCACACTCTTTCTCCTATCCTTTGTGATGACCATGATGCAAATGTAGAATTTTCTGTTATTGTCCCAAAGTTCCCTGAGGCCCTGTTAATTTTTCTATTTCTTCTCTGTTGCTCAGCCTAAGTCATTCCTGCTGCTCTATCTTCAGGTTCTCCTCTGATTCTCCTCTGTCCTCTCTGGTCCACCAGTAAGCCCTTCTGCTGAGTTCTTTAGTTCAATCATGGGATTTTTCAGTTCTATAATTTCCCTTTGGTTATTTCTTCTATTTCTTTCTTCTGTTTTTTCATTTGTTTCAAAACTCATAAAGCATTTTCTTGACAGCTGCTTTAAAGTACTTGTCAGGTAATTCCAATGTCCAGGCTCTCTTCATATTGATACCGCTCTTTCCTTGTTCCAGCAGGGACTGTGCTGGCTCGTGTCTGTGTCCTAGACACTTTGGGTGTTAAACTGTGGGACCAGCTCTTGGGCTCTCCTTTGAGCAGCAGCTGCCCTGTTCAGATGCAGTGTAAGGACCAGCAGCAGCAGAGACCCATTTCGCAGAGCCCCACTGACCGCAGTGGGAGGAAAGCACAGTGCAGACTTGTCTGTCTTGCATGGTTCTGTCTCATCACTGATGGGGAGGGAGGCCCAACTCCCTAGTGGACCCACTGACACACTCTGGAGGGAGAATCAGAACACTCCCTGCTTCTGCTAAGGGAGGATGGAAGCCGGGCTTCCAAAGATAGACTCTGCCAACACGCTGGGAGGGGAATTCTGGGTGTCTCCTCCCTCTGCCAGGAGAATCCCCCTCCTGGATGCAAGGTTAGCTCCCTGCTTGGGCCCAAGCACCGGGGAAATCGAAGTGCTGCCAGCTCCCAAGGGACGGGGGCAGAATGGGATAGAAGTTCAATGCTGTACTCGGCTCCGCTGAGCAGCTTTTCAGTTGGCATTTCATTGGAATTGAGTAAATACCATAAAAAGATTTTCTGTTCTGTTGGACCAACCTTTTCCCAGTACTGGCTAAGGGAAACCAGCTTTTCTTGGAGTGTTTTTCTTCTCCGCTTGTTGGCAGAAGGCTGCAGGCTTCTTCAAAACCGTGTCCAGGTGTCTGGGAAGAAAAAAAGAAACCCAGGCCGGGCAGGGTGGCTCACGCCTGTAATCCCAGCATTTTGGGAGGCTGAGGCAGACGGATCACTAGGTCAGGAGATTGAGACCATCCTGGCTAACACAGTGAAATCCCATCTCTACTAAAAATACAAAAAACTAGCCGGGCGTGGTGACGGGCGCCTGTCGTCCCAGCTACTCGGGAGGCTGAGGCAGGAGAATGGCTTGAACCCAGGAGGTGGAGCTTGCAGTGAGCTGGATCGCACCACTGCACTCCAGCCCGGGCGACAAGAGCGAAACTCTGTCTCAAAAAGAAAAGAAAAAAGAAATAATGGGAGCTGACGGCCACATTATTCCTCAAGTCCCTCCAACCGTCCGCCACCTCTGATGCCTTTCAGAGTCCTTCTGTGCCTGTTGGCTGGTTATCTCTAACAATAGTGATACGGGGGACCCCTAGGAGAAGGAAGCTGCTCCACTGTGGCTGGAACCTTAGAGGTTATTTTTAAATACAATTAAAGGTAAGAAATTATCCCTCTAGTTACTATTAATATGCCATATTCAAATCAATTAACTGAAAAATCAAACACAAAATGCAAAGGCAGCAAGGAATGTATTATTTTGACATACAGGGAAAAGACTTTTAATTGTGCTCCAATACTGATTCTTCCTTTCTTATGCAATAATAGACTTACTGGCTGAGCATACAGCTAATCAACTCAACACTATTTCGCAGCCGCCCAACCACTAGATCACTGGCCTGATGACTACGTTCTACCCAACTGAATGTGAGCAGGACTGAAATGCATCTTCCAGATAACGCCTTTAAAGAGAAGCAGTGCACCTTCCTCCTCCCGTTCTCACTGTAAACCATGGTTCAGAAGCAAAGAACTCAGAGATAACAAATGAAGATGTTGGACAAACCTGAGGGCACGGCTGCCCTACCAGCTCTGTACCACATACGCCAGCCTGCCAGGTGAGGGAGGCACAGTCACAAACTCTGACCTAAGCATCAACACAACAGTTGGAAAAAAGAGAGCCAACATATTGCCAACACGTTATTACAGAACAAGCACAATGAGGCCTTTTTCCCCTCTGCTCATGTAAATCTTGAGCTCAGTATGAGGGTGCTAAGTTCAGGTGGCTGAATGTGACAGCCCAACTTCCAGAACCCTTCCTCCGGCAGCACAGACACACAGTGCCAAGGAAGCTGTGAAGCATCCTCACAGCTCCCTCACCAGCTTCACGCCAGACTTCAGCAAAGCCTCTTCCATGACTCTTCCCCGCTTTCTTCTCCTGTTAGCAGTTATTAATCAAAGACAGCCTGCTGTGTGCTGAAGGGAGAAACCAGAAGCAGGGGTGAGTAGTAATAGAAATGTAAAGTCAAGCGATTTCAGAAAACACATATTTCTCAAAAGACTTTTCAAAAAAATTTAAAAAGGAGTCAGAAGCGAAGGAATGTGTAAGTTCTTACAACCACAACAGCAAGAGACGAAGGGAGCTGGAGTTTTACAAACAGAACTGAGGGTTTGGATGAGAGTAGGCTGCACAAAGTTCAGATGATGTGGTCCTACCCAGGAGACCACGGCATAACAAAACCACACAACAGCAGAGGCAGGGACTGAAGCAAACAGCAAAGAATGTGAGCACCACTGTGGGAAGTGATCTGGAAAGAACCTGGCCCATCTGTGGAAGAGAAAACAGGACGAAGGGAAGGTTTTCAAAATAAGGTATAAATACTTTAGAACATCTGCGAATGACAGCTAACAGTTGTTTCTCTTTCCAGTGATGGAGGAAATCACAGTGAAGTATTAAAAGGCACATCTGAAGGAACTTCAGAATGGAAAACGGTAAAGCTCACTGTGCTGGTGACCCCTGTAGATGGGTGTAGCCTTAGAGGTAATCTTTGCCCTTCATGTCGTCCTCGGGTTGGGCCACCCAGAACATGTGGCATGCACAGACATCTTCAACCACCTTTACCTGTGTCATCCTAACAGAGGGTTCACGCACACCCCTCAAGTTTCACCTCTCTGCCTAGACCACACGGCTCAACATTTCAGCTCTCCCGCCAACATTCCCATGGCCCTGACTCCTTTGTTATTCCACAGCACATGCTTCAGAAGCCCCCACCTCCAGGCAAACCACCATCTCCACTCCTCCCAGCGGCTGAGCGGTGGAAAGCAGACCATACCCCCGCCCAGCCCAGACTCCACAACCAGATGGGCTCTCAGCTCCCAGGGCTACCCACAGATGTGCCCCACTCAGGCTCTGCTCTCATTTCCCAAAATAGGCACCCCATGCAGATCTCTAGATGCCTCAGGCCACCCCATGTTTTTGGTGAAGACAGAGTAATGTTTCCATTTCCCAGAGAAATGTGGGCTCTAAGGCCTCAGCCCCAGCCCATGAACTGAGGCACTGCAGTGCACCATAACAAGCTTATGAGGAGGCCCAGGAATAGGTCACATGTTCAAGGGAAACAGCGGTGCTCCACACTTGACCAATAACACCCAGAAACTAGATTGAGGTACTTCAGTTTCAATAACATCATGTCTTTGTGAAGCTAAGTTTCCACGGTTGCTGTGGTTAAAGATCAAAGATGAAGTGAAGAACCACGTGGAAGAGAAAACTCCAAAATCAATGTACGAATGATTGTAAATAGGAAATGCAAGGATACAGACGCTGTGCAGTACCCAACACACCCGGGTTGGTCTTTCAAATAACTATTAAGTTATTAAGACAGAAATACTTACTAGATCATACAGATCTAACTGGTTAATACGCAGACCCTTGGGTTCTGCCTGAAAGTCTATAAAAAACTTCATGAGACACTAAGAAAGCACAGTCTGAGGAAAGCTGGGAACACGTGCAAGACATACCAGGAGCTGCTCCACTTCCACCTCCACCTGAGTCCTCTCCCCCTTCCTCCTCCACCTGCACCCGCCTCCACCTGAGCCCTCTCCCCCTTTCTCCTCCACCTGCACCTGCCTCCAGCTGAGCCCTCTCCCCCTTCCTCCTCCACCTGCACCCGCCTCCACCTGAGCCCTCTCCCCCTTCCTCCTCCACCTGCACCCGCCTCCAGCTGAGCCCTCTCCCCCTTCCTCCTCCACCTGCACCCGCCTCCAGCTGAGCCCTCTCCCCCTTCCTCCTCCACCTGCACCTGCCTCCACCTGAGCCCTCTCCCCCTTTCTCCTCCACCTGCACCCGCCTCCACCTGAGCCCTCTCCCCCTTCCTCCTCCACCTGCACCCGCCTCCACCTGAGCCCTCTCCCCCTTTCTCCTCCACCTGCACCCGCCTCCAGCTGAGCCCTCTCCCCCTTCCTCCTCCACCTGCACCCGCCTCCAGCTGAGCCCTCTCCCCCTTCCTCCTCCACCTGCACCTGCCTCCACCTGAGCCCTCTCCCCCTTTCTCCTCCACCTGCACCCGCCTCCAGCTGAGCCCTCTCCCCCTTCCTCCTCCACCTGCACCTGCCTCCAGCTGAGCCCTCTCCCCCTTCCTCCTCCACCTGCACCCGCCTCCAGCTGAGCCCTTTCCCCCTTCCTCCTCCACCTGCACTCGCCTCCACCTGAGCCCTCTTCCACTTCTTCCAGGGTCAAAAGAGAAGTATCTCATCTGTTCAAAACTAACTGCTCCCCTTGTAAAATGTCACTCTTTTCCCCTCCAGATAGGGACCTCTGAAAATGGATATTACAGCAATGTTAAACTGTGATCACTGTTTTGTGAAATGAAGAAAAGTGTCTTTGTTTTTAGGGGCTACATCCTGAAGTATTTAGTGGTAAAATAACGTGAAATCTGTAGATTACTTGAAAATTGTTCAAAAAAGGGAGAAGGGGGGAGGTGAGATCTGGCAAATTTATCAATTGGTGAGTCCAGGAAAAGGTTATACAAATATCCATTGTACTATTATTTCAAATCTTCACTTAGGATTGGAATTTTTCAAAATAAAAAGTTAAGTGAATATGCCATCGCTACATACTATGAAAACGAATAAATGATATAAGGGTGATTTTTTTTTAAAAACTGCGCATATGCTAGTTGCAACAACACAGAACCAAAAACTTACTACCCGATTATTATGTGTAGATGAGGCTGCATAGAGAATCAGGGAGGATGGCAGGGAAAACTAACACACACAAATGCATCGCTTTCCTACAGGCACGTAACACAACATATGGCCAAAAGACCTCCCTACACAATATCATTAGAATCTTAAAATACTTAAGAAACGTAAAAAGTGTACTGAATCCATAGTAACCAAACATCGCTGATGTTTTCACATTCCGTGTTCTCATAAAGATTCAACATTATAAACATGATCAGTTCTCCCCTGAATCTAAATATTTAGAACAATAAAAATACCAGCCTATAATTAACTATATAAAATTCTAAATTTCACATTATGATAAGCCAGAAAAAGAAAATAAGAACATACAAACATTTGCTTCTCATTACAAAGAGAGACACAGCAGAGACACACTAGAAGAGCAGGAAGGCAGCCCGGGAAAGGCCGAGGTGAGTGGGCGGGCAAGGGTGCAGGAGATGGGCTCTCCTCCAAGTGTACCTGCCTGTGTCACTTTGACTTTTAACAGTTGGTTAATATCCAAATATTCAAAAACTAAACCCCGAGCCTTCTACTCTCCTCTGCTTTGCACTGTGTCTTTTGTGTCAGATAATGTAACCTGAAGGAGGGTGGTTAACTGAAGGCCTGGAATCATAAGAATGGGAAGGGAGAGGTCCCACATGGCAGCAAAGTGAAGTAGGTGACCCTGCTGACTTCACAAAACCACGGCAGAGGAGGAAGACCATATCTAATTGTGCCTGCCATCTGAAGTAGGGTCGGGGGGCTGGCTTGAGAAATGTGGAACCCTGAGGGCTGTTGGACAGGAAGACCATGGGGGTCCTGGCTGAGCAGACGGCTCCTTCAGAGCATTCAGGATGAGAGAGTGAGTAATAATGCTGGTGCTGCCAGGCGCTGGGTCCTGGGAGAGAAGGAGCACACACAGGAACTGGGGGAAGGCCCTGCGAGAGAAGGACCCCACATAGGAATTATGGGGAGGCGGGGAGGCCCTGCGAGAGAAGGAGCCCACATAGGAACTGGGGGGACATGGGGAAGCCCTGCGAGAGAAGTGGTCCACGTGGGAACTAGGGGGAGGCAGGGAGGCCCTGCGGGGATGGGCTACACTGCAGCATCAGTGTGGATGCATCCCTTCCATGCGAGTTCTGCTCTGCATGTATGAGGATCTGTACCAGGCAGATCAGTGTGGGATGTTCCAGACGTGTGGAATATTTTAGAAAATAATTTTAGAATTGGGAAGCATTTCTAATCAAGCCATAAGAACCAGAATCCATAAATGAACAGACTGAAAATTTGAGTCCATGACAATTTAAAAATTTCTGCCAGGAAGAGAAAAATAATGAAACCAGAAACCAAGAAATAATTTTGTCACACAAGGCAGAAAAACCTAACTTTCCAGGAATGTAAATACTTTACACAAGTTTGCAAGAATAAGACCAATAATCCCCACACATCCACCTTGCAAAAAAAAATTACTTAATTAAAATAAAAATATTATTCATGGCTAATAAACATGGAAAGATGCTAAACTTCACTCATAATTAAAGAAATATAAATTAAAACAAAAACATACTATCTTTAAATTACCAGATTGGAGGAGACAACTTTTACAACAGAGTATTGAAAATGGGATGGCTGGCCAGGTGCAGCGGCTCATGCCTGTAATCTCAGCACTTTGGGAGGCCAAGGCGGGTGGATCACCTGAGGTGAGGAGTTTGAGACCAGCCTGGCCAACATGGCAAAGCCCCAACTCTACTAAAAATACAAAAATGAGCCAGGCGTGGTGGCAGGTGCCTACAATTCCAGCTACTCAGGAGGCTGAGGCAGGAGAATCGCTTGAACTCGGGAGGCAGAGGTTGCAGTGGGTTGAGATTGTGCCTCTAGCCTGGGCAACAGAGCAAAACTCTGTCTCAAAAAAAAAAAAAGAAAAGAAAATGGGCTGGGCACAGTGGCTCACGCCTATAATCCAACCACTACTTGAGACCAGGAGTTCAAGAGCAGCCTGGGCAACATGGTGAGACCTGATTTCTATTTTTTTTTAAGTAATAATTTTTTTAAAGAGAAAGAAAATGGTATGAAGAAATGAGCAATCTTACACACCATTTATTGGCTGGAGGATAAACTGACAAAATCTCTTTGGAAAACAATTTGACAATATCAAAATTTTGAATTCACATATCCTTTGACCTAACAACTCCATTTGCAGGAATATATCTCACATTTCTATTAACCCAGGGTTTCCTCAACCTCACACTACTGATGTTCTGGGCCAGGTCACTCGTAGCAATGGAGGCTGTGCTGGGCACTGCAGGGTGTTCGGCAGCATCCTCTACTCACAAGATAACAGAAGCACCCCACCCACGCCCAGCCCCACAACAGTGATAACCAAATGTCCTCTGGGATACCACACTGCCCATCTTGAGAACTCAAACATCGACAAAAATATTTGATCACCATAGCTTTGTCTGGAAAAGGCTGGAAACAACCTATATGCCTAACAGCAGTGACTTCCTAATTATGATACACATTTAAACAATATAATACCATGCACCTGTTAAAAAGAAAGTGACAGCTCTCTGATTAACAGATGTGGAATTACACTTAAGACACATAGTTAACTGATGAAAAGGCACAGAATATTATGGGTTGACTAATAAGGGTACAGAGGAGATGTGTATAGGCATAGAATGTCCCTGGAAGGATACAGAAGAAACTGCTAATGAAAGTTGTTTCTGAGGAGCAAAACTGGAACTTAGGAACCCAAAGGAGACGTAACTTTTTGCTCTCTATAGCCTTCTCTATTGTTTGATTTCTTACCGTGTGCACCTAGGATTTATTCCAAAATATATTAATACACCATTATTTAATACATTTTCGGCTTTTAAGAAATTGAACTGGCCAGGCACAGTGGATCATACCTGTAATCCCAGCACTCTGGGAGGCTGAGGTGGGCAGATCACTCGAGGTCAGGAGTTCAAGACTAGCCTGGCCAACATGGCGAAACCCCGTCTCTACTAAAAATATAAAAATTAGCTGGATATGGTGGGGCGCCTGTAATCCCAGCTACTTGGGAGGCTGAGGCAGGAGAATCACTTGAACCTGGGAGGCAGAGGCTGCACTGAGCTGAGATCATGCCACTGTACTACAACCTGGGGGACAGAACATGACTCTTCTCCCTCCAAAAATAAATAAAAATATAAATATAACTATAGCCATTTTTGAATAGCACTATTGATAAGTGACACAGGCATTCCTAAACTCTGCAAGAGAAGGTGTTAAATTGGCATGTACTTTCTAGAATGTCATATGGCATTCTATAAAGAACTTGGGGGAAAAAAGTCTTATTTGTTAATTCAATTAATCTAACTGTAGGAATCCATCCTAAGGAAATAATTAAAGATGCATAAGAAGATTCATATGCAAAGATATATTACTTACAATATTTAAAAATATAAACAATGTAAATGTTAAACAATGATGAAAACTATTAAATTTTACTATGCTAAATCCAGATGCCAAAGACTTTTTTTTTTTTGTAGTGACAGTCTATGTTGCCCAGGCTAGTCTCAAACTCCTGAGCTCAAGTGCCTCGGTCTCCCAAAGTGCTCGGATTACAAGCATGAGCTGCCACACCCACCCGAGATACTGCAGATTTTAATAATTTAAAATATTAATATTTGATAATGAGTGATAACTTTGATGATGAGTGAAAAGAGGGAGCAGGTATTTACAATATATTATGGAAAAAGGTAGGTTACAAAAGTAGTCTGTATAATGACATAATCCTATTTTTGTATTTAAAAAACTATTTTAAACATAAACTATTAAGAAAAGCATGTATAGAAAAAAGTTTGAAATACCACAAATGCATTCTCTCCACATAGTATGTTTTCTTTCTTATAATTTTTTTAACTAATTGATTTTTAAATTGATAAGTAAAACTGTACATATTTATGGTGTACCACATGATGTTTTGGTATATGCTGAGGAATGGCTAAATCAACCTGTTTTGCATGCGTTATCTCACATATATATTTCTTATGGAGAGAACACTTAAAATCTACTCTCACAGCAATTTTCTTTTTCTTTTCTTTTCTTTTTTTTTTTTTAAAGACAGAGTCTTGCTCTGTTGCCCAGGCTGGAGTGCAATAGCATGATCTCAGCTCATTGCAACCTCCACCTCCTGGGTTCAAGTGATTCTCCCGCCTTAGCCTCCGGAGTAGCTGGGATTATAGGGCCTGCCACCATGCCTGGCTAATTTTTGTATTTTTAATAGAGACAGGGTTTCACCATGTTGGCCAGGCTGGTCTTGAACTCCTGACCTCAAGTGATCTGCCCGCCTTGACCTCCCAAAGTGCTGGGATTACAGACATGAGCCACCATGCCGAGCCAGCAATTTTCAAACATACAATGTATTCTTATTAACTTAGTCCCCATGATGTACAACAGATCTCTTGAACTTACTCCTCCCGTCTAACTGAAATACTGTGGCCTTTGACCAACAGCTCCCCAATCCCCCTATCCCCCAGCCTCTGGTAACCACCACTTTGCTGTTTCTATGTGTTCAGCTTTGTTAAAGTCCACTATGGGTGGTTTTAATGTTACCTTTATAACTAATTTTTTTCCAAAATAAATATGCATTACTTGTATTATAAGATGTTGAGATAAAAATAAATTACTTTAAAATAGTAAAGACATTGATAAAAACAGGATCCAAAATCACGTAGAAAATATGAAGTCAGGCCAGGCGCGGTGGCTCACACCTGTAATGCCAGCATTTTGGGAGGCCATGGCAGGTGGATCACTTGAGGTCAGGAGTTCAAGACCAGCTTGGCCAACATGGTGAAACCCTATCTCTACTAAAAATACAAAAATTAGCCAGGCATGGTGGCAGGCACCTGTAATCCCAGCTATTCGGGAGGCTATGGCACGAGAATCTCTTGAACCCAGGAGGCAGAGGTTGAAGTGAGTTAAGATGGCGCCATTGCACTCCAGCCTGGGCAACAAAAGCGAAACTCCATCTCAAAAAAAAAAACAAAAAACAGAAAGTGTGAAGTCAGCTTTCACAATGTAAATTTTATAAAGGTGCTCCCTGATTTACAATGGGATTACATCCTGATAAACCCATGGTGAATTGGAAATATCACAAGCCAAAAGCGTGTGGCTGACAGGGAGTTGCAGTTCATTGCCTCTGCCTAACATCACAAGAGAAGTAAGGTTTCTAAGAAATGTGTTTGCTTTCACACCACTGTAAAATCAAAAAACATTAAGTCTAAACCATCTTCAGTCAGGGATCGTCTGAATATGCAATTTCAATACTGTGTTTTTCTGTCTCCGGAAGAAAATATACCAAATAGTTATCAGTAATTATCTCAGAATTAGAGATGACTTTCTCCTTTAACTTTTTGTATCTTCCTAATTTTCTACAGTAATAATGCAAAGGGGGAGTTCAGAGAAGGTTTTCTTTTTCTTTTTTTTTTTTGGTAGAGATGGGGTCTCACTATGTTGTCCAGGCTGGTTTCAAACTCCTGGCCTCAAGCAATTTTCCTATCTCAGCTTCCCAAACACTGGGATAACAGGCATGAGCCACTGCACCTGACGAAGGAGGAGCATATTTTTTAAGCAATAGCCATTGGCACCTTAGATTCAGCCCCCAACCCAGCACTGTGGCCTGTCATCCTCAAAGCTGTCCCAGACATTGGGCCTGTGGAGCTCCCAGGAGTGGTCACTTTGGTGTATAAGCTGCTTTGGGCCATCATGAAATGATTCTCTTCCCTCAGATTCTCACAGTCAGAGGACCCAGGAGCAAGCAAGGAGATTCTACCATCTTCAAAGCAGAAAAGTTACTTTTGGCCATGGCAGAATCGTATAAATGTTAGTTTCTGTTTACAAAGAGGAGGGTGAGGCGCCAGGAGGAGCCTCTGCCAGCCAATGTGGATATACTTTGATCCTTCAAATATACTACACATTAAAATGTCTCTACCCTAAGGCATTGACAGGGCCAGAAAATAAAATGTCTTATCAGTCAACTGGTGTCAAGGCAAATCTAATGACAATTCACTCCTTGAAATCTACACAAAAGGCTTTCAAAACAAGTTTATATCTAAAATCCTCCTGACTCATGATCAGATGTATTTTAACAATCAGTTAACAAAGTATATGCAAAATGATGATGATTACCTCTTCCTTTTCATGTAGCATAATATGCGCTTTGAGACTAGCCACTCTGGAGAATTTCTTGTTACACACAGGGCAGGTAGGATCTTCCCCGCTGTGGGTGCATTTATGAAGTGTCAGGTTGAATTCAACATTAAATGTTTGGGGGCACTGGTCACATCGATGTGGCTATTTGGAGAGAAAAGTGAAGAAGCCACTGAAATACAATCTTTTCACAGATGCTTGTTCAATAAATGAAAATATTAACAAGTACCATAATGTACAGACAATCTACAGAAACTTCTGAAGTCTCCTCTGGCTCTTAAGTCAATAAATCCAAAATAAACACAGTAAAGCACCTGACAGAATTACTGAAAGGATTATAAGGATGAAAACACATACATACACAAAAGAAATATTTCTAATAAGAAATGCTGTATATAAGCTGTTTTCTTTCAGTGAGTATAAGTGTTTGACAATGAAACACCTTTCAAAGATAACCTTTAAAACATGTTATTAAAACATATTTCTGTGCCCAGGCACGGTGGCTCACGCCTGTAATCCCAGCACTTTGGGAGGCCGAGGCAAGAGAATCACTTGAACCTGGGAGGCCAAAGTTGCAATGAGCCAAGATTGCACTACTGCATTCCAGCCTGGGCAAGAGGGCGAGACTCTGTCTCAAAAAAAAAAAAAAAAAAAAGGTTTCTTTCTCCATGTGTTTGCATGACATGGGTTTGTGTTGAACGTCTAAGTATGCATGCTTACATTTGCCGTTTGTAAGTGTGTATGGGTACCGCTGTAAAATGAACACATAGAGAAAGAAACATATTCTAATAATGTATTCTCAATGTTTTCTTCCAAACATTTTCTGTCAAACTCTTCTATTCATTGAAATAATAGAGTTTATGATGAAGCTTTTTTTTAAAAAAAAAAAAAGAAAGAAAAAGCTGCGTATAAATTCATTGGATTGTAGTCTCTGAAAAATTTCAACTCATTAAGTTGGATTTTTCCCTTCTATTTCTGACCAAATCCATCATTATAAACAAAATCACTTCAAGCAGGCCGGGGGTGGTGGCTCACACCTGTAATCCCAGCACTTTGGGAGGCTGAGGCAGGCGGATCACCCTGAGGTCAGGAGTTCGAGACCAGCCTGGCCAACATGGCGAAAGCCCATCTCTACTAAAACCATAAAAATGAGCCAGGCATGGTGGTGCATGCCTGTAATCCCAGCTACTCGGGAAGCTGAGGCATGAGATTCGCTTGAACCTGGGAGAAGGAGGTTGCAGTGAGCCAAGATGGTGCCACTCTCCAGGCTGGGCAACAGAGTGAAACTCCATCTCAAAAAAAAAACAAAAACACTTCAGGTAAAATAATCATAAAAAATTTTACTAGATTTTAACAGAGTTTGCTTATCTAGGTCTAAGATTTTCCCATAATGGAAGGTATTCTGCTATTCACTTGTAAAAAGATAATCACTGGTATTTATCTCTGAAGTAACAAGATCCTAATGAGGAATAAGTCAGTATCTTCAGATTGTCGAACCTGAGAAAATAATACTGGTGCATACTGGTATATTATATTTATATTATATTATCATAGCTACAGCAGCACCATTTGTGCTGAAAGTCAAGCCTGAGATGGTCACATCCTGTTCTCTAAAGGAGGTCCATGGTGTTTTTCCAGTCTCAAATGGCTCACTAGCTTACATGCTCCTACCTAGAGAAAAGTTGACAATCACTTTTTTAATTATAGTTTTAACTGTCACTTTCCATCTATCAGGAAAATCATTCCATTAAGGCACTAAAATTCTTGACAGATCCCACAAGAGGTACTGCAAAAAAGAGTGCAAATTTCTATTTAAGATAGTATGTAATATTTGCTCCCTCCTGAAACACAACCTAAAACATCTAGAATACCATTTTTAAATGCAAGATCACTTAAAGATAAAACTCCCCACTGGAGAAAAATACTTCAAAACACACCACTTCTGTGTTCAGTCATACAGGAAATTGAAACTACTTTTAAAAAGTCATATTTTTTAAACAATTATTTGTCCACAAATAAGTAACTTCAATATACAAATTCACCAGGACAAGCTCTCACTCTCTCGCCTTATCAAATAATAGCTAGGAATACAACTACAACTTTTAAAAAGGCCAAAATATTTATTTGTAGAATATAAAATGTTCTACTATTTAGGAACCTAAATTAAAAGTTTTGATTTTACTTGTTCATTTTTACAATACCTCCAGTTTCAACGCTCACATTCCTGACATCACCTTTGAAAATACATACCTTGTCATTTCGCTCGTGATCCCTCATGTGGCGTTGAAACTGGGATTCTTTTGGAAAAGATAGTAGACAGATTTCACATTTATGGAAGTTTGGAACTTGATAGGCATAATTAGTGTTCTCCGCATTCAATGTTAAAACTCCATCTATAAAATTGCATAAGTATAGACAATAAATACCAGTTGTTATTCTCATCACATAAATAAAACCAAATTATTGGTTATTGTTTAAAAACCAAATTATGTCAGAGATTTATGTGACATTTTAGACGAAATTAATGATATACTGAATTTTTTTAATTGACATGTTTTAAAGTTAGAAATGAGAAACATTGAGATGACTAAGATATGGGACAACAGAATTCTAAATACATATTGGTGGGCTTTTCAGAAGCTTAAACTAAATTCCTGAGGCTTCACAGCCACACACACCAAAACACACAAAAGCCATAATGATGCTTCTTAAACCATGTGAACCTACTGTATAGTGTTTCAAAGTCACTACAAACCACTGACGCATTTCACCTCCAAATCACTTTAAGATTTCATCAATAATCCACATTGTTTCTTAAATCACTCAGTAAACAAAACTCCAGTATCTTAAACCACTCAGTAAACAAAACTCTAGTAGAAATATTAAAGCCTTTAAATGCTAATTCACAAACTCAATGTCTCAAAACTGCTGCAAAACAAGATTAAGTAAAAAAGAAAAACTGCCACGCACAGTGGCTCGTGCCTTTTATTTCAGCACTTGGGGAAGACAAGGCAGGAGAATTGCCTGAGGTCTGGAGTTCAAGACCAGCCTGAGCAACACAGTGAGACCCCATCTCTACTAAAAAATTAGCTAGGCATGGCGGCACGTATTTGTAGTCCTACCTATTCGGGAGGCTGAGGTGGAAGGATCTCTTGAGTCCAAGAGTTTCGGGGCGTAGTGACCGATGATCCCACCACTGCACCCCAGTCTGGGCCACAGAGCAAGACCCTGTCTCTTAAAAATAAAACCTTTGCTCTCTCATATATAGACATGGCTTAGGAGGTTCAGGAAGACAAGACTGCAATGCCTCAGACAATCCTCAATTTTTACAAAGAGCTTCTATAAACCCACCCAGGTAAAGTGCTTTTAACTTAAAAGTATTTTCAAATAAGACTATATATGACAAATAACATATCACAGAATAATCACAAAACTTGTCAAAAATGCCGTAAAATAAAGATGCCCTAAATCTCTACAATTTTTAAAAATAAATATACTTCAAGTGTTATAATTTGGACATAAATACGTAATATACTTTGCTATGTGAAGACCAGAAATATGTTACACACAGCTATTTGTATCAAATTTGATCCAAAAATATTAGACTTCAGAAACTTGGGAGTAGAGTACAGGGTAAGCTGAAGAACCAAGTAGCTCAAGAAAGCCCCTTGTTCTCAAGAGTTTGTGTGATAAACACAGGCACTTGAAATGTTCTATAGACCTTGAAATCTTTGTTTTGAGAAAACAGCCTGCAGTTCCCATTTCTGCCAAAAGTCTCCTGGCTGAAAGTTGAATCTGCCTTGTAGCAAGGACCTGGAGATTCCAAAAGACAGGAGGTAGGTGAAGCCCACATGGGAGGGGCACAGAGACAGGGTGGAGGAAGTCAGCAACAGCTGCAAACATTATTCCGCAGAACCTTGAGAAAAGGCAAATTCCGGCTTCAAGAAATACAATGCAATTCAAAAGACTGCAACTTCATACATAAAAAGTGAGTCTACTAAGAAAAAGATATGCATAATTTTTATTCTATTTATTCTTAACTATATTCACATCCTGTTCAAAGACCATACTTCCAAAATTTCTACACTAAAACTAACAGCAAATGTTTTATGACTTCCCAGGCCCAAATCAAATGATTGCTGGGGCCGGGCGGAGGGGCTCACGCCTGTAGTCCCAGCACTTTGGGAGGCAGGAGGCCAAGGCGGGTGGAACACGAAGTCAGGAGATCAAGACCATCCTGGCTAACACGGTGAAACCCTGTCTCTACTAAAGACACACAGAAAAAATCAGCCGGGCGTGGTGGTGGGCGCCTGTAGCCCCAGCTACTCGGGAGGCTGACACAGGAGAAAGGCGTGAACCTGGGAGGCCGAGCTTGCAGTGAGCTGAGATCGCGCCACTGCACTCCAGCCTGGGTGAAAGAGTGAGACTCTGCCTAAAAAAAAAATAAATAAATAAAAATAAATAAAATAAAATGATTGTTGGGACCCTAGCAATTGATATACAATTCCCTTGGAAAACTGTGTAGTATGGTAAGAAACAGCTTCGAGGTTAGGAAGAGACAAATAAAATGTCTGTTGAAAATTGGGTTTTCAGAACACAGTTACAAGTGTTTTAACCTAAAGGCTGAGTACATTAATAAAAGAGCTCAACTTAATTTCTGAAATGCAAAATTAAAAAGCTATCTCAGGATGATAAAACAATTTTCACAGCCTCTATGTTGAAACTACTTAATATGTTGCCCAAAAATGAGAAGGAATTAACTGAAATTGATAGATAAAACCCTAGGAGATACGGACTATACATTTAAAATTGAAAAATGATGTCGAGGCCGGGCACAGTGGCTCATGCCTGTAATTCCAACACTCTGGGAGCCCAGGGTGGGTGGATCACCAGAGGTCAGGAGTTTGAGACCAGCCTGGCCAACATAGTGATACCCCCTCTGCGAAAAATACAAAAATTAGCCGGGCTTGATGGCGCACGCCTGTAATCCCAGCTACAAGGGAGGCTGAGGCAGGAGAATCGCTTGAACCCAGGAGGCAGAGGTTGCAGTGATCCGAGATTGCACCACTGCACTTCAGCCTGGGCAACAGAGGGAGGCTCCGTCTCAAAAAAAAAAAAAGAAAAATGTTGTTGCTTTACTTATGAATTAAGAATTTTCCAGAAAAAGAGTTATCTTAAGAAGCAAGACTCTGCACGTTAACAAACTCAAAAAATAATAATTATTTCGGTAAGTCTCTTCTTCCAAACAGTGATATAACACAGAATTAATTTGGTTCAGACACAAACTTAAAACAGTAATTCAAATTAAAGTATGACTGGAAAATTGTTTAAAAACAACAACATGGTTTAGTTTCCACACTGAGCATAATTTTGAAACCCAATGGCGGTCTAGACTCTTGCTCTACCTAGGGGCACACCTTTGTACAGGGAGCCAGTTCCCTTCGCTCTGTGGAAGCACCTTCCACCCTGACACCTTCCTGCCAGGACGTGGTGGCCTCCACTGCCCCCACTTCGCTTGCTTTCCTTCTGCTCAAAGTCAGCCCTTTCTGGGCAGTGTCCCAGGCCTCAAATAACACCTTTGGTCCATCATGCCTTCAAGTTCATTCAAATTTCTGGTCCCCAGAGTATCTGTTGTTCAGAACGAGGTCTATCAAATTAATGCATCCTGGCTGGGCATGGTGGCTCATGTCTGTAATGCCAGCACTTTGGAAGGTGGAGGCAGAAGAACTGCTTGAGGCCAGTAGTTTGAGACCAGTCTGGGCAATATAGCGAGACTGTCTCTATTTTTTAAAAAGAGACAGTCCTTAATTAATGCATCCTTAGATAAGGGCTTTTAACTGAAAGGAGCCCCAGCTAGGCTGCAGGAGACTGTGGACCCTGCTGGAACAGCATACCCACACCTGCACATATGCACACGTCTCCACACACCTCCATTGTGCAGGGGTCTCTGCAGCCACAGAGGTCATCAAATCCATTAGGGGACCAGTGATCAAAGAAACATGTGATCAAATGAATGACCGCCTCTTCATGGGATGGCCTTCTGGGGGATAGCTAATTTTTTTTTTTTTTTAAGATGGAGTCTCACTCTGTTGCACAGGCTGTAGTGCAATGGTGCGATCTCTGCTCACTGCAACCTTCACCTCCCGGGTTCAATTGATTCTCCTGCCTCAGCCTCCCAAGTAGATGGGATTACAGGTGTGCGCCACCACGCCTGGCTAATTTTTGTATTTTTAGTAGAGACAGGGTTTCACCATGTTGGTCAGGCTGGTCTCGAGCTCCTGACCTCGTGATCCACCCATCTCTGCCTCCCAAAGTGCTGGGATTACAGGCATGAGCCACCGTGCCCAGCCCCAGCTGCATTTTTTTTAAAGACAGCTAAAAGAAGGACTTGAGGTTTTTAGCAGCAGACATTCCTAATGCCTCCCAAGTCAGAATAGGTATTCTCTGCCACTCATGCACAAACACACATACCAAAATATGCACAAAGCTGCCTGCGTTTAACTGTTATCAAATCTAAGATCTAGAACAGTACTTTTCAGCTACCTGTTTCTGCCCCCTAAGAAGACAGAGGGTAGGTCACTGTAAGAGTTCACTATACACAGGGGGTGCATATGTAGAATTCCAAGGCAGTTTACCCACACAGCCACCTCACACATAAAAATATGACCACTGTTTGCTTTAATTATTCACCCTTTCTGCTACCAAGAACTTTAAACTATCAAAATTAAACAAAAACTGATTGCACAATGATCAGAAAATGAGCAGCTTTGTTTGCCTTAAGTAGAGACTAGTTTCAAAATCAGTTTAAGGCTTTACATAAATATTCTAAATAGAATAATAGCTGTTTACCACCCCAAAAATAAGAAAGCCTATCTCACAGTTGTGCGGAATAAATAAGACAATGTTTCCTGTAGCTACTAGGACAAGGGCCTGCCAATAACTTAGGACCACGGCCATCTCTTTATTCAATGCCCTACCCATCACTCCATAATCCTGCTATTCCATGACTGTATTCAGGCCTGGTCTGTCATGACTTGGCACCAGATAAGCTATCTTAAAAATGGCTCTTCTTCCCCGATCAGGCCCAGCAATCAGGCTAACCAGCTAAATCTTAATGGCAAAGGTCTTTTATTCCCCACCTAGAGACCCTACATTGATTTATACAAAATGTCTACTGGATGCCGAGTTCCAACAAAACTTATTGCATTTATAGCATTCCATGGATTTAACTCAAATTGGCCTCTTATGACAAACTCGTAAGCAGTGTGCATTTAAAATCTCAGTTATCCATAAATCTTAATGATGTATTTCATATTAAAATGAGAGATATAACAGTTTCAGCTTCTGAGTACTTTCTAAAATAACTGACCTAACCCCCAAGCTTTTTATGTTTTTGTTTTTACATTTTGAATAAAAATCGTTCTAACATATGGTTGATCTTCCTCACTCTGCTGTCAGTGTGCACCACCCTCAGAACCCTACTCCGTCACCCCCTATTCCTCTAAGACAACAGCCCCCTGGCCAGGCACCCACACTGCTCCCACCCTCTCATCCTGAGACCAGATGCTGTCGTTAGAAGTATGCCTGGAACACCTGACAGGCATCAGGCCACTCCAAATTGCTACCGCTTTAGGTCATCTCTACCACCCTTTCTCTACTTTTCCTTTTTTTTTTTTTTTGAGATGGAGTCTCACTCTGTCACTCAGGCTAGAGTTCACTGGTGTGATCTCCACTCACTGCAACCTCCACCTCCCAGGTTCAAGCAATTCTCCTGCATCAGTCTCTAGAGTAGCTGGGATTACAGGCATGTGCCACCATGCCTGGCTAATTTTTGCATTTTTCATAGAGACAGGGTTTCGCCACATTGGTTAGGCTGGTCTCGAACTCCTGACGCCGCCTCAGCCTCCCAAAGTGCTGGGATTACAGGCGTGAGACACTGCACCCGGCCTCTTCTTTAATTTAAAACTCCCTTCTACCTTCTTCCTTGTGCTCATATTACAGGCGTGAACCACTGCACCCAGCCTCTTCTTTACTTTTATTTAAAACTCCCTTCTACCTTCTTCCCTGTGCTGGGATTACAGGCGTGAGCCACTGCGCCCGGTCTCTTCTTTACTTTTTTTTTTTTTTTTTTTTTTTTTTTTTTGAGACGGAGTCTCCCTCTGTAGCCCAGGCTGGAGTGCAGTGGTGCAATCTTGGCTCACTGCAACCTCCACTTCCCAGGTTCAAGTGATTCTCCTGCCTCAGCCTCCTGAGTAGCTGGGACTACAGGCGCACGCCACCATGCCGGGCTAATTTTTGTATTTTTAGTAGAGACGGGGTTTCACTGTGTTAGTCAGGATGGTCTCGAACTCCTGACCTCGTGATCCGCCCACCTCTGCCTCCCAAAGTGCTGGGATTACAGGCGTGAGCCACTGTGCCCGGCCTCTTCTTTTATTTAAAACTCCCTTCTACTTTCTTCCCTGTTTCTACTGCTCCTGCCACATTTGTCAGCGTTCAGGTTTTAACACAGCTGGACTTTATCAGGTGAAACTCTGAAGTGTCTGGATCCTGGAGCCCTTTTTGCTTCACAAAGCCTGGCATGTAATGTGTACCTAACAAATACACATTAAATATTTGGAAATAGATAGGCCCTAATAGCTTTTTTTTTTAACCTCTTCCCAGTTGTCTGAAGCTCCCAAAACCAGTTTATCTGATTCCCACATTTCAGCCTCACCGGCTCATGCTCTCCACCTCAAAACTGCCTACGTTAGATTTAATCTTTTTCCAGCTTGTTAAGTACCCTTTGACTATTCTTATTTTATACACACATACCTGGGCCATGTGGTTGTTCCCAGGAGCCAGCTGAAATAAGTCTGCATTATTTTCTTTGCAGAGTCCCTCAGAAAGCCAAATGCTCGGACTGGGTAACAGCACCAGCCACAGGCACCTGCTTTCTTCCAAGAAGGAGCTCTCACCTGTCACTCAAAAGCACCTGCACTGAGAAGTTGGGAGAGCCAGAGAAGACTCCTGCCCTTTCTGAATTTTACCAATTATCTATTCAAATGTATTTACTCATAAGTGGGTACTCAAATGGAAATGAAATGTAACTCATATGGAAAATTCATCCCTAACCTGTATTCAACAGGAAAAGTAATATATTCTGAATGGTATCGCTTTTTTTTTTTTTTGAGACAGAGTTTCACTCTTGTTGCCCAGGCTGGAGTGCGATGGCGCGATCTCTGCTCACCGCAACCTCCGCCTCCCGGGTTCAAGCGATTCTCCTGCCTCAGCCTCCCAAGTAGCTGGGATTACAGGCATGCGCCACCACACCCAGCTAATTTTGTATTTTTAGTAGACATGGGGTTTCTCCATGTTGGTCACACTGGTCTCGAACTCCCTACCTCAGCTGAGCTGCCCACCTCGGCCTCCCAAAGTGCTGGGATTACAGGTGTCAGCCATCGCACCAGGCTATGGTATCACTTCTTAAAAAAAAAAAAAAAAGTTGAGGGGGGTGGAGCAGAGATGCACCATGCATTTGCTTGTATATTCAAAAAATGTTCCTGTAAAACCACAGAAAAAAAGTAGCATTGGTTCCCTGTGAAAAAGGCAACTATCTGACTGGGAATGGGGGCTGGTAAAGGAGAGGTACATAATTATCACGGGTGAAGGTTGAATGGTGATAACGTATTAACAAAAAAGAATTAAACATAAAATAAATAATCTTTATGGGGGGTGGGGGGAAGGCCAGTCATATTATCAATGCCCTTGTGGATAAGAAAACTAACATCCAGAGAAATTAAGCCACTTAGTAAAAATCACATAATTAAACCAGTGGCATAGCTAGTAATAATTTTCAATTAATAATCCAGGATACTCTCCTAATTAATTTTGCTTCCACTCCTCTTAAGATAATGGCTTCTGAGATAAGACACCAGTTGCTGGGCCAGGCACAGTGGCTCATGCCTGCAATCCCAGCACTTTGGGAGGCTGAGGCAGGCAGATCACCTGAGGTCAAGGGTTTCAGACCAACCTGGCCAACATGGCAAACCCCTGTCTCCACTAAAAATAAAAATAAAAAATCAGCCTGGCGTGGTGGCCCGTGCCTGTAATACTAGCTACTCAGGAGGCTGAGGCAGAAGAATGGCTTGAACCTGGGAGGTAGAGGTTGCAGTGAGCCGAGATCGTGCCATTGAACTCCAGCCTGGATGACAAGACTGAAACTCCATCTCAGAAAAAAAAAAAAAAGAAAAAAAAAAACCCAGTTGCTACTTTGAGCCTAGTGTAAAAACGACAGACAAATTTGGATTTTATCAACAACAATGTATACTAATATGTAAGCCTAAGACTGTTGATTCAATTAGGAGCCAAGCCAAAGTACCCAATTATCAAAGGCATGAGTAGTTCCAATGAAACAATTATATTCCAAAACTTTGGTATTTGCCATAATAAATGTATGAAATAAACTGTGACATGATAAATATCTGTTCAGAAACTCATTAAGTGGTCCTTAATAGTGTCGGTTCGCTCATATTATTACAGCAGACTGTTTTCCAAGAACAGATTCACCTGGCCGGGCGCGGAGGCTCACGCCTGTAATCCAACACTTTGGGAGGCCGAGGCAGGTGGATCATCTGAGGTCAGGGGTTCAAGACCAGCCTGACCAACATGGTGAAACCTTGTCTCTACTAAAAATACAAAAACGACGCCGGGTGCGGTGGCTCACGCCTGCAATCCCAGCACTTTGGGAGGCCGAGGTGGGTGGATCACGAGGTCAGGAGTTAGAGACCAGCCTGACCAACATGGTGAAACCTTGCCTCTACTAAAAATATAAAACTTAGCCGGGTGTGGTGGCGCGTGCCTGTAATCCCAGCTACTCAGGAGGCTGAGGCAGGAGAATCGCTTGAACCCGGGAGGTGGAGGTTGCAGTGAGGTGAGATTGCACCACTGCACTCCAGCCTGGGCATGGTGGTGCGTGCCTGTAATCCCAGCTACTTGGGAGGCTGAGGCAGAAGAATCGCTTGAACCCGGGAGGTGGAGGTTGCAGTGAGCCGAGATCACGCCACTGCACTCCAGCCTGGGCGATAGAGCGAGACTCTATCTCAAAAAAAAAAAAAAAAGAAAGAAAGAAAACACACACACACACACACACACACACACACACACAGGTTATAAAGACCTTGCTGATAAAACAGGTTGCAGTAAAGAAGAATCACTTGAACCTGGGAGGCGGAGGTTGCAGTGAGCCAAGATCACGTCACTGCACTCCAGCCTGAGTGACAGAGCAAGACTCCGTCTCAAAAAAAAAAAAAAAAAAAAATTCACCTTTACCCAGGTGTTCTTTCAATGCTAATTTTGTCAGTATCTGTATGTATTCGTTGTATTCGTGTAAACTCTTTCTTTTCATGCTTAATGTTATTAACGTCTCCCTCTTTTTCTTTTTTTTTTGAGACAGAGTTTCACTCTTGTTGCCCAGGCTGGAGTGCAATGGCACAATCTCAGCTCACTGCAACCTCCACCTCCTGGGTTCAAGCGATTCTCCTGCCTCAGCCTTCTGAGAAGCTGAGATTACAGGCATGTGCCACCACGCCTGGCTAATTTTGTATTTTTAGTAGAGATGGGGTTTCACCATGTTGGTCAGGCTGGTCTCTAACTCCCAACCTCAGGTGATCCATCCGCCTCGGCCTCCCAAAGTGCTGGGATCACAGGCGTGAGCCACCGCACCCGGCCGGTCTCCCTCATTTTTTAAAGAAACATCGACCCCCTTTGAAATACTTGCTTTACTACCTGTAAATTTGTATTTCTAAAGAAAGACTGTAAACTTGGGTAAATGTATATTCATGCACTACACACACATTACCCAAATTTAAAAAAACCACAGCATATTAAATTATAACAAAATAACACCTCAAGTGTCTATAGCCTTACCTTTAACCAGAACTCTAAGAATTCTAGGCTCAGGATCTGAAAGTAACAGGGCCTTTCTGAAAATGATCCAGCAGCATATTGCAAAGTAGAGTGCTTCCATTGACAGTGCAAAAAACTAATTTTCTATATATAGCATAATTTCTTGTTTTGTTTGCTGCCATTATTCTGTTTTCACCTCTACAAACATACAATTTGTGTGAACATCAAAACAACACACATATTAACTTTTAGATAAATAGAGCTAAAGAGCGCCACAGAGAACTGTGGAGAGCCCATTCTGAGATTCTGTCCCCATGTTCAATAAAACATGCATCTTGAAAGGTGGATATCTGTATATCAAAATACAGATACACAGCAGAGACTGGGAAGACACTGATAAATACAGCACTTGGAGTCAGACGACTTGAGGGTGAGTCTCATTCCTGCCAAGAGCTGTGAGTCTCCAGCAAGCCAAATAAACTCTCTCAGCCTGATTCTTCACCCAAAGATAAAGATAATGATTTCTGTCCTACCTACTCACAGGGTTGTTAAGATCCAAGTTATATAATAAATATGAAATAACTTTTAAAATACTTTTTAAGATGCACACCCATCAGATGGCTACAACTAAAAAGACAGACAATACCACAGATTGATGAGAAAAGAAAGTAACTGGAAATCTCATATATTGCCAGAGGGCATGAAAATTGCTATAGCCACTCTTGAAAGCTATTTAGCAGCATCAACTAAAGCTAAATACATGCATAACTTATAATCCAGCAGTTCCACTCCTAGGTACATCTCCAACAGAAATGTGTACGTATGTGCACCCAAACGCCATGTTTAAACATTCACAGTAGCACAATTTACAACAGCAGCAACAAAAAGCAACACAGATGCCCTCCAACAACAGAAGGGGCAAATATGTTGGAGGAGATTTTATGATGGAATACTATCAAACAGTGAGAATGAGCAAACTTCTGCTCTACATAAAAACACGGACAAATCTCACATTTTTACCAAAAGAAGCCAGACGTAAGAAAACAATCTGTATGGTTTCATTTTATTTAAAAAGTTAAACAAATAGGCAAAACTAACCTACGTTGTTAGAAATCAGCAAAGTGGCTAGTCGCAACAAGGAGGGTCCTTACTGGGATGGAGCACAGTGAAGATTTCTTAGGGTGCCACTTAATGTCTTCTTTCTTAATCTAGGTGCTGACTACATAAGTGAGTTCTCTTTGAGAAAAATTCATTGAGCCAACCACAATTTCTGTTCTTCTCTGTGTGTTATATATCAATATAGTTTACTCAAAAGTAAAGTGCTATAATACATAACTTTCTTTTCTCTTCCTGTCTTTTCCTCTAGATTGGGGGTCAAGTAACTGTGGCCTAGCCTTTTTTGGTACACAAAGGTTTGCTGAAACTCAGGCATATAGCAGATCTGAGTAGTCACGACAGAGGCCGTACAACCTACAAAGCCTAAAACATTTACCACCTGACCCTTGACATAAAGAATACTTGCCAACTCCTGCACTACACTGTAAACTATGACTCCATCTGGAATCACAGCCATCACGACTGCAATCCCTGAAATTTCCACGACTTTCCACAGGTCACAGCACTCCTCCCACCACAGTGAAGTCTCTGAGAGATAAAGGCATTAAAGGTTTACATGCACTATGCATTATTTTCTACAGTAAAAAGCTCTAATGTTTACTTAACCATAATCTCCCTAAAGCTGATAAGGCCCTTTGTCTTAGTCATGGGATAGAAAGACTGGTTGTTCTCCTAAATAGTAACTTTATGAAAATTAACACAATAAAGACAGTTGTCTCTTTCTGACTTCTGTGCCCAAGATCAATGTACTTCACTCCATATGTTTTAACCCCTCCACTGAATGTTCTCTGCCAAGCATTTTCAAGCTGATAAATGTGATGATGAGTATTTGAGCCTAGTTTGCTGCCCAACAATGCAAAGGTATGTATTTCCTAAAAATGTGCAATGTCTTCTAAATATGACATGTACCACCAACAATTTGTGAGGTGACGTTAAGTGATACACAAATAACTAATTCTAATGGCTATCTATCCATTTTAATGTGTCTTGACATAAAGTATCATTGACACATCAAAACAGTATGATATTGGCAAAAGGACAGAGACACTAGTGAGAGTTCAGAAGTAAACACATATATTTATCATCCATTGATTTTTAACAAGAATGCCAGTACCATTCAATGAGGCAATAAACAGTTCTAGCCGAAGTGGATATACAAAGGTTAAAAACTGAATTCAAAGCCAGGCGCGGTGGGTCACGCCTGTAATCCCAGCACTTTGGGAGGCTAGGCGGGCGGATTGACTGACATTAGGAGTTCGAGACCAGCCTGGCCAACATGGTGAAACCCTGTCTCTACTAAAATAACAAAAAATTAGCCAGGCGTGGTGGCACACGCTTTTAATCCCAGCTACTCAGAAATCTGAGGCAGGAGAATTGCTTGAACCTGGCAGGCAGAGGTTGCAGTGAGCCAAGATTCCACCACTGCACTCCAGCCTGGGCAACAAGAGTGAAACTCTGTCTCAAAAAAAAAAAAAAAAAAAAGAAAAAGAAAAAGAAAAAAAGGAATTCAGACCTTCACTTCATACCATATACAAAAATTAAATCAGATCAAAGACTTCAATTTAACAACTAAAACTATAAATCTCCTAGAAGAAAAACATAAGGGACAAGCTTCGTGACTACGGATTTGGCAACAGTGTCTTAAATTTGACACGAAAAGCTACAAATAACCAGGAGGAAACAAACACAAATTCCACTCTATTAAAATTTAAAACTTTTGTGAAGGCTGGGCATGGCAGCACATGCCTGTAATTCCAGCACTTTGGGAGGCTTGCGGGGCGGGGGGGGGGGGAGGGGGTGCGGATCACTTGAGGCCAGGAGTTCAAGACCAGCCTGGCCAACATGGCAAAACCCCATCTCTACTAAAAATACAAAAATTAGCCAGGGGTGGTGGCACACGCTTGCAATCCCAGCTACTCCAGAGGCTGAGGCACGAGAATTGCTTGAACCTGGAAGTCAAAGGTTGCAGTGAGCCAAGACTGCACCACTGAACTCCAGCCTGGGCATCAGAGCAAGACTGTGTCTCAAAAAAACAAATAAATAGGCCGGGCGCGGTGGCTCACGCCTGTAATCCCCGCACTTTGGGAGGCCAAGGCAGATGGATCAAGAGGTCAGGAGATCGAGACTATCCTGGCTAACACGGTGAAACCCCGCCTCTACTAAAAATACAAAAAATTAGCCAGGCGTGGTGGCGGGCGCCTGTAGCTCCAGCCACTCGGGAGGCTGAGGCAGGAGAATGGCATGAACCCGGGAAGCAGAGCTTGCAGTGAGCCGAGATCGCACCACTGCACTCTAGCCTGGGCGACAGAGCAAAACTCTGTCTCAAAAAATAATAATAATAATAAATAAATAAATGAAAATAAAACCTTTGTGAATCAAAGGGCACTATCAAGAAGGAGAAAAGGGCCAGGCATGGTAGCTCACACCTGCAGTCCCAGCTACTTGGGATGCTAAGGCAGGAGGATAATTTGAGGCCAGGCGTTTAAGGGCAACATAGCAAGATCCTGTCTTTAAAAAATAAAACATAAAAATTTAGCCAGGCATGGTGGTGGGCACCTGTAGTCCCAGCTACTTGGGAGACTGAGGCAGGAGAATCACTTGCGCCCGGGGGTTTGGGGCTGCAGTGAGCTATGCTCGCACCACTGCACTCCAGCCTGGGCAACTGAAAGAGTGAGACACTGCCTCAAAGAAAAAAAAATTATAAAGACTGTATAGGCCAGGCGTGGTGGCTCACACCTGTAATTTCAGCACTTTGGGAGGCCGAGGTGGGCAGATCACGAGGTCAGAAGTTCGAGACCAGCCTGGCCAACATGGTGAAACCCCGTCTCTACTAAAAATACAAAAATTAGCTGGGTGTGGTGGTGGGCGCCTGTAATCCCAGCTACTTGGGAGGCTGAGGCAGGAGAATCGCTTGAACCCAGGAGGTGGAGGTTGCAGTGGGCCAAGATTGTGCCAATGCACTCCAGTCTAGGCAACAGAGCAAGACTTAATCTCAAAAAAAAAAGAATGTATAAATAGCAGGCTAATGGATGGAGAGGTATAAATGACATTTAAAAATGCTTTATTGAGCCAAAAGAAGGCAAGAAAGAAAGGGGAATATAAAATGATGAATCAAGTAGAAAACTATGTCTCAAAACGGCCTTAAATGTACTTAAAATCAGCATATCAATTAAAGACAAAGATCATCAGGCCATACTTAGAAAAGTTAACTATAGGCTGCTTGCAAGAGATATAACTTACATATAAGGATAGAAAGACAAAGTAAAAGAATTGAGAAATAAATACTATAGAACACTAACCAAAGCAGTCATGGTGCAGGTGTACCAACATCAAACAAAGGAGGCTTTAAGGCAAAAGTCATTACTAGATATAAAGTATGACTCATTTCATAATGATAAGAGTTACTATACCAGGAAAATATAAGATCTTTCAATTTGTATGGTTAAAAATGTAGCTCAAAATATAAAGATTGACAGAAGAATAGACAAATTCACAATCATAGAATTTAATATTTAATACTTTTCTGAGTAACTGACAGAAAAAAATAGATATATGTTCTTTTCAAGTGCACATGGAACATTTACCAAATATAACCACATAACATGAAAAGACCCAAGAAGTTTTCAAATAATTAAATAACTCAAGGTAAGTTCTCTGACAACAACCCAAGTAAACTAGAAATCAGTAACAATGAAGGTAATTTCAAAATTTAGCCACATCTTTTGCAATAACTTATGAGAACTCACAATAGAAATCAGAAAATAATCTTGAACTTAGTGAAGACAAGAATAAACCACATCAAAATTTTGTGGATGCAGTTAAAACTGTAGAATTGCCAATAGCCTTAATACCTACAACCTTAAATGTAGATATTAGAAAGTAAGAAAGGCTGAAAATTAGTTCAGTATCCATATCAAGAAGCTGAGAAAAAAAAAAAAAAACAGAAAATAAAATGTAGGTACAGAACCGGAAGCGGCGTATATGTAGTTCTCTTCCCTTTTGTGACCATCAGTGAAGCGGGAGCAGCCCAAATGAAGTTCAATCCCTTTGTGACTTCTGACCAAAGTAACAACCACAAAAGGCATTTCAATGCACCTTCCCACATTCGCAGGAAGATTTTGTCTTCCCTTCTTTCCAAAGAGCTAAGAGACAAGTACAATGTTCGATCCATGCCCATCCGAAAGGATGATGTTCAGGTTGTATGAGGACACTATAAAGGTCAGCAAACTGGCAAAGTAGTCTGGGTTTACAGGAAGAAATATGTCCTCTACATTGAATGGGTGCAACGGGAAAAGGATAATGGCACAACTGTGCATACAGGCATTCACCCCAACTGTGCACACAGGCATTCACCCCAGCAAGGTGGTTATCACTAGGCTAAAACTGGACAAAGACCGCAAAATGCTCCTTGAACGGAAAGCCAAATCTCGCCAAGTAGAAAAGTAAAAGGGCAAATATAAGGAAGAAACAATTGAGCAGATGCAGGAATAAAGTAATCTTATATACAAGCTTTCATTAAAACTTGAAATGAAAAAAAAAAAAAACCCTAAGGAAAGTAGAAGCAGGAAAATGATAAAGAGAAGAAACTAGTGGAATATAAAACAAACATCTATAAATTGAATTGAAAGTCCAAACTTGGATCTTTGAGAAGATTGTTAAAATTCATAAACCCTGCCATGACTAAGAAAAAAATAAGAAAAAGCACAATCTCCACCATCAGGGAAGAGAGAAGGGCCATTACTACAGAGCCTGCAGTCATAAAAAGATAATGAGATACTTATGAATAATGTTCTGTTAATAAATTTTAAAATATTAGATGGTTCTTACAAACAAAACTTACCAAAACTGACACAAAGTAAAATTTTAAACTTCAGTTGTCTTATATATACTAAAGAAACTGAATCTGCAATTTAAAATTTTCCCCAAAAGGCCAAGTCATGGTGGCTCATGCCTGTAATCCCAGCAGTTTGGGAGGCCGAGGTGAGAGGACTGCCTGAACCTAGGAGTTCAAGACAAGCCTGGACAACATGACAAGACCTCATGTCTATTTTTAAAATTATTTTAAAAATTAAAAATATAAAATTTCCCCACAGAAATCTCAAAGCCCAGATGATTCTAACAGGGAATTCTACCACAGATTTAAAAACCATATAATGTCAACCTTATTATAAACTCTTACAGAGAAAAGAAAATAAAGGAAGACTTCCCAACCTATTTTATGAAGCCAGCAAAATACTAGTATCAAAACTTGAGAATGGCAATATAAAAAAATAAAATTGTAGTCCAATGTGGCTCATAAACACAGATATAAAAAGCATAAAGTATGTACAAATCAAATCCAGATATACAAAAAAGAATAATATCGCAACAAGTTTGCCTGTATCCCAGGGATACAAGTTTGGCTTACCATTAGAAAAATCAATGTTTTTCACCCTATTAACAAAATATAAAAGAAAAATCACATGATCACCACAAAAAATACAAAGTAAACATGATAAAATTCAAGACCCATTCATGATAAAAAACTTAGCAAAATAGAAATAAAACTTATGTAATCTTATAATATCTACCTCCACCCCCCAAAAGAAACCCACAACAAGCACCCTAGTTAATAATATAATTTTCCTCCTGCAGTTGGGAACAAGTCAAGAATGTCCCTTATTCACCGCATTTATTCACCGTTATAGAAGAGATCCTAGCCAGTACAATGAGCTAGAAAAAACAGTAACGAAAGTGATAAAGATTGGAAATGAAGAAATAAACCTGTTGATATTTACAAATATGATTACAGAGAAAATTCCAAAAGAATCTACAGCTAAACTATTACAAATAATAAATATGTAAAAGACTTTGGATACAATACCAATTTTTAAAAACCAATTGTATTTCTATGAACAAGCAACATATAGAAAATGAAATTTTTAAAATACCATCAACAATAGTTTCAGGAAATATCAAATATCTAGGAGTAAATTTAACAATATTTGTATAAGTCCTGTATCTTGAAGTCCCAAAACATTACCAAGAGACGATAACGAGGAAAGAAATGATAGGAGAGATCATGTTTAGATTCAAAGACTCAAGATTGTAAAGACATTAGTTCCACCCACATTATCTATAGAGTCAATATAATTTGATCAAGATCCCAGCAAGTTTTTTTAGGAAAACTTATATGCTGATTCAAAAATCTACATGAAATTGAAAAGTACCAACAATTGTCAAGATGATCGCAAAAATTAAAAACTAAATGGAGGACTTATATTTCCCATACCAGATACCAAGACTCAGAATAGCATAATTAAGACAGTGTGAAACTGACTAGCCAGGAACAACAACAAAAAAAAAAACAGTGGAAAAGAGTAAGTACAGAACAATTCTTCACCTGATTTGCAACCATGTAAAAAAAAGACAAAAATGGTATTTCCAACAAATACTACAGATTAATTGGGTATCTATATGTGTAAAAAAAAAAAAAAATCCTGACCTTTCCCTCTTCAAATCACATTCAGATGAAGTGTCAATCTAAAGGTGAGACGTATAGCTGGGCACAGCAGCTCACACCTGTAATTCCAGCACTTTGGGAGGTCAAGGTGGGCGGACCACCTGAGGCGAGGAGTTGGAGGCCAGCCTGGCCAACATGGTGAAACCCCATCCCTACTGAAAATACAAAAAATTAGCCAAGTGCGGTGGTGCGCACCTGTAATCTGAGCTACTCAGGAGGCTGAGGTACAAGAATCGCTTGAACCCAGGAAGCAGATGTTGCAGTGAGCCAAGATCACACTACTGCACTTGAGCCTGGGTGACAGAGCGAGACCCTGTCTCAAAAAAATAAAATAAAGATGTAAAACAATAAAGCCTCTAGATGAAAACATAGGAAAATATTACTTATTTTCAAATATTATTTAAATAGATCCGAAAAGTACTAAAGGACTGACAAATTGTTATTAAGAACTTGTTTAATTGATTAGAAGGTATCTTTAAAAGAGTGAATAGGAGACTATAAAAAACTCATCCAGAGTATATAAAGACCTCCTATAAATCAGTAATAAAACGGCATACAGCCCTTCACCAAAGAAGATACACAGATGGCAAATGAGCCTATGAGAAGATGCTCAACATCGTATGTTAAAAATTAAACATACGATGGAAATTGCAAATTAAAATGAGATATCCAGTACACGCCTAACAGAATGGCTAAAATCCAAAAAACTAATTAATCCCAAATGCTGGTTAGGATGTACAACAGAAACTCTCATTCATTCCTGGTGAGAATACAAAATGGTACAACCACTTTGGAAAACAGCTTCGCAGCCTGTTAGAAAAAACTAAACATAGTTTTCCCATACAACCCAGCAGTCACAGTCCCCGAGATTTACCCCCAATGACTTGAGAACTTACATCCAACACAAACCTGCACACAAATATTTATAGCAACTTTACTCATATTGCTAAAAACTGGAAGCAACCAAGATGTCCTTCAAAATGTAAATGGATAAATGTGATACATCCATACAGTAGAATATTATTCAGCAACAAAATGAAATACCTATCAAGCCTTGAAAAGACATGGAGGAATGCATGTCTTACTCAAAGCCAATCTGAAAGGTTGCATACTGAATGCTTCCAGCTATGTGACATTCTGGGGAAGGCAAAACTATAAGGACAATAAAAATATCAGTGCTTGCCATTGGTCAGGGAAGGGATGGATGAACAGGCGGAGGAAAGGGCAGTGAAACTATTCTGTATGACACTATACGGCAAATATGCATTTGTCCAAACCCATGGGATACACAACATAGAAAATATATCCTAATGCGAATGATGGGCTTTAGTTAATAACAATGTATCAACATTGGCTAAATTTACTACACCAATGCAAGATGTTACCAATAGGAGAAACTGTGAGGAGAGACAGAAGGTGTCTCCATACTATCTGCTCCATATTATCTGCTCAATTTTGGGTAAGCATGAAACTGCTCTAGAAAAGAAAGTATTAATTTTAATATATGTCCCAGTAGAAAAACAGGCCAAGTCTTCAACAGGAGCTTAGCAAAAGAGAACAAATGGCTGACAAACATAAAAACTGTATTAGTATAGAACTCAAAATAAAAATCAAAATGAGATACCACTATACATACCAAAACAGCTAAACAATAAAGGGACAGGCCCATCTTGTCCAATCCACAGTCCACATGCAGCCCAGGACGGCTTTGAATATGGCCCAACACAAATTCGTAAACTTGCCTAAAACATTATGAGACTTTTTTTGAGATTTTTTTTTTTAACTCCACCAGCTATCATTAGTGTTAGCGTATTTTATGTATGGCCCAAGACAGTTCTTCCAATGTGGCCCAGGGAAGCTGAAAGATTGAATCTCCGGGGAGAGGCAATAATAAGTGCTACCGAGCCTGCGGAACAAATGCACGCTCATCCCCTGCTGGTAGGAGAGGAAGCCAGGACTGTCACTGGGCGACTGGCTGGCTGTATCCACTACGGCCCATAAATACATAAAAGTTTGTAGCAACACTTATTCAAAAGAGCCAAAAACTGGAAATAACCCAAATATCAAGAGGAGAAGAGTAATTTATGGTAGGTTCATATAATGTAATACTATATACTTATCAAAATAAACACAGTTCTGCTGCATAGCAACAGGAAAAATCTCATAAAAATAAATATTGAATGAATCAAGCCAGAAAAAAATACGGGTTCATACTATAAATTCAATTTAGTTCAAAAACAGGTAAAGCTGGCCAGGCACCGTGGCTCACACCTGTAATCCCAGCACTTTGGGAGGCCGAGGTGGGTGGATCACAAGGTCAGGAGATCAAGACCAGCCTGGCCAACATGGTGAACCCCCATCTCTACTAACACACAAAAAATTAGCCAGGCGTGGTGGCGCGTGCCTGTAATCCCAGCTACTCAGGTGGCTGAGGCAGGATAATCACTTGAACCCGGGAGACGGAGGTTGCAGTGAGTGGAGATCGCACCACTGAACTCCAGCCTGGCAACAGGGCGAGACTCCGTCTCAAAAAAGAAAAAGCAAAACAAAAACAGGTAAAGCTAACATGTCGTATCAGAAGCCAGGACAGTGCGGGGAAGGCCTGTGACTGCGAGGGGCACGAACACACTGGATGCTGGCTTGACAGGAAAACTCATGAAGCTCCTCACCTAAAACCTGTGCACTTTTCTAGGCAGATGTTTTTTGTGATTAAAATAGTTACTTAAACCTAACAACAAAGAGGTTTCAAATAAATATACACATTTCTGGCTTCTCTTAGCAATCATAAACCGGCTGGGTGCCATGGCTCATGCCTGTAATCCCAACACTTTGGGAGGCTAAGGCAGGGGATAGCTTGAGTCCAGGAAGTTGAGACCAGCTTGAGTAACATGGCGAAACCCCATCTCTACAAAAAATACAAAAATTAGCCGGGCGTAGTAGCACGAGGGTGTAGTGCCAGGTACTCAGGAGGCCGAAGTGAGAGGATGGCTTGAGTCCGGGAGGCAGAGATTACAGTGAGCCGAGATCATAGCACTGCACTCCAGCCTGGGCGACAGAGCGAGACTCCGTCCAAAAAAAAAAAAAAACCTCCCCCAGGAGATTCCATAATGCGTGAGTTGCCAAGGGTGAGAGCCACGCTCCAGGCCTTGCCATGATACTTCATGTGAAGAAAAGTTCTATGACAAAACATAGCTTGAAAAACACTGCTACTTTCTTGAAAGCAGAGACGCACTATCTCTGTACACACAGACAACATAAAGGCTTGAAATATAAAAAGCATTCCGAAAGTGTGGAATTGACTTTATCTAATAAGGAATTACGGTTTACACTATAGCTTTTCCCAAGCTCGTTTTGCATGAAAGACCAAGGTTTTAAACCCATGTGATGTCACTACTTAATGCCAGGATTATAAAATCTTTAGAGGTTATCTAATCACACTTCCTTCAAATTACTAAAGACTCCACGGTGGCTCACACATGTAATCCTAACACTGGGAGGCCAAGCGGGGCAGATTGCCTGGCTCAGGAGTTCAAGACCAGCCTGGGCAACATGGTGAAACCCCGTCTCTACTAAAATACAAAAAATTAGCTGGGCATGGTGGCATGTGCCTGTGGTCTCAGCAACTCAGGAGGCTGAGACTGGAGAATTGTTTGAACCCAGAAGGCGGAGGTTGCAGTGAGCCCAGATCACGCCACTGCATACCAGCCTGGGCAACAGAGCGAGACTCCGTCTCCAAAATAAATAAACACATACTCCAAATTTCGGCCTACCTAAAAAGTTCAATTATGGAGAGTGGAGGGTTTCATCCTTGGATAGACACCTGATATTGTTAGAAAGTTACTGTTTTAAGCAGAAGCTGTCTCCCTGAAGCAAGTAAGGACTGCACTGTTACCAGAAGCCTGAGGGGATTACAGCTCTGGCTGCCTCCTGCCGCTTCAAAGGATAAAGTCTGGCAGGCGTGGGGGCTCACGCCTGTAATCCCAGCACTTTGGGAGGCCAAGGCAGGTGGATCACCTGAGGTCAGAAGTTCAAGAACAGCCTGGCCAACATGGCAAAACCCCATCCCTAGTAAAAATACAAAAAATTAGCCAGGCATGGTGGCATGCACCTGTAATCCCACCTACCCAGGAGGCTGAGGTGGGAGAATCACTTGAACCTGGGAGGCGGAGGTTGCAGTGAGCCAAGATCATGCCACTGCACTCCAGCCTGGGTGAGAGAACGAGACCTTGTCTCAAAAAAAAAAAAAAAAGTAAAGCCCTACTACCCCTAGCTTACACTGGTGGTGCCTCCCCTTGGGCTCTTGAATTCATCCAAGAAAACTGAAAATTCCTGAACTGGTAACCTAATCAGGAAAAGACTTGTTTATCCATTGGGCTCATGGTCTGCCTGTCTCCGCTCTCTGGAAATGAACTAAGTATTACAAATATCCCTCCAAAAGGAAAAAGAAACAGCAGGAGGCCAACTAAAGGGGCAAGCTAAAAAGAAAAATTTTGCACTATTCCATTGGAGAAAACAGATGGAAATCATACAAGATTCCAAAATGTGGTTTCCCTCAAGGTCACATTATTGCTAAAATAATTATGATAAAGAAAAAAAGCATATCTCACTCATCCTTCTATCCCCAGGATAGTGCCAGGGACACATCAAGTGCTGAATGAATGCTGCCCCATCGATGCCTGTGAGACTCACTTCTCACGTCCTGACTACTTCAACAAATATTCTTTCAGTGGGCCTCTTCTTACTCATCTCTTTAGGCTTGAATTTTAACAACATTTTCTCCAGGAAGCCTAGACTTCAGGTGCCCAATCTGTCACCATGAACACTTTCTACCTTTATAAGGATACCTAGAGATCATGTCTCTTGTTCAGCTTTGTATTCTAGACCCTAGCACAGGGCTCACCTATCACAGGAAGTGCTCTAAAAATAGTTGTTCAGCCAGGCACGGTGGCTCATACCTGTAATCTCAGCACTTTGGGAGGCCACGTGGGGGGATCACGAGGTCAGGAGTTCGAGACCATCCTAGCTAACAGGGTGAAACCCCATCTCTACTAAAAATACAAAAAGATTAGCCGGGCATGGTGGCATGCACCTGTAGTCCCATCTACTCAGGAGGCTGAGGCAGGAGAATCACTTGAACCCAGGAGGCAGAGGTTGCAGTGAGCCGAGATCAAGCCACTGCACTCCAGCCTGGGCAAAAAGGGCAAAACTCCGTCTCAACAACAGGCCGGGCACTGTGGCTCACGCCTATAATCCCAGCACTTTGGGAGGGCGAGGTGGGAGGATCACCCGAGGTCAGGAGTTCGAGACTAGCCTGACCAACATGGAGAAACCCCATCTCTACTAAAAATACAAAATTAGCTGGGCATAGTGGCGCATGCCTGTAATGCCAGCTACTCAGGAGGCTGAGGCAGGAGAATCGCTTGAACCCAGGAGATGGAGGTTGTGGTGAGCCAAGATCGTGCCATTGCACTGCAGCCTGGGCAACGAGCAAAACTCTGTCTCAAAAAAAACAAAAACAAAAACAAAAAAATAGTTGTTGAATACAGGAATTAGTGTACATGAAGGGTTTTATATTTATCAAGGCAGAACACTAAAATGCATGCTTTTTTTTTTTTTTTGAGACTGAGTCTCCCTCTGTCACCCAGGCTGGAGTGCAGTGGCGCGACCTCAGCTCACTGCAACCTCTACCTCCTGGGCTCAAGCGATTCTCATGCCTCAGCACTCCCAAGTAGCTGCGACTACAGGCGCCAGCCACCATGCCTGGCTAACTTTGGTATTTTTTTTTTTTTAGTACGGCTGGGGTTTCACCATGGGGGCCAGGCTGGTCTCAAACTCCTGGCCTCAAGTGATCTGCCCACCTCAGCCTCCCAAAGAGCTGGGATTACAGGTGTGAGCCACCATGACAGGCCTAAAATGCATGCTTTGGACACAAATGGAGATCCAGTTCCCAACTGCCACTCACTAACTGGGTGGACTTTCCAAATCAGGTTTCCAGGCCGGTCGCGGTAGCTCACGCCTATAATCCCAGCACTTTGGGAGGCCGAGGCGGGCGGATCATTTGAGGTCAGGAGTTCGAGACCAGCCTGATCAACATGGTGAAACCCCGTCTCTACTAAAAATACAAAAAAAAAAAAAAAAAATAGCTAGCCATGGTGGCTCACGCCTGTAATACCAGTTACTCGGGAGGCTGAGGCAGGAGAATTGCTTGAACCCGGGAGGCGGAGGTTGCAGTGAGACAAGATCGCGCCACTGCACTCCAGCCTGGGCAATAGAGACTCCAACTCAAAAAGAAAAAAAAATCAGGTATCCGCTCTGAGCTTCATTCCCCTATCTGTAAAAATCCCTACATCCCTTGCAGAGTTTTCTTAGGAATGAAATTCATAATAGGGCAACAAAGAAAATAAAACCACTTCACTTACGAGAAATGTGATTAACACAGTAAGTGATAGAGCAATGTCCCTCATTTTGGTTTCAGGACCCCTTGATACATTCTTAAATGCAGCCCTCAGCTGGAAGCAGTGGCTCATGCCTGTAATCCCAAAACTCTGGGAGACTGACGTGGGAGAATCACTTGAGCCCAGGAGTTCAAGACCAGCCTGGGCAACATTGTGAAACCCCATCTCTATTTAAAACAAAACAAAAAAAAAGAGGCCCTAGAAGCCTTCTAGTTTATGTAAGTTATATCTATTGATGTTTGTCCTATTAGAAATTAAAACTAAGCAATTTTTAAAATATTTACTTATTTAAAATGTCTACTACACATTAACATAATTATTTTTATGAAAAATATGTCTTCCCCAAAAATAGTTAAGAATGGTTTTCATTTTTACAAATCTTTGTAATGTCTCGATTAACAGAAGACAGTTGGATTGTCATATCTATTCTGCATTTTCTCTGGTGCAACCTGTTCTTCTTGACTGTGATACATGAAGGTAATACAGCCTCACTCTTAGGCACCGCCACCACCACCTAGATTCGTGCTAAGATGTCAGCAGTTGTGCCAACAACTGCTTTTGTACAATTAGTGCAAAAATTAACAGAGTGAAAAAGCCTAACAGTCTTAGTCTATGATATTTACCTTACAGAAGCCTGAAAACATCTCAGGGAACCCCCAGGGGTCCAGGAACCACAGTTTGAGAACCACTTTGCTACAGGAGGACTGGTGTTCAGAAGGGAAAGGTAACTTTTAAGCAGGTTTGAGGAAGGCCTCTCTGAAGACGCTAAATCACTTGGAGCCACAAGACTAGCAAAAAGTGCTTCTCAGACTAGGAAATGGCAAATGCCCTAAGACAAAAACTAATGTGGCATCAAGGAACACAAAAGACTGCATGCCAGAGCAAGGAAAGAGAGAAGAGTCAGACAAGGCCCGATCAACAGGATCCTGGAGGAATGGGTTTCTGTTAAAGGGATGAGGAAGCCAATGCACGCTTTTAATCAGGGTGTAGCCATCTGATTTACATTTAACAAGTTCATCCACGCTGACAAGTGACAGATTTATTTACAGGAGCCCAGGACTAGCAGGGCCCAGGAAGGGGGCTCCTGCAGCTCTCCAGCCCGGAGAGGGAGGCTGGGTCAGAGGGTATCTCTGGAGATGGAAAGAGGAGGGCCCACTGGAAATACATTCCCGAGGTAGAAGCTGCAACACTAAATTAGGAAGTGTGTTGGGGGATAAAAGAAATAGAATAATTCTTGAGGCCTGAGGGTGAAACACCAGGTGGACAGGGATACCATCGGTGAGATGGGGATACTGGGGGAATGGGTGCCCCGCCTGTGGCCGTGGAAATTTTACATTCTTTCTCTATCCTAAGCCTTCTTCCAAGTAACTGAGACACTGCACCTTACATTATTTTTGGCAGATGGCATACTAACAAAACAATTAAACTAACGAAATAAGGTCAAGGCCAAAACTCAAAAGCGGGAGAGGCAACAAAGACTTCCTTAAAGGCCAGACACCATCAACCATTAATCAAAATTCTGAGCACTGCTGTTATCCAACTACAAATCTGCATACCTGGGTCATGGTGCAGCCAACATCTCTCCAGCAGCCCACAAAGGCCCATGAGGTGTGCGAAAGCTCGCTGAAACGCCTGTTGGTCACCAACGTTTCCGTAATGTGCACGTGTGTTAACTCTACCAAGTGCAATCACGACAAGAATTCCTGGTTTGGTGTGGCCTATGAATAAGTTTACATTGATTCCTACCCATTACCTCTTTCTTCCTAAACACAAAATTAACACAATCCTTTGTAGTTTCCAGGCCCGACCTTTCTCTGGGGCACCTGTGTTGTTTGGTCACAAGCTCTTTAATGAGCCTCAGTTTACTCATCCCCAAGAAAAGGGGAACACTTGAGTCACTAAGCTAAACAGTTAAATAAAAATCAACGGCAGTCAAGGTATAACCCACCGACTCCCATAGGGAGTCCTAGGCGCCCACTCCCCCTTAGAACCCCCTTCAAAACCCTTTCCAAACGCGGAGCGCCGCTCCAGTTGCACGGGTGACCAGGACCAGGGACCAGGCCTGCAGGGGGAGACTCGCGTCCAAGGCCGCACGGGAACCACGGCGCCCGCGAGAAAAAGCGCGGCGCCCCCTACCCCACTGCCCTCGACCTGGGAACCGCGGCACCGGCGAGTGCGCCCCGATCCCCCTGCGCAGGAAAGTCCGTTCCTCAAGCTCCGGGCTGGGGCTTTGGAAGGCAAGTCAATTCCTGACTGCTGGAAGGGCCAGGGTCTGGGGGTGCCCGGTTGTGTGTCTGCCTGCTCTTAAATTCTGGGCCTTTCTCCTTCCTTGGAAAACAAAATCTGAGTTATTTCATGACTTTAGCAAAGTACCATGGAGAATAAATTACTGGGGAAAACACTTCCTGACGCCTACTGTGTGCACGATCTAGCGCTCCCCACATAACACTGATGCCTACTGTATGCACGACCCACAGCGCTCTCCAGAAGCTCCAGGTTCAAGCTACCCGGATCACAATGGTGCCTACTGTTTGCACGACCCACAGCGCTCTCCAGATGCCCAGGGTTCCAGCCCCCCGGATCACAATGGCGCCTACTGTATGCACTACCCACAGCGTCTGCAGAGGCTCAGGGTTCAAGTTCCCGGATCACAATGGCGCCTACTGTATGCACGCCCCACAGCGCGCCCCAGATAACACTGGAGCACACTGTGTGCACGACCCTGCGCTTCCCGGACAACGCTGGCGCCTACTGTGTGCACGACCCCGCGCTCCACGGCCTCCCTGTGGGCCGAGCCCAACGTCCCCGGGGCAGCCGGCGCCGCGCAGGGTCGGGCGGGGGCGCCGTCCGGGAGGAGCCCGGGGCGCGGTATCCGCAGGCCCGGGCTCTGGCCAGGCCGCCTCCCCAGCGCGCCCCGCGGCCCTCCGGCCCCGGGACGGAACACGGGGCGGCCACTTTCCCTCAAGTTCAGCGCGGGCCGCGGCAGGGCCAGCGGGGGCAGGGCGCGCGCAGGAGGCGGCCGCCTGCTCCCTCACCCGCCTCCCGCCTCCCGCCTCAGCCGCCGCCCGGCCCAGGAAAGTAGGCCCAGCGCGCGGAGGGGCCGGGCGGCGACTCGCCCGTATCATTCCGCCCGCGCTGCGGCCCGCCCGGCCAGTCGGCGGCGGCGGCGGCCCGGGTCTGCGCGGCCCCCGCCCCCGCCCCGCCGCTCCCGGCGCCCCCCGCGCCGCATCCGGGGACTGGCAGGGCGCGGGCCCCGCACCGGCCGCCGGCGGGGCGCGAGGGCGCGGCCGCGGGCCTTACCGGAGTCGCCGCGCGCCTTGCTCTCCCTGGGCTTCGGGGGGCGGCCCCGCGGCATCGTCGGCGGCCCGGCTCGCACCCACACCCACTCACACTCACACTCACACTCACACGCGGCGGCGGGGGCGCGCACGCGCGGGCACCGGGGCGGGGGCGCGCCCAGCCGGCGCTAGAGGCGGGCGGAGCTGCCCGGCGGCGGGCGGCCCGGTCCGAGCGCCGCCGGGCTCACGGGGGAAAGGCGCCTGAACGCGCGCACCGGAGCGCTCGAACCGCGCCGGCCTTGGCAGGTTCCATGGCCCGCGGGCCGCGGTGGGGGCGTTGGGCGCGGGCGCGGGCGCGGTGGGGGCGGGGGCGGCGGCGGGGCGCATGCGCGGCGCCGCGGGGCCTTAGCGGACGGAGGGGAGCGCGGGGGTCACCGGGCCGGGCCGGCAGCCCTAGAGCTCGGCCTGGCGGGGACCCTGGGCCAGCCCCGCGCCTCCGTGGCCCGGGCGTCTCGTGCGTGTCCGCGAACTCGCGTGCGCGCGTCACCTCGGACCGCAGCATGGCTCGGAGGGCGGCCCTACTCGCGCCGCCCTAGTGCTGCGAAGGGCCTCGGAGCCCAAACCCGGAACCGCCATCTGGGACTGGGAAGACGACATGGCCAGAAGCCGGTAATGTTCCTTTCCCTGGGGGCAGTGCATTAAAATGGACCATTTCACGTGTGCTGGTCTTGTGTGTTGTTGCCTGCGCTAACTTACACGAAGTGGCAACAGGAACAGGCAGCGCAGCACCCGAGCGCCGGGTGGAGAGGCCGGCCGAGCCCGGGGAAAGCGACCTTACTCTGTCACCTGGGCTGGAGTGCAGTGGCGCAAATTAAAGTGTGCAGTTTGATACATCTTGACACATGTATACACTGTGAAACCATCATCACAATCAACAGTGAAGATGTTCCTCCCGTCTCTCTGTAACCCTTTCCTCTCTCCCTCCTTCCCTCCTCCCCCTCCCACCCATCTGCTTTTTGTCACTATAGTTTGAATTTCCTGGAGTTTTTAAATATCTTTTTATACAGACTGGGTCTCGCTTGCTCTGTCACCCAGGCGGGAGTGCAGTGACACGATCGGGACCCACTGTAGCCTCAAACTCCTGCCCTTAAGCAATCCAACTGCTTCAGCCTCCCGAGTAGCTGAGACTGCAGGTGAGGACCGCCATGTCTAGCTTTTTGTTTTTTTTTAAACATATGGGGTCTCTCTGTGTTGCCCAGCCTGCTCTGGAACTCCTAGCTTCAATTGACCCTCTGCCTCAGCCTCCCAAAGTGTTGGGATTGCAGATGTGAGCCACTGTGCCCAACCTGTTTTTCTTGGTGTTTTATATAAATGGAATTGTATCGCACGTAATCTTTAGGGAAGTGGGGGCTGTTCATTGAGCATAATTATGTTGGAATTCATCTATATATTGATAAATATTTTAAGTGCTTTTTATTGCTGAGCGGTGTCTAGGAGTCATTCTTGCTTACCCTTTCCCACTGCAGCCTTCACTCAATCTCATCAAAGATCTAGCTCCAATATATAAACCAAATCCAAGCCATTCCCACGTATATTACCCCTGAGCCATGCTCTCTCACCTAGATTACAGATACAGCCTAGTACCTGGTCATCCTCCAATCAGTTTTGTCTACAGCCATGCGAGTCTTCTCTCTATGCCTTAAATAAGACAAATGTATTCCAGCTCTTTTGAATATTTCCAATTGTGAAATGTTCCTCTTTATTTCTAATAATGCTTGCTATTGTCAACTTTGCCTCATATGTAAATAACACCACCAGCTTTCTTTCCTGTGTGTACCTTTAGAGTTAAGTGAGTTTAAGAAGTGTGTGTGTGGCCGGGCGCGGTGGCTCACGCCTGTAATGCCAGCACTTTGAGAGGCCGAGGCGGGCGGATTACGAGGTCAGGAGATTGAGACCATCCTGGCTAACACGGTGAAACCCCATCCCTACTAAAAATACAAAAAAAAAAAAAAAAAAAACTTGGCCGGGCGTGGTGGCGGGCGTCTGTATTCCCAGCTACTCGGGAGGCTGAGGCAGGAGAATGGCGTGAACCCGGGAGGCGGAGCTTGCAGTGAGCCGAGATCCCGCCACTGCACTCCAGCCTGGGCGACAGAGCGAGACTCCGTCTCAAAAAAAGAAGTGTGTGTGTATGATGTTTGTTTGTTTGTTTGTTTTTAAGACAGGGTCAGGCTCTGTTGCCCCGGCTGGAATGCGGTGACGCTGTCTCTGCCTACTGCACTCTCTGCCTCCCCGGCTCAAGTGATCCTCCCACCTCAGCACCCCAAGTAGCTGGGACTGTAGGTGCTCACCACTATGCCTAGCTAATTTTTTGTGGACATGGGGTTTCACCATTTTGCCCAGGCTAGTGTCAATCTCCTGAGTTTACCTGGCTTCCCAAAGTGCTGAGATTACAGGCATGAGCCACCGGACCTGGCCAAGTATTTTTTTTTAAATCCAATTTGATAATCTTTATCTTGAATGAGAGTGGTGGCTCCCAAATTTGCTGCACTTTAGAATGATCTGGAAAGCTTTTAAAAGTCCCAATGCCCTGTTCATACCTCACATCCATAAATCTGACAGGAATGGGAACCATGCATTGGTGTTTCGTTATTGTTGTTTTTTAAGATCTGCAGGTAATTTGACGATGTACAGCAAAATTTAAGAGCTAGATCATTTGGTACATTTATGCAAAGTACTGATATTTTTACATGTAAAGATGTCTTTTCACACTTTCCATTTGACTCATATGTTTTATGTTCTTTACGCCTTTCTTGCTTTCTTTTGGATTACTGATGTTTAAAAATTATCAGTAATTTTTAAATTAAATTAAATGGTGAAACCCCATCTCTACAAAAAATTAGCTGGGCATAGTGGTGAGCACCTATAGTCCCAGCTACTTGGGGTGCTGAGGTGGGAGGATCACTCGAGCCCAGGAGGCAGCGAGTGCAGTAGGCAGAGACAGCGTCACTGCATTCCAGCGAGGTGGATCACACCTGTAATCCCGGCACTTTGGGAGGCCAGGGTGGGTGGGTTGCTTGAGCTCAGGAGTTCATGACCAGCCTGGGCGACATGGCAAAACCCCATCTCTATCAAAAATACAAAAAAACGGCCAGGTATGGTGACGTGTGTCTGTGGTCCCAGCTACTCAGGAGGCTGAGGGGAGAGGATCACTTGAGCCTGGGAGGTTGCTGTGAGCTGAGATTGTATCACTGAACTCCAGCCTGGGTGACAGAGTGAGACTGTCTCAAAAAAGCTTTATATATATTTTTATATATATGAGTATTTTATATATACACTATATTACATATATTTATGTATAAAGCTATGTATATTTGCATATATATAGCTGATTTATACATATAAATAGCTTTTAGTGGTACACTTGAGATTATAACATGCGTTCTTGACTTATCAATGTCTAATGTAAATTAGTATTTTTTCCTCTTCCCAGACAATGCTAAAACAGTTTATTGGATATTTTAGTTATTTCTGTATTTAAAACTTCACAAGACACAGTACTGTTGATGTTCATTTTGATGGCCCACATATATGCCACTATCATTGTGTTTTATCCTTCTGTGACTTTCTAGGGTCATTTCCCTTCCACCTGAAGTACCCCTACTATTATTTCCTTTAGAGGAGGTCTGCTGATCATCTCAGTTGTGTTTGTCTGAAAATATTTGTATTTAATTTTTATTCTTAAAAAATATTTTTTCTGAGTATGGAATTCTAGGTTGTCAGCTCGTTTCTTTCAACACATTAATGATGTAACTCCACTGTTATGTGCATCCATATTTTCTGCTGTTTTTTGAAATAAATATTTTCCTCTGACTGCGTTTAAGTGTTTCTCTGTCTTCAATTTTCTTCAATTTTACTATAGTTTATCTGGATGTATATGCCTTTTTATTCGTCTTATTGGGAATTGATTAGACTTACTGAGTGTCTGGATTGTTGTATGTCTTCAATTTTGGAAAATTCTTGGCTATTATATATTCAAATACTGCTTCTGCCCAAATATCTCTCTTCTAACCTACTAGAGTTTAATTAAACATGTGTTGGAGGCCGGGCACTGTGGCTCACACCTGTAATCCCTACACTTTGGGAGGCCGAGGCAGGCAAATCATGAGGTCAGGAGTTCGAGACGAGCCTGGCCAGCGTGGTGAGACCCTGTTTCTACTACAAATACAAAAATTAGCCAGGCATTGTGGCGCATGCCTGTAGTCCCAGCTACTCCGGAGGCTGAGGCAGGAGAATCGCTCAAACCCAGGAGGCGGAGCTTGCAGTGAGCCCAGATCATACCTTTGCACTCCAGCCTGGGCAACAAGCCGAGACTCCGTCTCAAAAAAAAAAAAAACACACACATGTTGGATCATCTTACACTTTTAAAAAAAAATTATTCTATATGAGGTTTTTATCTTTTTGTTCCTTTATCGTTCGTTCTGGTTTATTCTGATCTATCCTCCAGTTTATTAAATTGCTCTGTGGCTATGTCAAAACTACTGTTGAACATACCTATTAAGTTCTTAAGTTGGGTTTTGGATTTTTCAGTTCCTGAATTTTAGTTGACTCTTTTTCACGTCAGCAGAGTTTGCTTTGTTTTGTTTTTTGAGATAGGGTCTTACCCTGTCACCCAGGCTGGAGTGCAGCGGCGCAAACACAGCTGACTGCAGCCTCGACCTCCAAAGCTCAAGTGATCCTCCTAAGTAGTTGAGACTACAGGTGTGCACCACCATACCTAGCTAATTTTTTTTTTTTTTTTTTTTGGTATTTTTTGTAGAGATGGGGTTTTGTCATGTTATCCAGGCTGGTCTGGAACTCCTAGGTGCAAGTGATCTACCTGCCTTGGCCTCCCAAAGTACTGGATTACAGGCATGAGCCACCATGCCCAGCCCAAAGTAATTTTTTAAAATATACTGGCCGGGCACGGTGGCTCACACCTGTAATCCCAGCACTTTGGGAGGCCGAGGCGGGCGGATCACAAGGTCAAGAGATCGAGACCATCCTGGCTAACGGTGAAACCTCATCTCTACTAAAAATACAAAAAAAAAAATTAGCCGGGCATGGTGGCGGGCACCTGTAGTCCCAGCTACTCGGGAGGTGGAGGTAGGGGAATGGCTTGAACCCGAGAGGCAGAGCTTGCAGTGAGTGAAGATTCGCACCACTGCACTCCAGCCTGGGCCACAGAGCAAGACTCCATCTCAAGAAAAATAATAATAATAAAATGTTCTAGGCCGGGTACAGTAGCTCAAGCCTGTAATTCCAGCACTTTGGGAGACTGTGGCAGGTGGATCACCTGAGGTCAGGAGTTCAAGACCAGCCTAACCAACATGGTGAAACTCCATTTCTATTAAAAATAACGAAAATTAGCCAGACATGGTGGTGCATGCCTGTAATCCCAGCTACTTGGGAGGCCGAGGCAGGAGAATCACTTGAACCTGGGAGGTGGAGGTTGCAGTGAGCTGTGATCGTGCACTCCAGCCTGGGCAACAGAGTGAGACTCAAAAAAAAAAAAATATATATATATATATATATATATGTTCTATTTCATTTTAACCTCATGAACCTAATTCCTGATAATTCTGTAGGGAGTGCCTGTGTGTCTTTTTTTTTTTTTTGGTTTCTAATTTGTGCTGATTCTTCTTGTGTTGCCCTGCCTTCTTGTTTGTCTAGATATATGAAAGAAATGACTTGGAAAATTACTTAAAAAGTAATTTAAGGTATAAGATGATATTCTCCAATAAAAGATTTTCATCTGCTTCTGCCAGGTTCCTGGCATTCTGTGACCACCTTTGTTTTATTTCAGACTGGACAGCCGGCACCACCCCATGATTCAAGGATGGCCATAGCCCAGTGCAGGAGCAGATTTGCTTCCAGTTTGCCCTTCCTCCTAGGTACAGTCCATGGGGTTTTCAGCTCTCAGTGCTTAGCAGTTTCATAGGGCCCCCAGCCTTAGTAGTCTGGATTTAAAAAAAAAAAAAACACCTAGGCAAAAACAGCTTACAAATGCTGACTTAACCTGTCTTCTCTCGGATCCTGGGCTGACAGTTTCTAACTAACTTGTGAGCACTTCGTTGCCCTCAGTAGGAGCCTTAGTCTGATTCACCTAGTTGGCCACAACCAGGAGAGAAACGTCCTTATATCCATTCTCTCTAACCCATGTCAATCAGGCTCCCACCCACCCCATGTCACACCTTCACCCATGTGACTTCAAGGTCACAGTGATCTCCACACTGCCAAACACAGTGGTCCATGCTCGTCCTCCGACCTCCCAGGTGCATCTGGCGGCTCGCCACTTCCGGCTCTGACTTCACTGCTGTCCTCAGCCTCCTGGGCTGGTCCCTAGCTCCTCCCAGCCCCTTAACACTGCAGGGATCATTCCTGGGCTTCTGCTGTACCCACTCCTTGATGATCTCAATTACCTGCCTTCACACATCGGCCCTGTGCTGATGGCTGTCTACCTGCATCTCCGTCTAGCTGAACTCCAGGCTCCAGCCCAGAGAAGCAAGAAAAGAGCAAACAGAAGTTATTCACATGTGCATCAGGTATGCACACGGGAGTGCTCAAAGGGGTCGTTAGAATTTGAGATTTATTTATTTATTTATTTATTTATTTTTGAGACAGAGTCTCTCTCTGTTGCCCAGGCTGGGGTGCAGTGGCACAATCTCCACTCACTGAAACCTCCACCTCCCGGGTTCAAGCGATTCTCCCACCTCAGCCTCCCTAGTAGCTGGGATTACAGGCATGCGCCACCATGCCCAGCTAGTTTTTGTATTTTTAGTGGAGATGGGAGTTTCACCGTGTTGACCAGGCTGGTCTCGAACTCCTAGCCTCAAGGGATTCGCCTGCGTCAGCTTCCCAAAGTGCTGGGATTACAGGTGGCAGCTACCACACCCGGCCTTAAGGTCTAGATACCTAACTTAGTAGGGAAGAGGAGTGGGGAGAAAGGACACTTGTAGAAAATAAAATGACTTTTTGGAAAGATAAGGGGCCCTTTAGAAAAATAAGATAGCCGGGTGCAGTGGCTCACACCTGTAATCCCAGCACTTTGGGAGGCCAAGGCAGGCAGATCACTTGAGGTCAGGAGTTCGAGACTAGCCTGGCCAACATGGTGAAACCCCCATCTCTACTAAAAATACAAAAATTAATCGGGCATGGTGGTGTACGCGCACCTGTAATCACAGCTACTCGGGAGGCTGAGGCTGGAGAATCACGTGAACCCGGGAGGCAGAGGTTGCAGTGAGCCAAGATCACGCCACTGCACTCCAGCCTAGACCACAGCGAGACTCCGTCTCTGATAGTCTTGTGTCAATGTCTCAGTGTGGTGCTGGCTCTTCACCACTGAGATTAGAGTTGCTTTTGGGAGGGGATTTATGACAATTGAGTTCTTTATGGAGGTTCTGCTTTTAGTCAGAATAGGGATTTCAGAAATTCAGGTGCCTTTAAAAAAAATTCAATTATGTTAGATTCAGGAGGCACATGTGCAGGTTCGTTCCATGGGTATATTGTGTGGTGCTGAGGTTTGGGGTACAAATGATCCCATCATGCAGGTATTACAGTAAGCATGGTACTTACAACCCCCTCCTTCTCTCCCCCTCTAGTAGTCCTCAGTGTCTCTTGTTGCCATTTTTATGTCCATTGTACCCAGTGTTTAGCTCCCACTTATAAGTGAGAACATGGTATTTGGTTTTCTTTTTCTTTTCTTTTTTTTTTTTTTTTTTTTTTATGGAGTCCTGCTCTGTTGCCCAGGCTGGAGTGCAGTGGCACAATCTTGGCTCACTGCAACCTCCGGCTCCTGGGTTCAAACAATTCTCCTGCCTCAGCCTCCCAAGTAGCTGGGATCACAGGCATGCACCACCATACCCAGCAATTGTTTTTTTCTTTTTGTTTTTGTTTTTTTGTTTGTTTTGGGGTTTTTTTTATTTTTAGTAGAGACAGGGTTTCACCATGTTGGCCAGCCTGGTCTCGAACTCCTGACCTCAGGTGGCCCGCCCACCTCAGTCTCTCAGAGTGCTGGGATTACAGGCGTGAGCCGCTGCGCTGGACCGGTATTTGGTTTTCTATTCCTGCATTAATTCGCTTAGGATAATGGCCTTCAGCTGTATCCATGTTTCTGCGAAGGACATGACTTAATTCTTTTTTATAGCTATGTAAACTGTCTTCAGCTTGAAATAACTAATATGCCAACATGGCATATTTTGGGGTGCCACGCCCTGCTCCCTTTCATTGGTGTCCCCACCAGTTTCCCTGCTTCTTCCCTGTTGACCCCTTCTCTAGTAAGAGAAGATGGAACATACCAGCATTTTGTGAGGATTTTACGCGATAAAACATGTAAAGCATCTATTGAGTGGCAAGTAGCGAGCACATTGATCATTGATGAGACTCCCGTGAGTGTTGCTGGTGACAGTACAACATCAGAGCCACTCCCACCACCTCGCTCAGCCCCTTCAGTGGGTGTCCTTCCTTTCCAGGATGAAAACTCACAAAAATCCCATTATTTTGCTGATGACTTTTAGATATTGATGTCCTGAAGTCACTTTCAGTTAAGTTGGCCAGGCCTGGTGGCTCATGCCTGTAATCCCAGCGCTTTGGGAGGCTGAGGCAGGTGGATCACTTGAGTCCAGGAGTTCGAGACTAGCCTGGGCAACATGGCAAACCCCATCTCTACTAAAAATACAAAAATTAGCCAGGCATGGTGGTGCACACCTGTAATCCCAGCTACTAGGGAGGCTGAGGTGGGAAATCAATCACCTGAGCCTGGAGGTCGAGGTTGCAGTGAACCGAGGTCCTGCCGCTGCACTCCATCGAGCCTGGGCAACACAGAGAGACTGTCTAAAAAAAATAAAGTCTTGATTCAATCTAATATATTAATCAATTTTCCTCTTATTGATAAAAGGATACATGGTAAAGGATACAAAGGTAAACTTCCCTTCCTCCCCAGTTAGGACCACTTGTAGCTATTATATTTCTGCCTGGTTGGTGCTGCAGGCTTCTCTCTTTCTTCATAATATCTAGAGTATTTCTAATTTTTTAACAGCTTTACTGAGGCATAAATGAGATGCAACAAGCCACACATATCTAAAACTTACAATTTGATACATTTTAGCATATGTATACACCCATGAAACTACTTACCACTCCAATCAAGATAATAAACTTACAGCCGGATGTTGGCTCATGCCTGTAATCCCAGCACTGAGGGAGAGGCCGAGGTGGGCAGATCACTTGAGTATAGGAGTTCGAGACCAGCCTGGCCAACATGGTGAAACCCCGTCTCTACTAAAAATACAACAAATAAGCTGGATATGCTCGCTGGAACCCAGGAGGCGGAGGTTGCAGTGAGCCGAGATTGTGCCACTGCACTCCAGCCTGGGCGGCAGAGCGAGACTGTCTCAAAAAAAGATAATGAAGATAGGCATCAGCCCCGAAGGTACCACTTGTTTACTGTCTCTCAGACATCAATGTTCCTTGCTGTCTGATGTCTAAAGTCATGACAGTGATTTTTTCATGTGTTCTGTCTAGTTTTTTTAGAAATTGGGTTAAATTCAGTCCGTTTCATTCCATCTTGAGTGGGGAAGACCCGAATTATTTTTTAAGGGAATGAATGAATACCTCACTATATTAGTTGGGGTTCCCCAGAGAAACAGAACCAATAAGCTATATAAAAGATATAAAAGAGGAGACTTATTAAAGAATTGGTTCACATGATTATGGAGGCTGAGATGTCTCCCGTCTGCAAGCTGGAAAACCAGGAATGCCAGTACAGTCATTCATTCTGAGGCCAAAGGGCTAAGAACCAGGAGGAGCTCAATGTCCAGGGCACAAGGGAAGTCACAGCTTGAGGTAAAAAGGCAAATTGGCGCTTCTCAACCCTTTTTGTTCTTCTGTGTGGGCCCTCAACCGGTGAGATGATGCCCACCCTCGATACTGAGGGTGGAGTTTCGTTAGCCCGTCAACCAACCCAAATGCTAATCTCTTCTGCATATGCCCTCACAGACACACCCAGAAATACATAAAATTAACCTTCACACTCCTTAAAATCACTAAAAAGCATTAAAAGCAAAGGAAGTTTGATGTTGAAAACTTGCTTGTTGGTCTGGCTTAGCTCTGCCAGTTTCTGAGTCTTTCAAAAGTTATGTAGTTGGACCCAAATAACTGTCGTTCTTGAAAAAGAAGGATACAATTGAAAGCCTCGTGTTTCTTGATTTCAAAACCTGCTACAAAGCTACAGTAATTAGCTCCGAGCAGTGGTGTATGCTTAAAATGCCAGCTACTTGGGAGGCTGAAGTGGGAGGATCACTTGAGCCCGGGAGTTTGAGGCAACATAGTGAGGCTGTGTCTCTTGAGAAAAAAAAAAAAAAAGCAGGTGCAGTGGCTTATGCCTGTAAATCCTAGCATTTTGAGAGGCCGAGGCAGGAGGAATGCTTGAGGCCAGGAGTTCAAGGCCAACCTGGCCAAGCCAATATGGTGAGACCACATCTCTGAAAAGAAAAAAAATAATAAGGAATAAGCTACAGTAACGAAAATGGTGGCACTGACAAAGACAGATATACAGTCTAATAGAATGGAATTGAGAGCCCAGAATCCCAGATCCCCTCCTGGGATCACTTGAACCCAGGAGGCAGAGGTTGCAGTGAGCCGAGATCTCACCGTGGCACTCCAGCCTGGTGGACAAAAGCAAGACTTCGTCTCCGACAAAAAAAAAAGATACAGGTTGTAAAGAGCTTGCTGATAAAACAGGTTGCAGTAAAGAAACCAGCTAAAACCCACCAAAACCAAGATGGCAACGAGAGTGACCTCTGGTCGTCCTCACTGCTACACTCCCACCAATGCCATGACAGTTTACAAATGCTGTGACAATGTCAGGAACTTACCCTATGTGGTCTAAAAAGAGGAAGCATGAACCATCCACCCCTTTTTCTTAGCATATCATCAAAGGCTTCTGTGAAATAGATACCGGCCAGCATGGTGGCTCTCGCCCATAATCCCAGCACTTTGGGAGGCCAAGGCAGTAGGGTGGCTCGAGCTTAGGAGTTCGAGACCAGCCTGTCCAACATGGTGAAACCCCTTCTCTACTAAAAATGCAAAAATTAGTCGGGCATGGTGGCACATGCCTGTAATCCCAGCTACATGAGAGGTTGAGGCACGAGAATCACCTGAACCTGGGAGGCAGACGTTGCAGTGAGCCGAGATCATGCCCCTGCACTCCAGCCTGGGCAACAGAACAAGACTCAGTCTCAAAAAAAAAAAAAAAAAAAATTCAGGCCCAGTGCAGTGGCCCACACCTGTAATCCCAACACTTTGGGTGGCCGAGGTAGGAGGCTCTCTTGAGCCCAAGAGTTGGGCACCAGCCTGAACGACATAATGAGACCCTGACTATTTTTTCAAAAAAATTAGCCAGGCGTGGTGGCAAGTGCTTTTGGTCCCATCTTGAGAGACTGAGGCGAGAGGATCGCTTGAGCCCAAGAGGTCAAGGCTGCAGTGAGCCGTGATCGTACCACTGCATGCCAGCCTGGGCGACAGAGTGAGAACTTGTCTCAAGAAATATATATATATATATATAAATATATATTCATGACACTTCTTAAAGACGATAAGGAAGGCTTTAGTCAAGCAGGGTCATGATCTTTACTCAAGGGACCCCTTTGTAGGGACCTTGAGTAGGGACCACTTTGCAAAAGGGCATAGAGATTGGTCCCAACTGTAAATACAACAAGAAAAAGTGGGTATTTATAGCTAAGGAGAAGGTGGAAGGTCACTGGATGGAAACTTACTAAGAGGAGACATCAGAGGGAGGACTCTGGTTAAGCCAACCTCACAGGACCTGCAGAGGGCAGGCCAGGGAGATCAGACGTGGCCTGGCGGAGGGTGGAGGATGAGGAACCTGTCAGATATCGAGGGTCGGGGGTGTAGCTGAACTGGCTGAGCAGGACTCTTGCTAAAATTGGACAATACAGAGATAACACAGAAATCCAGAAGTCAGGACCTAGTTGAAAAAGCACCCAGAGCCTAGAATGGAGAGAAGAAAAAAAGAGGGGAAAAGGAAAAAGTACCCCGAGGAGCCCAAATGGAGTTAGGTGAAGGAGATGATGGTCTCCGGCATCGCTCATCTCTGCACTCACCACTAGTGCTCAGCACCCCTGGGAAGCCGAGTTAGGTGAAGGAGATGATGGTCTCCGGCATCGCTCATCTCTGCACTCACCACTAGTGCTCAGCACCCCTGGGAAGCCGAGTTAGGTGGAGGAGATGATGGTCTCCGGCATCGCTCATCTCTGCACTCACCACTAGTGCTCAGCACCCCTGGGAAGCCGAGTTAGGTGGAGGAGATGATGGTCTCCGGCATCGCTCATCTCTGCACTCACCACTAGTGCTCAGCACCCCTGGGAAGCCGAGTTAGGTGGAGGAGATGATGGTCTCCGGCATCGCTCATCTCTGCACTCAGCACTAGTGCTCAGCACCCCTGGGAAGCCGAGTTAGGTGGAGGAGATGATGGTCTCCGGCATCGCTCATCTCTGCACTCAGCACTAGTGCTCAGCACCCCTGGGAAGCCTACAGAGATCACAAAAGTGAAAAAAGTCATTTCATCCTTAACCCAGTCCTTATCCACAATTCCCCCAAGGGCATGACAATGCCAGGGCTCCTGTTTCCTAAACTGGCCTCTGTGGGGAAAGAAGAAGAATGCTTTTCATTTGAGATTAATGGGACACATACCGTGGAATGCCATGCAGTGGGAATGGGATACAATGATGAAAAAAAGCCCACCCCCAGTCTTAAGAAACTTGCAGGTTTTGTGGGAAAGGGAGAGGCAGCAAATACTACGATACGAGGGGGAGAGGTAAGTGGAACTGGAGAGATCAACCTGTGGGCTCCCTTCCAGAGCCCGGTGACCCCAAGGACCCTGGATTTTGAAGGCTGATCAAGGGCAGTGCATGGGAGAGAACAGCGGAAAGAGATGCCTTCAGCTTCACAGGTGTTTGCTGGGGTGATAGTGGCTTCGAAAATCAAGACCCCTTGGAGACTGGAAAAAAACCTACATGCAAACAATTGCTCTGGGAGTTGTAGCAGTAAAGTCGCTTCTGCCTTTTATTGCATAATTAAAATACCTCCATGGAATAACCTTTTTTTTCTTTTTTTTTTTTTTTAGGTGGAGTCTCGCTCTGTCACCCAGGCTGGAGTGCAATGGCACGGTCTCAGCTCACTGCAACCTCTGCCTCCCAGATTCAAGCAATTCTGCCTCAACCTCCTGAGTAGCTGGGACTACAGGCACGTGTCACCACGCCCAGCTATTTTTTTTTTTTTTTTTTTTTTTTTGAGACAGAGTCTCCCTCTGTCGCCCAGGCTGGAGTGCAATGGCGCAATCTCAGCTCACTGCAAGCTCCGCCTCCCCGGTTCCCGCCATTCTCTTGCCTCAGCCTCCCGAGTAGCTGGCACTACAGGCGCCTGCCACCCATGACCGGGTAATTTTTTTTGTATTTTTTAGTAGAGACGGGGTTTCACTGTGTTAGCCAGGATGGTCTCGATCTCCTGACCTCATGATCCGCCCGCCTCGGCCTCCCAAAGTGCTGGGATTACAGGCGTGAGCCACCATGCCCGGCCTTAATAACTTTTTAAAGGATGTCAAGTTAATGGAATGTATTCTGCTTTAGAAAATAAAACTCTTAGGTTTTCAAAACTTAGCAGCCCCAGCATTACCAAGGGCCTGCCTACCGTTTACAGTATGTGAATCCTACTTCCTTTTCATGGTTGTAAGACTGGGATTTTCTGGGAGCCGACCTGCAGGAGTCCACAGGCCACCCGTTAGGACTGTGCACGCTCCTCCACAAACATGCCTGTGGGGGGATCCTTGGCTCTCTCTGCAGGGGTGCGTTGGGTGTGCACCAGCTGGGAAGGAAGGATCTGTCGGAACTGCAATCAAAGCCACGGCAGGCCTCCCAGGGTCTTACTGGTGGTGAAAACAACCAGCTTCCTCGTCCCTCCCTCAAGCATGGCAACCACCGCCCTGAGACTCAAAGATACCTGGAGGAGTGTGATCGGGCTGACCTGTTGCTCTTATCTGGAATTCTTTGAGGGTGATGGGAGATCACTTCTTTTTTTTTTTTTTTTTTTTTTTTGAGACAGGATCTTGTTTTGTCAACCAGGCTGGAGTGCAGGTTCAGGTGATTCTTCCGCCTCAGCCTCCCCAAGTAGGCTGAGTAGCTGAGAAAACAGATGCGCACCACCATGCCTGGTTAATTTTTGGATGTTTTGCAGCCATGTGGTTTCACCATGTTGTCCAGTCTGGTCTTGAACTCCTGAGCTCAAGGGATCCTCCCACCTCGGCCTCCCAAAGCATTGAGATTACAGGTATGAGCCACTGTACCCGGCTACCCAGGAGATTACTATTTTTTGGCATAAAACCAAACAAAACTATTCATTAGTTTATCCACTCAACATTGATTTATTATTCCTGACTGCAGCCAACAACATTGTGAATACTTTCCCTGCCTCAAGCTCTGTTCTAGGTCCTAGAACATTCATGACAATTTGTTTCTCTGCCCTCTGGCAGGTGAGAAAACTTTGTAAGAAGTTTCAATAGCAAAAAGTATGAGAAGATGTACAATAGATCTGGGACTATTTGTAACAAACCCGGTGGAAGATGTAGGAGCAGAGGTGGAAGGCCTTAAAGAGGGTCCTGCGCATGCCGGGCGGGCCTCCAACAGAGAAAACACACAACCTGGCCAGGCACAGTGGCTCACGCCTGTAATCCCAGCACTTTGGGAGGCCAGTGCGGGTGGATCACCTGAGGTCAGGAGTTCGAGATCAGCCTGGCCAATGTAGTGAAACCCCAGTCTCTACCAAAAATACAAAAATTAGCCGGGCTTGGCACAGGCTTGCAATCCCAGCTGAGGCAGGAGAATCGCTTGAACCTGGGAGGTGGAGGTTGCAATGAGCCAAGATCATGCTTTTGCACTCCAGCCTGGACGACAGAGTGAGACTCTGTCTCAAAACAAAATAAATAAAATAGACACGCAATCCATACCACAGCCACCAGGGTGATTGTCCAGGTTGTATTTCTGCTGACATCGACCCTTCATGCCTTCCTCTTGTTGACCCTTCCAGCTACACCTAGCTCGGTCCTCTTCGGAGCCACGCCAACACCCAGGTTCCTCTGCAGTGCATCCCCATGGGGATTTACCCGGTGATTGATTTTATTTCTTTATTTATTTTTATTATTATTATTATTTTTGAGACAGAGTTTCACTCTTGTTTCCCAGGCTGGAGTGCAGTGGCGCAATCCCAGCTCACTGCAACCTCTGCCTCCCGGGTTCAAGCGATTATCCAGTCTCAGCCTCCCGAGTAGCTGGGATTACAGATGTGTGCCACCACGCCCAGCTAATTTTTGCATTTTAGTAGAGACGGGGTTTCGCCATGTTGGCCAGGCTGGTCTCGAACTCCTGACCTCAGGTGATCTGCCCGCCTCGACCTCCCAAAGTGCTGGGATGACAGGCGTGAGCCACTGATCCGGCAGTTCTTAATCAGACAAAACTCAGCCCCAACTCCAGTAGCTGATGCAGGGGTGGAATTTCATTCTGCTTCTTCCTTACTGTTATTTTATGCAAGGGGGTGGAGCGTGTGCGTGTTGGGGACGGAAAAGTGGGAAAGGCAAATGGTCCGCTGGACCACAGTGGTCATTGTATGGGTCAGAAATCAGGTTACTCTTAGAGAAAGAAACTATTGAGAATCAACCCAAAGGGAATTAAATGAACACCTGTAAAGGAATGTGGGGACTTACTAAGCACGGGGCTGAGAAGATGCCATCAGGCAAGGGTGATTCCGATAGTCGGAGGAAGCTACTCCCTGATATAGCGAGGACTGAGGCTCACATGTCACAACCGGTCATCGTAAAGACCAGCGGTGCTGCTATACCTCCCACAGTACATAGAATAACCCCGTAAAGAATGACCTGGCTGGGGCCTGAGAGCATTGCTTTACCTGGAGGTGCAGCCAGTCAGCCAGGGGAACGAAGCAGTATTTGTGGGCTGAGCAGAGAGGGCCCTGGGCAGATCCTGGGTGTGTGCACATGAGGGCCCCGGGCAGGGCAGGGCAGAGGAGGTTGGGACACTGAGTCAGAGGTATGCTCCTGAAGGCAACCCACAAGGGGGCCAGTTCGTGGAACTGCAGGCCTGATCCTGAGCAGCATGGTGCGGAGCTGTCTGGACAGGCCTGCAGAGAAGGGCGCCTACCTTACTGAGGTCAACCACACACATCCAGTAGCCACAAGGCTGCTGTCGCAAGGCGGTGCCTGGCCTATCTTGTGATGATGTTTGTTTTTACACATAATGTTATGCTTTGCTTATGGACAAGCAATGGAGGCTGGCGAGGCTGCCCTGGGCCTGTTACACACCCAGAGGGCCCTGTGCCCACCTCAGGCCTCATTCTCTCCTGAGGAGAGAGCCCAGTGTCCGGAAGACATCCCTCCCCTCCTGTTTGTTCTCTCCTGCCCTCTCTCTGCTTCTGCTTTTAAGAAACACCTGTTGGCCAGGCGCGGCGGCTCATGTCTGTAATCCCAGTACTTTGGGAGGCTGAGGCGGGCAGATCAGGAGGTCAGGAGTTCAAGACAAGCCTGGCCAACATGGTGAAACCCCTGTCTCTACGAAAAATACAAAAATTAGCTGGGCATGGTGGCGCGTGCCTGTAGTCCCAGCTCCTCGGGAGGATGAGGTGGGAGAATCGCTTGAACCTGGGAGGCTGAGGTTGCAGTGAGCCGAGATGACACCACTGGACTCCAGCCTGGGCTATAGAACAAGACTCCCTTTAAAAAGAAAAAAAAATTCATGATCTGGAAGCCCGAGTGTAGCTAACTGGTGGACAGATGAAAGTGAAATGTGTGATGTTTCCTAAGACCCCCTAAGACTTCCCTGAGCCACGGGAGGCTCTCACGAGTGTGTAAGCCAGGGTTTTGGGGAAGGGGTGGATGTGTGTGTCTCGCATTTTCCCAGCTGCCTCTCCTTTCCCCTTCTTCCTTGCTCCCGGAGACTTCCTTGTGGATTCCTTCCCAGAACTTGGTCTGAATTCCCTAATAGACATTCTCCTAGCGGGATGAGTCCCCCTTTACAGCACTCGGGAAATGCCTGCTCCTCTAGCTGTCTCTGATCCACCTCTCCTGTCTTTCAACTAAGGCCCCCACATGCCAGACCATCGTTGGTGGACCTCGTCACCAGCATGAAGTGGGCTCTTGGAGTTGTCGACTGACTAGTTCACAATTAGTGACTCATAGCATCTCACTCATTTCCTTTTCATCAGTAGGAGGCAGCAGTCTGCACTTTTGCATCACATTTCAAAGACATCTGTGTGTTTGTTCTCGTGCAGAACACTTTGACTATTGTAACCTCTAGGTCCATGAATGACCCTCATCTTCAGTAAAAGTGGATTCACGCTGGCAAAGTCTGCTTTGTTTTATTGTGACACATGGAACATTATGGATTTTGGTGAATAAAAACTAACTTAAATTGAAGTCATTCTTGTAAAATGAAAATACATTTTTCTGCTGTTCTTAACTTTATAATATAGATACATACTATGTCTTATGAAATAGTAAATGGAAAACACGATTCAAAAAGCGCTATTTTGGTAAATAACTTGCATAAAGGGCATATGGACAACACAAGTCCACAACACAATAGACAACAGACAACACAACCTGTTACACAGGCACTCAAGTTCGTCTGCAGATTTGGTTTTCTTTTTTTTTTTTTTTTCACTCCTGATGCCCAGGCTAGAGTGCAATGGCGCGATCTTGGCTCATTGCAACCTCTGCCTCCAGGGTTCAAGCGATTCTCCTGCTTCAGCCTCCCGAGTAACTGGGATTACAGGCATGCACCACCACGCTGGGCTAATTTTGTATTTTTAATAGAAATGGGATTTCTCTGTGTTGGTCAGGCTGGTCTTGAACTCCCAACCTCAGGTGATCCGCCCGCCTTGGCCTCCCAAAGTGCTGGGATTATAGGCGTCAGCCACCAGGCACAGCCTACAGATTTGGTTTTCAATATCACTTGACATGCACAAAGTACGGGTGAACAAGCACTTTTATTCTTTTTTCTTTTTTTCTTTTTTTTTTTTTTCTTTTTGAGATGGAGTCTCGCTCTGTTGCCCAGGCTAGAGTGCAGTGGCGCAATCTTGGCTCACTGCAACCTCTGCCTCCCAGGCTCAAGAGATTCTCCCACCTCAGCCTCCCGAGCAGCTGGGATTAGGACCACCACGCCTGGCTAACTTTTGTATTTTTAGTAGAGACAGGGTTTCACCATGTTGGCCAGGCTGGTCTCAAACTCCTGACCTCAGGTGATCCTCCCGCCTCGGCCTCCCCTCAGCTGGGATTACAGGCGTGAGCCACCGTGCCTGGCCACAAGCACCTTTTTTCTTTATCTCCTATGTTTGAAATTAAAATGAAAAAAATGTATAAACCTTATTTAATTAACAAGTGATGAGTCATTTTTAGTAAATGGACCTAAATACCTTAAGAAAGCCATCAAGTGTCAAATAGAGAGATGTAAGCTACCATGGAGAGCCTTTCGGGACGTATGGAAGGAACCAGTTTGCAATGACAACATGCTGTGGGTGGTGCCTACCTACACTGAAAGATTCGGATGGGTTTTTCAGAGTGCCCTCTTCACTGTCTTCCTTCACCCAGCCCGCCTCCTCTTCCAGGACTCCGACCCACTTTCCTCCTGCGCCCTCTAGTGTCTGTCTGCTTTTCCGTTCCCCCCATTTCTACCTTAGGATTTTTCTGTGCCTTTCATTCATCCTCCGTCTGCGTCTCCCGTGGTACTGACTTCAAAACCCCTGACTGTACCGAAACTCGGTGTGAACGAGGACTGCAGTGCTGCTGGGGATGCATTCTCCATTTGTACTTGAAGAGTTACGTCAAAACCTAAACTGTAGGCCTGACAGATAATGATAATTTGTCTATGGCAAAAACATAAGCTTAACTGCCTATCCTAATATAACAGGAAGCTAAACTATTTATACTGAACTGAATTCTCCTACATTTACAACTCATAAACCTGCAGCTTCCTGGACAGGCAGCAGACACTCCCAAACTCCGCTGTGTCCTAGTATATAATACTTTCGGCCAACCTACATGTGTAACTTACATCATTTTCAGAATATGAATGCTTCAAGTGGCATATTAGACATTAATAATTTAAGCAATGAAATTAACTGATACAGAATATATAGGTAAATAATAAAAGAAGTAATTAAAAATCTTTGTTTCATCAGTTCATATTAGCTATATATGTTCTCAAGTCTCAAAGAAAAGGTATTATTTCAAAGCAACTTAAAAAATATTTAAAAATTAGCACCCTATAGTTCTCATTTAATAAGTTAAATGGGTAATTAATTGGCATTTTATTTCAATAGAAGCTTATTTCAAAAAGCTTTCTACAGAGTTATTTTGTGTAAAATGGTAATTATGCCCACAATTTTCTAAATGAAGCTTGCAGAAAGGGCTCATTTTTGCCATAAACATAATTTTCATTGATGTTTCCCTTAAAGACAAATGTTTCCTTCACTGAAATAGACTTTTGGAAATTGTTTAATTATTTTTACCTTGGCAATTATGTCACCTTCCTTGAATATCCTCATTAATTACATTGCCACTGGTACCTCTGAAGTATTTGGTGTTTTCTTAAGTTCTTTAAGCTCTTTATTTTATTTTATTTTATTTATTTATTTTTTGAGACAGTCTCGCTCTGTCGCTCAGGCTGGAATGCAGCGGCCTGATCCCGGCTCCCTGCAACCTCTGCCTCCCGGGTTCATGTAATTCTCCTGCCTCAGCCTCCGGAGTAGCTGGGATTACAGGCTCGCACCACCAAGCCCGGCTAATTTTGGTATTTTTAGTAGAGACAGGTTTTGCCATGTTGCCCGGGCTGGTCTCAAACTCCTGACTGCAAGTGACCCGCCTGCCTGGGCCTAAGTTCTTTAAGATCTTAATGTAGAGTCTGAAAAGAGGGTTTCAGTCTGGGATTAAGTGCCTTTTTTTTTTTTTTTTTTTTTTTTTGCGACGGAGTCTCCTGCCTCAGCCTCCCTAGTAGCTGGGACTACAGGCGCGCACCACCATGCCCAGCTAAGTTTTTGTATTTTTAGTAGGGATAGGATTTCGCCATGTTGGCCAGGATGTTCTCAAACTCCCAACCTCAGGTGATCCGCCCACCTCGGCCTCCTGAAGTGCTGGGATAACACGTGTGAGCCACCGCTCCCGGCCAAGTGCCAATTACTTAATATTCCTAACTTTTTAACATATCCTAAAATACAACTCCACACCCAAGTTCAGGCGCTCGCGGATGGTCTTTTGTTGGCCGCACTCCTCCCTCCGGCTCTGCTCCAGCCCAGCCCCAGCCTCCTACCCTGGGGGCACCGCTGTCCCGCGGCCGAAGAAGCTGCGCCGCACCGGCCTCTGCCGCCACCTGGCGCCCGGCCGGGGCACGACGCACTGGACACCTTCCTAATAATATGAGCCGCACGCTCCCGTGGGGCACCCCTGACCCTCGCGGCCGCGCGTCTCAGCGCCCCTTCCGTGGGCTGCGGGTCTCACCCCCCAATCCCACTCCCACGTGGGCCCAGGTTCCTTCCGGGTTGAAAGCAGGGAACCTGCAGAGCTCACTCATCCTAAAAACGACCTTAATCCTGCTAGCCTCCAGGAGCCCCGCACCCTGCTCGCCCTGGCCCCGGGGAGGGCACCCCATCCCGCCACCCCACACCCCAGAGCCGACTCAGGGCTAAATCCTCCCCTTAGCTCCGTCAGGGCCCTGAATGACCCCCCCGCACACCCGTGCGCACTTCCCCTGGGCTGGCCTGACCCCCATACCTGCAGCCCCTTCTTTGCCCAGTCCCTCAGCTGCTCTCAAAGCCAGTGTCCTCAAGACTGCGCCTGTCACGGTCGTGCGTGGTCCCCACGCAGTCGGCGCCTAGACCTATCCTACTGGATCGCCCAGAGGCCTCAACGGAAGGCTGTGCTTTCTTTTTTCTTCTTTGGGGGGCGAGGGAGGCAGGGAGAGGGGTCTCGCTCTGTCGCTCAGGCTGGAGTGCTGTGGCGCGATCTCGGCTCACTGCAACCTCTGCCTCCCGGGTTCAAGCAGTTTCCTGCCTCAGCCTCCCAAGTAGCTGGGACTACAGGGCCCCGCCATCACACCCAGCTAATGTTTTTAGAGATGGGGTTTCGTCATGTTGGCTAGGCAGGTCTTGAACTCCTGACCTCAAGTTATCCTCCCGCCTCAGCCTCCCAAAGTGCTGAGATTACAGGCATGAGCCACTGCTCCGGCACTTAAAATCCACTTTTCATTACACATCACAATAGAATTGAGAAATGGTTTGTTCTTGTTATGTAGAATAAGAGATGACACTTCAAAATGATGATTTTTAAAAATTTTCGCTCAGCTCATGGGGCACCCACTTATTGAGCTTTTTATCTTTCCAATTTGCTTCAAATGCCAAACGACCATTGAATGGCCAACGTTGAGTTCTTTGGCAACTTCTCCTGTAGCGTAAGAGGATCAGCTTTGATGACTGCCCTCAATTGATCACTGTCAACTTCTGAAGGCCGGCATCTATTGGCAAAACTTCTCGAACCACCACTGCACTGTGTGTGCCCTAGCAGTTTCTGGGCCAAATGAATTGTTGATGTTGCCAGTTGTCTCTTCTGCATTTTGACCTCAAATAAGAAAATTGCTCAAATTTGCTTTTTGTCTAACATCATTTCCATAGTCTAAAATAAACGTAAAATAAACAGCAAGTAATGTCATTAGCAAAAAAAATAAAGCGAGAAATGCCCGTTAAAATGATGTATGACATATTTATTTAAGAACATATTCCAATATCAAACAGCAAATTCCAACAATGCAAAAACCACAATTACTTTTGCATTCACCTAAAATTGGAACGATACAGAGAAGACTAGCATGGCCCCTTAAAAAAAAATACATAAACTGCAGAAGGGATTATTTTATGTAGTCTAATTTGTTTTGTTTGTTTGTTTAGACCTAAGTATTGGCCAGTTTTTCATCCTTACATTTTTGTGTGTCTGACCTTCATCTGGCATCATCTTCCTTCTGCCTGATATACAGGTATATTTTTTACAAGTTTTCTTAGTGAGGATGTCTAGTGGCAAACACTCATTTTTTTTAACTGAAAATGTCTTTATCTTACCCTAATTCTTTTTTTTTTTTTTTTTTTTTTGAGACTAGATCTCACTCTGTTGCCCAGGTTGGAGTGCAGTGGCACAATCATAGCCTAGTATCCTCCATCTCCTGGGCTCAAGTTATCCTTCTGCCTCAGCCTCCCAAGTAGCTGGAACTACAGGCATGCACTGCCATGCCCAGCTAACGTTTTAAAAATTTTATTAGAGACAAGGTCTCACTATGTTGCCCACGCTGGTCATGAACTCTTGAGCTCAAGCTCCCCGCCTCCCAAAGTGCTGGGATTACAGGTGTGAGCCACTGCACCCGTATTTTGCTCTAATTCTTTTTTTTTTTTTTTTTTTTTTTGAGATGGAGTTTTGCTCTCGTCAGCCAGGCTGGAGTGCAATGGTGCGATCTCGGCTCACTGCAACCTCCACCTCCTGGGTTCAAGCACTTCTCCTGCCTCAGCCTCCCGAGTAGCTGGGATTACAGGCACGCACCACAACACCTGGCTAATTTTTTTTGTATTTTTAGTAGAGATGGGGTTTCACCATGTTGGTCAGGCTGGTCTTGAACTCGTGACCTCAGGTGATCCGCTTGCCTTGACCTCCCAAAGTGCTAGGATTACAGGCAAGAGCCACCACGCCCGGCGCTCTAAATATTAAAATATATTTTTTTTCTACATATAGTATTTTAGGTACACAATTATTTTCTTTTGAGCCCACTAACAATATTCCATTTTTAGCTCTGCCTCTGTTGTGGGTGATGAAAATAGATAATCTTTGTTCATTTGGACATCTCCATCGTCTTCAGTGGCTGCCTTGGAGGCTTCTCTTAGTTGTTGGTGCTTGATAACTCATTATGGTGCCTAACTGTGGGTTCTTTTTATTTATTCCATTTACTTATTCATTAGAAATTCTCAAGAATTATAATAATAATAATTATTATTATTATTATTATTATTATTATTTTGAGACAAAGTCTCACTCTGTTGCCCCAGGCTGGAGTACAATGGCGTGATCTTAGCTCACTGCAACCTCCGCCTCCCAAGTTCAAGCGATTCTCCTGCCTCAGCCTCCTGAATAGCTGGGATTACAGGTGCCCGCCACTACGCCCGGCTAATTTTTGTATTTTTAGTAGAGACAGGTTTTCACCATGTTGGTCAGGCTGGTCTCAAACTCCCAACCTCAGGTGATCCACCCGCCTCAGCCTCCCAAAGTGCTGGGATTACAGGCATGAGCCACCACACCTTGCCTCTCAGAAATTATTTCTGAGGAATCATCTTAGAAACATTTCTACAAATATAATCTTAGCCTTATTCTTTCTCTTTCCTCTGAAATTCCAACACCCATATGACAGGCCTTGTCATTGTATTCTCCAAGTTTCTGAACTTTTTTTTCATATTTTCTCTTTTTCTCTCTATACTGCATTCTGGGTAACTTTATTAGATTTATTTTGTAATTCACCAATTTTATCTTTTACTATGTCTTCCGTTAAACCTCTCCATTTGCTCTGATGATTTAATTATTTTTTGTCTTTGTAATTTGGTCCTTTCTCATATGTGCTTGGTCAATATTTTTCGATTTTTTAATTCTAAAATTAACAAACATACACAAAAAGTTTGAGTGGATCACCTGAGATCAGGAGTTCAAGAGCAGCCTGACCAATATGGTGAAACCCCGTCTCTACTAAAAATACAGAATTAGCCAGGTGTGGTGATGGGTGCCTGTAATCCCAGCTACTTGGGAGGCTGAGGCAGCAGAATTGCTTGAACCTGGGAGGCAGAAGTTGCAGTGAGCCAAGATCACGCGCCACTACACCCCAGCCTGGGCAACAACAGTGAGACTCCATCTCAAAAAAAAAAAAAAAAAAAAAGAAAGAAAGAAAAGAAAAGAAAGAAAGAAAGAAATGTATTTTCTACAAATAAAGAGTTTTACTTTTTCCCCAAAACTGGAGCCTTTAATTTCTTTGTCTTGCTTTATTGCACTGGCTAAAACCTCTAGTATAATGATAGATAGAAATGGTAACAGGAAATATTTGTTTTGCTTTCCTGCTATTAGAAAGAAAAATGAGTCTTTGACCATTAATTATTATACTGGCTGTAGTTTTTTTTATAGAAGCCCTTTATCCTACTGAAGACATGCCCTTCCTTTCCTAGTTTGTGAGTGTTTCTATCATGCATGAATGCTGGATTTGCTAAAATTGTGTTAAGAAGTTTTGCATTCATATTCATGAGGGCTCTCAGCCTGTTCTTTTGTTGTTGTCTTTCTTGGAACATGTTTTTTGGGTCTTTGTATCAGGGTAACACTGGTCTCTGAATTGGGAAGTATTTCTCTCTCTTGATTCTTACCAAACACACACTTTTCAAGTCATAGAAACGATGTTTCAGCTTTTGAATTTGTTGCTGTTCCTACCTTTTGTTCTCAGCTGCCAAGGATGAAACACCAGCAGATAGGGTGCAAGCTATGCAAGGGTGATGAAGAAGGAAAAAGGTTGGCATCGATCATTTGCTACCAGACACTGTTACAGGTTGTTGTTGTTGTTGTTGTTGTTTATTGAGACAGAGTCTCATTCTGTTGCCCAGGCTGGAGTGCAGTGGCATGGTCTCAGTTCACTGCAACCTCTGCCTCCCGGGCTCAAGCGAGTCTCCTGCCTCAGCCTCCCAAGTAGCTGAGACTACAGGCATGTACCACCACGCCTGGCTAATTTTTGTATTTTTAGTAGAGTTGGGGTTTCATCATGTTGGCCGGGTTGGTCTTGAACTCCTGACCTCAAGCAATCCACGTGCCTTGGTCTCCCAAAGTGCTGGGATTACAGGCATGAGCCATAGCACCCGGCCTGTTACATATTTAATCTCTTTTCATTGTCTCACAATTTCTTGAAGAGTGTACGATGACTCCCATTTTACAAGTTTGTTAAGAGAGGTTAAATATTCGCCTAAAATGACACAGTAAGTCTTGGAGTTGGGATGGAAAAGCAGCCTCAGGGCCTCTAGAGGCCTTGCATTCTTTCTTACACCAGGTAAGCAGAGTGAAGAATATACCTAGTAGTTCAGGAAACTGTGATCTAGAATTTAACTTGAGTTCACTCCAGAGTTGTTTAATTTCACAGATTCCAAATTAAACTAAATCCTGACACTGGCCTGAAGTTTGAAAATCAAGTTTAGCCTAAAGCTGCCTCCTAACATATTTTAAGTTCGGCCTAAAGATTTCTCTCTACGTCTTGTGAACTATATAGCATGTGGACATGTAAACAGACCATAGCCTACACCTGTTTTGGCCAATCAAATGTATCCAACTGCTTGAACTGTGTTTTTTTGTTTGTTTTGTTTTGTTTGTTTGTTGACAGTTTCACTCTTGTTGCCCAGGCTGGAGTGCAATGGCATTATCTTGGCTCACCACAACCTCCGCCTCCTGGGTTCAAGTGATTCTCCTGCCTCAGCCTCCCAAGTAGCTGGGATTACAGGTGTGCACCACCACACCCGGCTAATTTTGTATTTTTAATAGAGATGGGATTTCTCCATGTTGGTGAGGCTGGCCTCGAACTCCCAACCTCAGCTGATCCACCCACCTCAGCCTCCCAAAGTGCTGGGAATACAGGCATGAGCCACCTCGCCCAGCCTGAACTATGTTTAAATAAGGCAAATGCTGAGTTGTAACCAATCTGGCTGTTTCTGTACCTCACTTCCATTTTCTGTACATCTCTTTCCTTTTTCCGTCCATAAATCTTCCACCATGCAGACGCACTGGAATCTCTGCGAACCTGTTGTGATTCCGTGGGCTGCCTGATTCGCAAATTGTTCATTGCTCAATTAAACTCCTTTAAATTTAATTCGGCTGAAGTTTTTCCTTTATCAAGTTGAAACTGTCTGGAGTAGTTCCAGGGGTAAACAGTTAACTTAGTTTAGCACCTAAGCAAATAGAAATAATATGATAGTGAAAATAATACTAATAACAACTTATAATAACTAGATAAATCAAATGTTTGCTAAATCCAATCTGAAATTTGTAGCGATACCAGGCAACCTCATCTCATGACTTTCTAGGAAGCACTTGGCAGCCCAAGAAAGTGGACACAGTTCCACATGACAGGGATCATTGAAGGGATCATGTGAGGACCAGCAAGGAACTGATGGGGGCTGGGGGTGAGGGGCTGGGGGGATGTTAGGTTGCTAACAAGAGCGTGATTTCAAAAAGCACAGTCAGCTGCTCTGAAATAAGGACAGTGTTATTCAAATGTAACCTCCCAGTGGATTCACCTTGCCTGCTGCCTAGACAGAGTCAATTTATCAAGACAGGGGGATTGCAATAGAGACAGAGTAATTCATGCAGAGCCGGCTGGGCAGGAGACTAGAGTTTCATTATTACACAAATCAGTTTCCCGAGAGCATTCGGGGAGCAGAATTTTTAAGGACAACTTGGTGGGTAGGGGGAAGTCAGTGAGCCGGCAGTGCTGATTGGTCAGAGATGAAATTAAAGGGAGACAGAGCTGTCTTCTTGCACTGAGTCAGTTCCTGGGTGGGGTACCACAAGATCACATGAGCCAGTTTATCAATCTGGGTGGTGCCAGCTTGAGTGCAGGGTCTGTAAAATATCTCAAGCACTGATCTTAGGAGCAGCTTAGGGAGGGTCAGAATCTTGTAGCCTCTAGCTGCATGACTCCTAAACTATAATTTTCTTTCTTTCTTTCCTTCTTTCCTTCCTTCCTTCCTTTCCTTCCTTTCCCTCCCTCCTTTCCCTCCCTCCCTCCTTCCTTCCTTCTGCATGACTCCTAAACTATAATTTCCCCTCCCCTCCCCTCCCTTCCCTTCCCTTCCCTTCTCTTTTCTTTCAACAGAGTTTTGCTCTTGTCGCCCAGGCTACAGGACAACAGTGGCGTTATCTCCGCTCACTGCAACCTCCGCCTCCCAAGTTCAAGCAATTCTCCTGCCTCAGCCTCCCACCACCACACCTGGCTAATTTTTGGATTTTTAGTAGAGATGGGGTTTCACCATGTTGGCCAGGCTGGTCTCAAACTCCTGCCTCAACCTCCCAAAGTGCTGGGATTACAGGTGTGAGCCACCACGCCCAGCTGTTTAATCTCTTTTTAATAAAATATTTCATTGTTATCATTGGATTCTCACAGCACCATTTGAGGTATACGAGCGGTGTTAGTCCAATTTTAACACACGTGCTCAACTCGTGGAAAATGAACAGCAGAGCTGTTCTCCAGAGATGTTCAGATCTGCAGCCCAGGGCTTTTTTCTGTATGACCTTTACCCACAACAGCTCCGACTCCAATTTTTTGAGTTTATACCTGGATCCTACACCACCCTTCTCCAGCCCTGTGGTCCTTGACATTGTTTCTTTATTCATCTGCACCAAGGACTGAGGCAGAAGTAACAATCTGTTTCAACAACATCTACATTCAGAACATACTAGAAGATACAGCACACTTCTTACACGGATCAGCAATTCAGAAATGTTCTCTTCTCATTTTATTGCTTAGAGCTTCACGTTGGTGGGAAGCTTGTTTGGTCATAAAAAGAACTGCCAAGCACAGATACGCTATGACCCTGCAGGTTCCTGGGGAGAGGCAACACATCTTCATTGGAGAGGACAGTTGAATATGTCTCCTCTGACACAACTACACAGACCCCTTTCCAAGCTCTGCAGCCATCCTCCCCACCTAATGAAATAAAATGTAGATTTCTGTTGTTTAATTGCACCTAATAAATCTTTTTTTTCTTTCAACCACTTTGAATAAACATATATTGTCAATCAATCTTTTGAGTTTCCACTTCTATAAAACATTCTGGGGCAGTGTACAGTACAAACTTCAGTGACGTAAACTACCATTTGGAAGTACGATCTATGTGTGTATTTCCACTTAAATAAGTAAGAACCCATAATGTGTTCCATCGTCCATGGAAATGTTACCCTGTAGCAATTTTCCAGGCCTCCTAGCCTTCAGCCTTGACTAATGGCTTCAGTTCATTCTTCCAGAAAATTAAAGAGGCTGTTGTCATTCTGTGGTGGATACAAAGTTAGATAATTTTTCTCCCGAAAAGATAAAACACAAAAACATTCTTATATTTGGAGGCAGGAAAACCTCATCTGTTCAATTCCTCCCAGAAAATGAGAAGTTTAATGCAAGCTGAGCCTTCCTACCAGCCAATTAACTTCACCTGCCCTGGGGGACAGGAAGAAGCAGCATGGACTATTTCCCTTCCACAAACCCACTCCTCCTGATCACTTTACTTTCATTAATGTATTTACTTTAGAGACAGGATCTCACTCTGCTGCCCAGGCCGCAGTGCAGTGATGTGAGCATAGCTCACTGCAGCCTTTAACTTTAGGGCTCAAGCCATCCTCCCACCTCAGCCTCCCAAGCGTGGGGATTACATGCATAAGCCACCGGACCAGCCACCCATGCTTACTTTATTTATTTATTTATTTTTGAGACGGAGTCTCGCTCTGTCGCCCAGGCTGGAGTGCAGTGGCGCGATCTCGGCTCACTGCAAGCTCCGCCTCCCAGGTTCACGCCATTCTCCTGCCTCAGCCTCCCGAGTAGCTGGGACTACTGGCACCCGCCACCGTGCCCGGCTAATTTTTTGTATTTTTAGTAGAGACGGGGTTTCACCGTGTTAGCCAGGATGGTCTCGATCTCCTGACCTCGTGATCCGCCCGCCTCGGCCTCCCAAAGTGCTGGGATGACAGGCGTGAGCCACCGCGCCCGGCCCCATGCTTACTTTAAATTGCAGGAGGCAAGAATGTTCTACAGCCAAAGTTTTAGGGAGTGATGGTTGCTCTGTGAAGCCTAAAAATTCCAACATATTTTCTTCTGTAGATTCCTGAAAGATGCTGAGAGGCTTTCACTTCACAGAAAACTACAGGTGTCAAGCCGTGTGACCCCAGGAAAAATCACCTGACCTTTCTAGGTCTCAAATTGTAAAATGAGAAAGTTGAATTAGCTGCTCTCTGAGGTCGTCACAAAGTTTAATATTCTATGACTTTTCTAGGATTGAACCATAAAACATCAAGCATTCTTTTTTTTTTTTTTTTTTTAGAAAATCTGTTGGATGATGGTTAGAAGTCAATGGCCCTGGAGCCCATCCATTTCTAGAGTTCAGAGTGTTCCTGTCTGCTCATTTGATCACAGCTGTGAGAGCGCACTGGGCTATAATAAAAATAAAAATGTACTAATGATTCACAAGTAAACTTACAGCCATCTTTCTTTATGCAGATCACTGATAGCACAGAACTGTCCCTCTCCGGGGAGATAGGGTACAGAGAGGGCAGCCACCTCGAAAGAGAAGATAGCCCTCTCCAAGCTGCTTCAATCCTCAACTCAGCCAGCCTATTGCCAGCCAGTCTTCATCTGGAGCCCAAGGTACACAGGAAAAGAGGTGCTGTTCCTCCCCGACCATCCCAGCCTTCTCCTCCTGTCCCCGCTGATCTCAGCCCCACCGGCCAGCACGCATGCTGAGTGTCGCTCTCCCCACCACCATCCCAAACTTCTTCCCCTGTCCCCCCCACCTCAGCCCTCCTACTAGCACGCATGCTGAGTGTAGCTCTCCCCCCACCATCCCAACCTTCTCTTCCTGTCCCCTCCCACCTCAGCCCTCCTACCAGCAAGCATGCTGAGTGTAGCTCTCCCCCCACCATCCCAACCTTCTCTTTCTGTCCCCCACCACCTCAGCCCTCCTACCAGCACGCATGCTGAGTGTAGCTCTCCCCCCACCATCCCAACCTTCTCTTCCTGTCCCCTCCCACCTCAGCCCTCCTACCAGCAAGCATGCTGAGTGTAGCTCTCCCCCCACCATCCCAACCTTCTCTTCCTGTCCCCTCCCACCTCAGCCCTCCTACCAGCACGCATGCTGAGTGTAGCTCTCCCCCCACCATCCCAACCTTCTCTTCCTGTCCCCCCCCACCTCAGCCCTCCTACCAGCACGCATGCTGAGTGTGCTCTCCTCGCCCACCCCCAGGACTGTTTGCCCCATCATCAAGACTCCTGTGGCGCCTTCAGCTTCAAAACCTTATCAGGGGCGTCCTCACTTCTCCTTAGCAGACTCAGGTCTCAGCTCACACTTGCACCTGCCGTGGGCTCCGTCACAGAACGTCTGCCTACCACGGAGCCCTCTGGACTTCCTGGCAGCTGCTCATGCCACTTTGCCCCGGGTTTCCATGCAGCTGTGCCACGCCTGGGTTGCGCGCCTCACACCCTGGGTGTTCCTCTGAAGCTCACTCTCTGAGCGTCCTCTCCTCAAGCTGCTGCGCTGTCCTTCCCATTCCCTGCGGGTGGGCACTCCTCAAGCTTCCCGCCTGCTCAGGCCCCACACTGTTCCTCTTGGGCGCACTTCTGGGAGCGCATCCGTGGCTCCCCAAGTGCACTTCCAGTCCTGAGCCCTCAGGTGCGCCCCGGACCTACATTTCCAAATACCTGGGGGTCCACACGTCGAAGTCCTACCACCACACCACAGTCATCCTGTCACACCCGAACTCCCTGCTCCATCCAATCTGCCGCTCTTCTAGCAACCATCTTGCTTCCCTGGGTGGCACTCCTTGATTCCCTGGCGGATCTGTCTGATCGCTCATGCGGACCATTGTTGTGGGAAACTGAGGACTAGAGAGACTGACATGGAGAACAGGAGGATTGTTTATTTCAGGTACTCACTGGCTTAGTGGATTCATATCCAAAAAGCTGAGCATTGAACAAAGACTGAGTGGGGTTTTTATAAGCAAACTTACAGAAGCAAACAAAAGCAGTTAATCACATGATAGGTCACATAATCTATAGCATAACATCACTTAACTTGTGGCCTTGCATAGCTTGTAACTTGTAACTGCATTGAAAGAAAAACAAGAACTGGCTAAATTATAGACATTTGTAAAACACAGTTATGCTTAAGAAGCCAGGGAAAGGAGTAACAGTAAAGGAATTTGTCTTTTTCCCTTTTTTTTCCTTCAACTTTGCCCTGGAAGGCGGGGTGGGGGTGTTGTCTGGAGCCCATTCCTTTGGCCTTGGTTTTTTAAACAGCATTATCCTATAACTGTCTCTGAAGTGAGCTTGCTAAGCAGAAGAAAACGTGGTCTTTTCTTTTTAACGCTTGCCTTGACTGTTACTTTTCTCGGAGTGAATAAATGCATATTTATTTTTAAATTTCTGCCTCACCACGACGTCATCGGCATGGTCGCCAGGCTCGGCTCACCACCTCTTCCTGTCTGGTCCTGCTGCCAGAGCCTGGTGTGACACCCGAATCCTCTTGACTCCTGGCTTTTGTCACCTCGCGAGCCTCTGCTTCCAGGCTCTCCTCTCACAGTCCTTCTGCTCTCCTGCCATTGGAGTCCCAGCTCTCACATTTAAGCCTGACCTTTTCGCTCCTAAGCTAAAATATTATGATGGCTTGTCAATTCCTGCACTAAGGATTTAAACATAGAACATGTGATACTTAAGATGTGCAAAATGGGAGAAGTCTTGCTATGGACACCTGCGTGCCCATCAGCACCTCCATGACATGAGGCTGGAGCCCTGTGTCCTCACAGCTGCTGTGATGCCTAACTCCAGAGCCCCCGCCCAGTCCTGCTTGCTATGCCCAAGAGTTGTGCTGTGAAAGGAGGCCTGCTTATCACTCTCCCCTGTTTTCTTCCTCCCTCGGGGAAGTGACCCACAGAGAGAGTGAGCTAGGAGTTTACCATTACCAGCCATTTCTTTATCCTTTGCTGCCTCTTATCTCTAAGCTACATACAGCACTGTTTTGCCTGCTTTATATAAGTGATAGCATGTTGTACATGTCTTTATGCATCATTTTTTACTTTCAATTTCTTTTTCTTTTTCTTTTTTCTCCTGCCTTTTTTTCCATTCTTTCTTTCTTTCTTTCTCCCTTTCTTTCTCTCCTTTCTCCTTCCTTCTTTTCTTTTCTTTTTTCTTTTCTTTTTTGAGACAGAGTCTCACTCTGTCGCCCAGGCTGGAGTGCAGTGGCATCATCTCAGCTCACTGCAATCTCTGCCTCCTGGATTCAAGCAATTCTCCTGACCTCACGTGATCTGCCCGCGTTGCCCTCCGAAAGTGCTAGGATTACAGTCATGAGCCATCGCACCCAGCCTCAATTTATTTGTAATAGAGATGGGGTCTCACTCTGTTGCTCAGGCTGGAGTGCAGTGGTGCAATCACCACTCACTGCAGCCTCCATCTCCCGGGTTCAAGGGATCCTCCCCCATCAGAGTCCTGAGTAGCTAACCACAGGTGTGCCCCACCATGGCTGGCTAATTCACTTTCAATTTTGTTCATTTTCACTGCTATGTTGAATTCCATTGTATACTATACAATAATCTTCTTATCTATTCTCCTGTGGATGAAATTTAGGCAATTTCTAATATTAAAAAAATTATAAATAATATTACTTTAGTTCATGCCACTGCACTTCGGCCTGAGCAACAGAGCAAGACCCTGTCTCAAAAAAAATCACTTTAAACATTCTTGTGCATGTCTCTGTCTATATAAATGTCCTGGAATGGAAGAGTGGACATTCTAGGGTTTTAAGTCATTTTCAACATGATTGAAATAATTTACTTTCTTACCAGCAGTGCCTGAAAATTCCTGCTGTGCATCTTCATCTTCATTTGGTGTGATTAGACTTCCCAATATTTACTAAGCTCTGGGATTTTCAGTTTTGGGAATTTCTAAGGAGGTTAAACTTCTCTTCCTTTTTCTTTCCTCCTCATGATCTGCCTTTTTATTTTTCTCTATTTTAAAAATAAGGTGTATATATTTTAATCCAGCTATTATAATGATATATTCTGGATACTAGTATTCTATCAGATAAATGTGTTATAAAGATCTTCGCCATTCTGTGGCCTAATTTAGCTTATTTTGTCACTTAATAAATTCAAGTTTTGAGTGTAATGTAATATTTCTTTTTTTGATGGAGCCTGGCTCTTGCTCAGGCTGGAGTGCAGTGGCACAATCTCGGTTCACTGCAACCTCCACCTCCCGGGTTCAAGCAATTCTCCTGCCTCTCAGCCTCCCTAGTAGCTGAGACTACAGGCACCTGCCACGACGCCCGGCTAATTTTTGTATTTTTAGTAGAGACGGGGTTTCACCGTGCTGGCCAGGCTGGTCTCAACTCCCGACCTCCAGTGATCCACTTGCCTCCGCCTCCCAAAGTGCTAAGATTACAGGCGTGAGCCACCTCACCCGGCCTAATGTAATTTATTCTATCAACCTTTTTCTCATCTCCGTGTAGGGCGGGAGAGCCTGGGGTGTCTAAACTGCGCATTGATGGATCCCATGAGAAAGCCCCGTCGGGACCGTGGGGAGCGCCAACCGCAAGCGTGGCTGGGGAGGGAACACGGGGCACTGCAGGGGCAGCTCTGGGCGCTGAGAGGCAGGTCCGGGCCTGGAGGGGCACGTGGGTGGCTGGGTTCCCAGGTGTGCTGGCAGCCCTGGCAGCCCTCGCTCACTCTCGGTGCCTCCTCTGCCTGGGCTCCCACTTTGGCGGCACTTGAGGAGCCCTTCAGCCCGCTGCTGCACTGTGGGAGCCCCTTCCTGGGCTGGCCGAGGCCACAGCCAGCTGTCTCAGCTTGCGGGGAGGTGTGGAGGGAGAGGTGCGGGCAGGAACCGGGGCTGCGAACAGCGCTTGTGGGCCAGCGCGAGTTCCGAGTGGGCGTGGGCTCGGTGGGCCCCGTACTCAGAGCAGCCAGCCAGCCCCGCTGTCCCTGGACAGTAAGGGGCTTAGTACCTGGGCCAGCAGCTGCTGTGCTCATCTTCTCTCCCGGCCTTAGCTGCCTCCCGGCAGGGCAGGACTCAGGACCTGCAGCCCACCATGCCTGAGCCTCCCCCTCCCCGCCATGGGCTCCTGCGTGGCCAGAGCTTCCCCGACGAGTGCCACCCCCTGGTCCATGGCCCCCAGTCCCATGACCCCCCAAGGGCTGAGGAGTATGGGTGCATGGTGTGGGACTGGCAGGCAGCTCCACCTGTGGCCCTGGTGCGGGATCCACTGTGTGAAGCCAGCTAGACTCCTGAGTCTGGGTGCAGACTTGGAGAACCTTTATGTCTAGCTAAGGGATTGTAAATACACCAATCGGCACTCTGTATCTAGCTCAAGGTTTATAAACACACCAATCAGCACCCTGTGTCTAGCTCAGGGTTTGTGAATGCACCAATCCACACTCTGTATCTGGCTACTCTGGTGGGGATTTGGAGAACCTTTGGGTCCACACTCTGTATCTAGCTAATCTAGTGGGGAGTTGGAGAACTTTTGTGTCTAGCTCAGGGATTGTAAATGCACCAATCAGCACCCTGTCAAAACGGACCAATCAGCTCTCTGAAAAACAGACCAATCAGCAGGATGTGGGTGGGGCCAGATAAGGGAATAAAAGCAGGCTGCCTGAGCCAGCAATGGCAACTTGCTGGGGTCCGTTTGCCGGTTGTGGGAGCTTTGTTCTTTTGCTCTTTACAGTAAATCTTGCTGCTGCTCACTCTTTGAGTCAGCACTGCATTTATGAGCTGTAACACTCACTGCAAAGGTCTGCAGCTTCACTCCTGAAGCCGGCGAGACCACGAACACACCAGGAAGAATGAACAACTCCAGACGCACCACCTTAAGAGCTGTAACACTCACCGCCAAGGTCTGCAGCTTCATTCCTGAGCCAGCGAGACCACGAACCCGCTAGAAGGAAGAAGCTCCCAACACATCCGAACATCATAAGGAACAATGCAGCTTTTAAAAGCTGTAACACTCACCGCGAGGGTCCGCGGCTTCATTCTCGAAGTCAGTGAAACCAAGAACCCACCCATTCCGGACACACAGGCGGCTGCTGCAGGGAGGGCGCACTTTCCCCAAGGCGGAAGAAACGGGAGAGCGCAGGTCTAGGCTGATTGCCGGCGCTGCCCTTGCGCGCTTGCTCACGGGCCTCCAAGATCCTGGGTTGGCTCTCGCCTTCGCCATCCTGGAGGGGCGGGACCCGGGGATGAACGGGTGATGAGGAAAGGGAACAAGAAAAAGATGTGAAGGGAATTGGAAAAACGAGAGACAGCGCCTGTGGCGGAGGCCGCCCAGTTGTAACGGGCCTTCCCTGTCCTGGGACAGCGCAGGTGCGCGCGATTAAGGGTGCAGACGTGACCCCCATGCCGGGTGGGCGCGGCCTGAATGCGCACCAAGCAGTGAGTGAACACTGATGCAGGGGTTTTCTTCTTTTTCTTTTCTGTCATAAACTCCACCAAGTCGTATGAGGTTTTCTAAAATTTTATTTTATAATTTTGTTTTTTGAGGCGGGGTCTTACTCTGTCGCCCAGGCTGGGGTGCAGAGGCACAATCTCTACTCACTGCAGCTTCAATCTCCCACCTTCAAGCGATCCTACCACCTCAGCCTCCCAAGTACCTGGAACTACAGGCATGACCCACCACGCCCAGTTAAATTTAAAAAAAATTTAGGTGCGGTGGATCACGCCTGTAATCCCAGCACTTTGGGAGGCTGAGGTGAGTGGATCACTTGAGCTCAGGAGTTGGAGACCAGCCTGGCCAACATGGCAAATCCCATCTCCACTAAAAGTACAAAAATTAGCTGGGTGTGGGGGCGCGTGCCTGTAGTCCCAGCTACTCAGGAGGCTGAAGCAGAAGAATCGTTTAAACGAGGGAGGCGGAGGTTGCAGTGAGCCGAGATCATGCCACTGCAATCCAGCCTGGAGGACAGAGTGCGATGCCAGTCTCAAACAGAAAAGAAAAAAGTCTGGCGTCTTGCTGTCTTGCCCAGTCTGGTATCAAACTCTTGGCCTCAAGGCATCCTATTGCCTCGGCTGCCTAAAGTGCTGGGATTGCAAGGCATAAGCCACCGTACCTAGCCTGGTTTTCTAAAAAAAATTAATAGACAATTTTGTTTTTACAGTTTTAGATTTACAGAATATTTGAGCAGCTAATACAGAAAGTTTTCATCTACACTCTCCCCACAACATTTCCCCTATTAATATTATCCTGCATTCGTGTGGTACAGTTATTTGTTGCAATTTTTTTTTCCAGATGGAGTTTTTGCTCTGTTGCCCAGGCTAGAGTGCAATGGTGCAATCTTGGCTCACTGCAACCTCCACCTCCTGGGTTCAAGTGATTCTCCTGCTTCAGCCTCCTGAGCAGTTGGGAGTATAAGTGCCCTCCAGCATGCCTGGCTACTTTTTGTATTTTTAGTAGAGATGAGGTTTCACCATGTTGGCCAGGTGGGTCTCGAACTCTTGACCTCAGGTGATCCACCCGCCTCGGCCTCCCAAAGTTCTAGGATTACAGGTGTGAGCCACCGCACCCGGCCTATTTGTTATAATTAATGAAGCAATATTCCTACATCATTGTTAAACAAATGCCATACTTTAAGGTTCCCTCTGTGTTGTACAGGTCTATGGCTTTGAGGAATGCATGGCATTTGCCTGCCTCTGTGGTGCCATGGAGAACAGCTCCACTGCCCTTACTGTCCCTGTGGCTTGCCTGCTCATCCCCTGCTCTTTCTCTCCACTTTTTCTCGAATGTCCTATCACTGGAATCATGCAGCATGTGTAGCCTTTTCAGGTTGGCTTCTTCCACTCTGCACTGTGCATTGAAGTTTCCTCCGCGTCTTTGTGTGGCTCAATAGCTCATTTATCTTTAGCTCATTTCTCTTATAGTGGATGTACCACCTTTTGTTTCACCATTCACTCACCGAAGAACATCTTGGGGACTTCCAGTTTTTTTGTGATCATGAATAAAGCTGCTGTAAACGTGTGTGTCTGGGTTTTTGTGTGGATGTAGTTTTCAGCTCCTTTCAGTAAATACCTAGGAGGGCAATTGGATCACGAGGTAACACTGTGTTTGGCTTCGCCAAACTGTCTTCCACAGTGGCTGCCCGTTTTGCATGTGCACCATAATGAGTGAGGGTTCCCGGAGCTCCGCATCCTCCCAGCATTTGGTGAGGCCAGTGTTCCGGGTTTCAGCCACTCTCATACGTGTGGAGTGGCATCTTGTTTTCATTTGAAATCCCCTCATGATGTATGCTATTGGGCATTATTTCATATGTTTATTTGCCATCTGTGGATCTTCTTTGGTGAGATGTCTGTTCAGATCTTTGCCCATTTTTTAATTGGATTGTTCATTTTTTTTATTGGTGAGTTTTAGGAGTTCTTTGTATATTTTTGGATATCGGTCCTTTATCAGATACGTGTTTTACAATATATTTTTAATATACATTTAATAAATTCACAGATATTTAAATAAAACATACTTGTTGAGATGTTGCCTAAAACAATTTCCCATGCTATCTGTGGTATGCTGACAACAATTTTGGGAAATATTATTTAAATCTCTCATTTAAAGTGAAATAGCAATGACAGGTTCGTTTCTGTGCCACATAATTAAAAGCAAAATAACAATAATAACATCCATGAAAATGCATTCCTCAGGGGCTGCAGCCTTTGATTTGACACTTCTGTTTCACAACTTATGGACAATGACGACCTTCGGTTCAGGATGCTTAACACATGTCAGCATTTGTTCAACACTGTTTGCTTCTGGGTTCCCCAGAAATACAGACTTGAATTATATTTATTTTATAATATTCTTGAGATGTTAATATCATTACTTCTCCCAGGGGTAGGTCTTGGGAATAGCAAAGTTTTAGACATGCTGCCTATACCAAAGGTGAGTTTTAATTTCGAGTGATGTCTAGCAAAGACTATGTAACTTTCTCTTGCACAGCGGATTCTTCAGGAGCTGTTCTTCAGAATGACACCAAAGAATGAGAATTCAGGGAAGTCTAGAGCCAGGAGCCCAGGGCTCTTACGGTTAGTTATTATGTAGTTGTTGCATGCTAAGTTGCTTAACTTTTCTGAGGCCCAATTTATTATTCTATTTAGAGTAAGTGATTGCCAATGTTCTCTCTAGTTCTGTCAGTTTGATGATTCCATGATATTTGAGGCTTACCTTTGAGACACAGAAAATTGCTACATAGAAAACTCTGCAAAGTCGCAGGATATGCCTGACATTTCGCCACAAGGGGAAGGATATGAAAGATTCCGCTGGCTCTCAGCTGATAACCCAAAACAAACAGCGAAGGTGTAGGTAGAAAAGCAGAAGCTCATCTTAGATGACTGCGACACTGGTTACCATGTGAGGAACACACGTGTCTCAGATGACTGCGACACTGGTTACTGTGTGAGGAACACACACGTGTCTCAGATGACTGCGACACTGGTTACCATGTGAGGAACACGCACACACGTGTCTCAGATGACTGCGACACTGGTTACCGTGTGAGGAACACGCACACACGTGTGTTCGTAGGTTGGGCTGAACGCATTCAGCAATGAAGTGAGTACGAATAAGAAAAAATGAGAAATCTTCAATGAAAACCTCGAGGTCTAAAACGAGACCATTGCCATCATTTTAGGACCATTAACGTCAACGGTCCTAGGTTCACCCGAGAGCCTGGGCCTTGGTGAGCAAGAACCCTGCCCCAGGAGGGGCCTGGCCAGCTCTGGGGTTGGGGCTCACCCTCGCCTGGAGTCCTGCACCGGCATCTGGGAGCTCCCAGCCCCTCCCGCAGAAGCGCGTGGTGGATTGTGAGTGGCGTGAAATCCTTACAGAAGCACTGAGCACAAGACGCTCTCAGTGAGTCAGCTGTTGTTACGCCCAGTGGGCACACCTTCCCAGTCCTGGAGCTGTGTGGTGCCATGCAGCTGTGCAGAGAGCTCCAGAGCCCGCCTGGCCACCCCTCGGCCTCTGAATGCCCCCTGCTCTGCCTTCGAGCCTTCCTCTCCTCCCTCCATCCTTCCTCAGAGCCTCTGGTCTTCACCTCTCCCAAGGACCTGCTGCATTTCGGGACTGACAAATTTCCCTGGAGGCAAAAGGAGAACGTCAAAAAATTAGGTGAAACACAAAATATTTCTGTAGCCTTTGTAATTCCAAATAAAATCTGGAAAGGATAACGAGACACTTTGTTTTCCTCAGTCAATGCAGCACAAGGGATTTCTTCCTATGCTTGTTTTCTCTTTTTCTTTTCTTTTGGTGGTTTTTTTTTTTTTTTTTTTTTTTTTGAGGTGGAGTCTCACTCTGTCGCCCAAGCTGGAGTGCAGTGGTGCGATCTCGGCTCACTGCAAGCTCTGCCTCCCGGGTTCACACCATTCTCCTGCCTCAGCCTCCCGAGTAGCTGGGACTACAGGCGCCCGCCACCACGCCCAGCTAATTTTTTTGGTATTTTTAGTAGAGACGGGGTTCCACCGTGTTAGCCAGGATGGTCTGGATCTCCTGACCTTGTGATCCGCCCACCTCGGCCTCCTAAAGTTCTGGGATTACAGGCATGAGCCACTGCGCCCGGCTGGCCAAACCTTCTTCACCCAGCGTGTTTCTACCTAGCATTTCCACCTTGCCTTAGCTGGCCTAGCACATGGAAAGCAAACAAAAAGCAATGAAGTTCCAATTCCTTGTGTAAACCAGAAAAAAAGTTTTTGCAAATGAGATGAAGGTTATATGTGTTTATTACTGCATTGGAGAAAGACCAGTTGGATGGCTTGTCCTCAGATTTGGCGGGCATATTTGGCTGTCAGGTGTCTGACTTCACTTCGGGGAGTCCCAGGGATCCCCATCTATACGGGGCAGCTGTCTTTCCAGGAGGCTGAACCTGAGGGGCAATGGGAGGCGGCATCACTGTTAATCCAGAGAGCAATGCCATACTTACCACAGTGCTGTGGGCGTAGAAACGCAAGCAGTGGGAGGGAAGAGAAGCCCTAATGAAAAGTCGTAAGGGCAGCTGCTCCACATTCCAGGTATGGATTCTTTTATTCCAGCTGCTTGTTATTGAGCAAGTCTACACAGCATTCCCAGGTGGGGGAGGAAAAAGGATTTGCTCATATATTTATTTATTTGCTTACTTTCTTAGTATTAATGACAAACAGTTCTTCCAAAAAGATATCAGCAAACATGGAGATGAACAAACTCACTTTTGAATTCTAAGTGCTGTCCAAGTCACAGTTTCCCATTTCTTCCATGCTGATGATGGCAGGTAGGTATATAAACTGGCAGGCTGGAGGAAACCAACACTAAATGCGAAGAGTGGGTTATGTGTGTTTTTAATGTACTTCTTCATATTTTTTGGGATTTTCCCAGTTTCCAAGTACAGTGACAATGTCTTATTTGTAGAATCAGAAAATCACAGTGAATACAATTTTCAGTTGTGTGGTCTTTCCTCCCTGCGTACTAACCCGTTAGTAGGCAGGGGGAGGACCATGCAACTGACAGGTGACATGCGAATAGCTGCTCTCCACATGCAGAGGAATCTGAACTCTCCCCACTGTGTTGATTGTTCCTCGTGGCCCAAGGAACAATGACGGGCTGGGAAGCTATGCCTCTCTCGGTACCAGCAATTAAAGTCTTAAGAGGACTTGGCAACTTCTTTCTTTCCTCCCTTCCTTCCTTCTTTTTCTTTCTTTCTTTCTTTTTTTTTTTTTTTTTTGACGGAGTCTCGCTCTGTCGCCCAGGCTGGAGTGCAGTGGCGCCAAACTCAGTTCACTGCAATTTCCCCCTCCCGGGTTCAAGCAATTCTCCTGCCTCAGCCTCCCGAGTAGCTGGGACTACAGGTACCCACCACCACCCCCAGCTAATTTTTGTATTTTTTAGTAGAAATAGGGTTTCGCCCTGTTGGCCAGGCTGATCTTGAACTCCTGACCTCAGGTGATCCACCCACCTCGGCCTCCCAAAGTGCTGAGATTACAGGCGAGTGCCACCATGCCCAGCCTAGACTTGGCAAATTCTTTCTTTTCTTTTTTTGAGACGGAGCCTCACTCTGCCGCCCAGGCTGGAATGCAGTGGCGTGATCTCAGCTCACTGCAACCTCTGCCTCCTGGATTCAAGTGGTTCTTCTGTCTCAGCCTCCCGAGTAGCTGGGACTACAGGCGCATGCCACCAGGCCCGGCTAATTTTTGCATTTTTAGTAGAGACGGGGTTTCACCATATTGGCCAGGCTGGTATTGAACTCCTGACCTCATGATCTGCCCACCTCGGCCTCCCAAAGTGCTGGGATTACAGGCGTGAGCCACCACGCCCAGCTGGACTTGGCAATTTCTAATTCCAAGGTCATGTTCAATTTTCACATTTCATTATTGAAAAATACTCTGTGCAAGAACTTGAGATACTCCATGAAGAAGGGAGAACAACTAACATTATCCTTTGTTCTGGAAGGCTTTCATTCACTAACTGTTGGTTAGTGATGATTTGAGGTTTTCAAAACATTTGCTGAGACTAATTTTCTATTAGGTTAGAAAACCTGTTCTACTTCTTTAAGAGCCTAGCTGCTTCCATTTAAACAGCCTTTGCATCTGCTGCTAGGAGAAGAGGGAGGCATCCCTGCTTTGGAAACCTTGCCATGCTGCTGAGTGGCTACAGATGTATTGGAGTCTTTTACCGCAGCGTTATCAACTGTCAAAAAAAAAGCACCAATAAACATTTTCTTAATGGCACCAAGAGCTTGGGGTCTTAGAAATAAACTTCATTAGCCAGGCGTGGTGGCTCACGCCTGTAATCCCAGCACTTTGGGAGGCCGAGGCGGGCGGATCACGAGGTCAGGAGATGGGGACCATCCTGGCCAACATGGTGAAACCCCATCTCTACTAAAATACAAAAAATTAGCCTGGCATGGTGGTGCACACCTGTAGTCCCAGCTACTCGGGAGGCTGAGGCAGGGGAATCGCTTGAACTTGGGAGGCAGAGGTTGCAGTGAGCCGAGATTGCACCACTGCACTCCAGCCTGGCAACAGAGCAAGACTCCGTCTCAAAAAATAAATAAATAAATAAATAAAATAAAATAAAAAATAAATGAACTTCATCCTAGAGGAAAAAAAAATTGAATTACAAAACTTTCTTCAAGGCTCAAAGCTTATTCCTAGATGAACCCTCTATAAGCAATGAGTTATACAGAGGTAGTGGATCAGCCAGCTTGGCTGTCATAACAAAATACCATAGACCAAACAGCTTAAACAAGAGACAGTTATTCCCTGACTGTTCTGGAAGCTGGAGGTCCAAGGTCAAGGTGCCAGGAAGGGAAGTTTTTCAGAGGCCTCTTTGCTTGACATGCAGGTGGCCACCATCTGGGCTGTGCACTCACCTGGCCTCTTCTGTGTGGTGTGCGTTCGGAGGTGGGGAAAGAGAGGGAGCAACCTGTCTGGTGTCTCCTTTTATAAGGGCACTAATTCCATTAGATTAGTACTTCATTTAACCCTAATTACTTCCCAAAGGCCTCATCTCTAAGTGCCATCCTACTGGGGGTTAGGGCTTCAACGTAGGAATCTTGGGGTGATAAAAACATTCAGCTCATAACAGATATTTCTAATGCAGAGCAAACGTCTTCTTTACGTGAAGCAGGTGTGTGCTTTACCATGTGTGTTTTCCATTGCTGCAGTCACAAATTTTCACAAGCGTAGTGGCTCCAAACAGCACAGATCTATTCCCCTACAGTTTCAAAGGTCAGAAGTCTGGAATGAGCTTCTCTGGGTTAAAATCAAGGTGTTGCCTGGTCGTGTTGCCTTCTGGAACCTCTAAGAGAGAATCCGTTCCTTTCCTTTTCAGGCTTCCAGAGGCCACCACCTGCTTCCGCCTGCAGCCCCTTCCTCCATCTGCACAGCCAGCCACGCTGCATCTCCTGACAGTTCTGTGGGCACAGCTCCCTCAACCGCATCTGGGAAGGAGTCTCCACTTTGAAGGACTCGTGTGATTCCAGCGAGCCCACCTGGAAAATCCAGAATAATTTCTCTACCTCACGGTCCGTATCTTAGTCACATCTGCAGAGTCCCTTTCACCATGGAAGGCGACCCAGCCACAGGTCTGGGGACTGCACATAAGCATCTCTGGAGCCATGATTCTGCCTACCACATGTGCTAGTAAAAGAAAGCTCTCCGTGTCTTGTTCTAACATCACTACATGCCTCTCTTTATGTGTCTTGAATTTTGCATATTCTTAACATGATTTCAACAGTAACAACAACAATAAAAAACTTGTGACCCCATTGCCTTCATCTGTTTGTGCAGCTATAGCAAAATATCTGAGACCGGGTAATGTAGAAAGAACAGAAATTTATTCTGCCACTGTTCTGGAGCCTGGAAGTTCAAGGCAGATTTGGGGCCTGGTAAAGGTGGCTCTCTACATCCAACATGACGCCTTCCTGCTGTGTCCTCTCATGGCAGGAGAGGCACAAAGAGATGACTGCTGTGTCGTCAAGAGGCAGGAGAGATGGAGGAGCTGAAGAAATCAGAGTGCTCCCTTCAACCTTTTTTATAAGGATGTTAATCCCATTCATGAAGGCTCAGTCCTCATCACTTAATCACCTCTAAATGCCCCGCCTCTTAATACGATTGCATTGGTGATTAGTTCACCATGGGAATTCTGGGGGGACACCAATATGGAGACCACGGCAGCTGTGTCGGTGAGGCTCTTGTGAAAGCCAGCCCATCCTCAGGCAGCATCGTTTACCCAGGCTCTAAGTGAATGAGGCTGTGGCCGTGACTGCTGTGGTTCATAGAGTAGTTGAGCTTATTCTGTGCTAAGGACCCAGGATGCCCTCATGGTCGCAGCAGACAGGTAAGCAGCTATTTCAGTGGCACACGGGGAGTGTCAAAATAGAGGGACACAAATCCAGTCTCCAGTAGCTGTGTTCCAGCCGGGAGAAAAGTCAGCTAACATATGCAGGTGGACGAGGTGACAGATGTTTTATGACAATGACCCAGGATGCCTTCACCAGCTTCCTCTATTCCAGTCCCATCAGCTTACTAGACAGAAAACTCCAATAGTGTGTCCAGAGTTGGTGGCTTCTTGGTCTCACTGACTTCAAGAATGAAGCCGCAGACCCTCGCGGTGAGTGTTACAGCTCTTAAGGTGGCGCGTCTGGAGTCTGTCCCTTCTGATGTTCAGATGTGTTCGGAGTTTCTTCCTTCTGTTGGGTTCGTGGTTTCGCTGGCTCAGGAGTGAAGCTGCAGACCTTCAGGTGAGTGTTACAGCTCTTAAGGCAGCATGTCTGGAGTTGTTCATTCCTCCTGGTGGGCTCGTGGTCTCGCTAGCTCAGGAGTGAAGCTGCAGATCTTCGCGGTGAGTGTTACAGCTCATAAAAGCAGCATGGACCCGAAGAGTGAACAGTAGCAAGATTTATTGCAAAGAGTGAAAGAACAAAGCTTCCACAGTGTGGAAGGGGACCCGAGCGGGTTGCCACTGTTGGCTCAGGCAGCCTGCTTTTATTCTCTTATCTGGCCCCACGCACATCCTGCTGATTGGTAGAGCCGAGTGGCCTGTTTTGACAGGGCGCTGATTGGTGCATTTACAATCCCTGAGCTAGATACAAAGGTTCTCCACCTCCCCATCAGATTAGTTAGATACAGAGTTTTGACACACAGGTTCTCCAAGGCCCCACCAGAGCAGCTAGATACAGAGTGTCGATTGGTGCATTCACAAACCTTGAGCTAAACACAGGGTGCTGATTGGTGTGTTTACAAACCTTGAGCTAGATACAGAGTGCCGATTGGTGTATTTACAATCCCTGAGCTAGACATAAAGGTTCTCCAAGGCCCCACCAGAGCAGCTAGATACAGAGTGTCGATTGGTGTATTTACAATCCCTGAGCTAACGCAGGGTGCTGATTGGTGTATTTACAAACCCTGAGCTAGACATAAAGGTTCACCATGATCTCACCAGAGCAGCTAGATACAGAGTGTCGATTGGTGCACTCACAAACCTTGAGCTAAACACAGGGTGCTGATTGGTGTGTTTACAATCCCTGAGCTAGATATAAAGACTCTCGACGTCCCCACCAGACTCAGGAGCCCAGCTGGCTTCACCTAGTGGATCCCGCACCGGGGCTGCAGGTGGAGCTGCCTGCCAGTCCCACGCTGTGCGCTCACACTCCTCAGCCCTTGGGTGGTCGATGGGACTGGGCACCGTGGAGCAGGGGGTGGTGCTCGTCAGGGAGGCTCGGGCCGCACAGCAGCCCATGGAGGCGGGGGAAGGCTCAGGCATGGCGGGCTGCAGTCCCGAGGCCTGCCCGGCGGGAAGGCAGCTAAGGCCCGGCGAGAAATGGAGCGCAGCGCCGGTGGGCTGGCACTGCTGGGGGACCCAGTACACCCTCCATAGCCGTTGGCCCGGGTGCTAAGCCCCTCACTGCCTGGGGGCCGCTGGGCCAGCCGGCTGCTCCGAGTGCGGGGCCCCCCAAGCCCACGCCCACCCAGAAGTCCAGCCGGCCCGCAAGCGCCGCGTGCAGCCCCAGTTCCTGCTCGCGCCTCTCCCTCCACACCTCCCTGCAAGCTGAGGGAGTGGGCTCCAGCCTTGGCCAGCCCGGAAAGGGGCTCCCACAGTGCAGTGGCGGGCCGAAGGGCTCCTCAAGTGCCGCCAAAGTGGGAACCCAGGCAGAGGAGGCGCCGAGCAAGTGAGGGCTCTGAGGACTGGCAGCACGCTGTCACCTCTCAATAGGACAAGCGACCTTGTCAATTTCACTCTCCAATGTCTACTCAGTACCCAGGACAGAGACTCACAGTGTAGATCCTCAGTAAGTTGTGAAAGGAAAATTCCTTGGGCTCCCACAATCACTAAGCTAAAGGAAAAACTCAAGCTGGGAACTGCTTAGGGCCAACCTGCCTCCCATTGTACTCAGAGTCACCCGTCGCTCACTGAGATAAATGCATATCTGATTGCCTCCTTTGGAAAAGCTAATGAGAAACTCAAAAGAATGCAGCCGTTGTCTCCCACTTACCTGTGACCTGGAAGCCCCCTCCCAGCTTCGAGTTGTCCCCCTTTTACTTCAAGTTGCCCTGCCTTTCCTAATGGATATGTTGATTGATGCCACCGAGACCCCGCCTTTCCGAACCGAACCAATGTTCATCTTACATATGTTGATTGATGCCACCGAGACCCCGCCTTTCCGAACCGAACCAATGTTCATCTTACATATGTTGATTGATGCCACCGAGACCCCGCCTTTCCGAACCGAACCAATGTTCATCTTACATATGTCAACTGATGTCTCATGTCTCCCTAAAACGTATAAAACCAAGCTGTGCTCTGACCACCTTGGGTACATGTCGTGAGGACCTCCTGAGACTGTGTCATGGGCGCGCGTTCTCGACTTTGGCAAAATAAACTTTATAAATTCACTGAGCCCTGTCTCAGATTTTCGGGGTTCACAAAGGTTTCGGGAATAAATTAAGGACTGGATCACCAGGAAACCATCTAGTTAAACATTCATAGGTTTCCAGTGCAGAAGAGAAATGGCAAAATGACCAAATATAAGTTTTTCTCATTTGCTTAGAAGTCTTGCTTCCTGTCACAAATTATAAACTAGGATTCTGGTTTATGTGTGCGACTCAGAACACTGAGCTGTTCACGTCAGGGTCTACGAGAAAAGTCAGGCTGCTGGACCTGCAAAGCTGAGGCCCAGACACCGATGTGGTCCCACGTTGTGGGGCCGGCTTGGGGGCGAGCTCCTGCTGACATATCAGTGCTATCTCTTTTCTTGATTTAAGGTTGCCAGATAAAAATGCAGAATGCCCAGTTAAATTTCAAGGTCAGATAAATGACAATAATATCTAAAGTGAAGTATGCCCCACACAATATTTGGGACACATTTATGCTAAAAAATGTGTTGTTCCTCTGAAATTTAACTGTCCATCTTGTATTTTTACTTGCTAAATCTGGTAACACCATTTTTTTAATTAAAAAATTTATTGAGATAATTGCAGATTCACATGCATTTGTAAGAATAATACAGAGAAATCACCATACATTTTGCTCAGCTTCACCCAATGGTAACATTTTGCAAAACTATAGTACAGTATCACAACCAGGACGTTAATGTTAGTGCAATGCACCGATCTTATTCATATTTCCCGATTTTATTTGTATTCATGTGTGCGTATGTGTATGTGTATATTCAGTTCTATATAATTTTACCTTCTGTATAGAAGTTAGCCCTCTGTATGCACAGGTTTCACATCCTTAGATTCAACCAACCACTGATGGAAAATATTTTTAAAAAATAAAAGTACAAATAAACAATATAGTATAACAACAATTTACATGGCATTTACATTATATTCAGTATTATACGTAATATAGAGATGATTTAAGTATACAGGAGAAGGTGTACAGATTATAGGTAAACACTGCTCCATTTTTCTATAAGGAACTTCAGCATCCTCAGATATTGGTACCCATGGTGGGGAGTCCTGGAACCCATGCCCTGTGGGTGCCAAGCGAGGACTGTCAATTGTGCATCCACCAACCACAGCCATGATGCTGAACAACTCCAGTAGCATGGCGATCCTGGCGTTGGTGTTTTATGGCCATACTCACTTCCCCACCCACATTCCTAAGCCCTGGAAACCACTAATCTTCCTCCATTTCTAAAATTTTATCAGTTTGAAAATGTTACATAAGCCGGGCGCAGTGGCTCCCGCCTGTAATCCCAGCGCTTTGGGAGGCCGAGGTGGGTGATCACGAGGTCAGGAGTTCAAGACCAGCCTGGCCAAGATGGTGAAACCCTGTCTCTAACTAAAAATACAAAAATTAGCTGGGCATGGTGGTGGATGCATGTAGTCCCAGCTACTCGGGAGGCTGAGGCAGAGAATTGCTTGAACCCGGGAGGCAGAGGTTGCAGTGAGCTGAGATGGTGCCACTGCACTCCAGCCTGGGTGACAAAGCAAGACTCCATCAAAAAAAAAAAGAGAGAAAAGAAAATATTATGTAAATACAATCATCTGTATATAACTTTTGGTATTGGCTTTTTCCAGCTAGCGTAATTCCCTGGTTACTGACCCAAGTTGTCACACGTATCATTAGTTTGTCCTTAGTACTGCTGAGTAGTATTCCAGGTATGGATAGCCCTCAGGTGTCTCACCATTCACCTGGGCCCATTCTGTCAACCCTATTTTAAGTACAACAATTTAAAGAAGGAAAAGGGTTTTCAAATAAATGTAAAATCCAAAGGAATCGTAAAGTCGTATTTCTGTTATTTGTAAAGAGTAAACTTATTTCAAAATGCTTTGCTTTGAAAATGTTTTTTAAACTTAACCAAGTTGGGCATAAATTGATGCAATCTCATTGGACAATAATGTAGCATTACTCTTAAATATTCACAAACCTTATGACCTAGCAATTTCCTTTCTTTGTGTAGAGCTGTTATGAGTTATGTGTTCCTCAAAAGAGATAATGCTGAAGTCCTAATTCCCAGTATCTTAAACTGTGACCTCATTTGGAAAGAGCCTTTGTAGAAGTAATCCAGTTAAGATGAGGTCGAGGTCAGACTGCATGAGGGGGTCGTCCACCCAATGACTGCAGTTCTTGTAAGAAGATGCAAATTCACACAGAGGGAAAGAGAAGTTGAAGCGATGAAGCCACAAGCCCAGGAACAGCAAGGATTGCCCAGAAGAGGCAAGAAAGCTTCCTCTCCTGCAGCCTTCAGAGGAAGCAGGGCTCTGTGGACACCTGGATCTGACTTCTGGCCCCCAGAACCTTAGGAGAGTAAATTTCTGTCATTTTATGCCATCCAGTCTGTAGTACTTTTTTGAGATGGAGTCTCTCTCTGTCACCCAGGTTGGAGTGCAGTGGCCTGATCTCGGCTCACTGCAACCTCTGCCTCCTGGGTTCGAGCGATTCTCCTGCCTCAGCCTCCCAAGTGGCTGAGATTACAGGCGCCTGCCACCATGTCCAGCTAATTTTTGTATTTTAGTAGAGATGGGGTTTTGCCATGTTGGCCCACCACCACACCCGGCTAACTTTCGTGTTTTTGGTAGAGACGGGGTTTCACCATGTTGGCCAGGCTGGTCTCAAACTCCTGATCTCCAGTGATCTACCCGTCTTGGCCTCCCAAAGTGCTGGGATTACAGGCGTGAGCCACTGCGCCCGGCCAGTCTGTAGTACTTTGTTATGACAACTCCAGGAAACTAATACAACACTCCAAAAAGAAACTTGCAAATGTACAGCAGCAGATGTATACAAGAATGTGCAATGCATGCTTGAATAGCAGTTCTGTTCTCAGGAGCAAAAACCTGGAAACATTTCAAATGTCCATTAATAGAAAAGTAGAAACATAAATTATGATTTAATCAAAACATAAAAGCAGCCCAAATGGAGAAATTACAGTAACATGCAACAATATGGATGAATATGGGCAATACATATTCAGCAAATAAAATAAATTTCTTTTTTTTTTTTTTTGAGACGGAGTCTCGCTCTGTCACCCAGGCTGGAGTGCAGTGGCGCGATCTTGGCTCACTGCAAGCTCCGCGTCCCGGGTTCACGCCATTCTCCTGCCTCAGCCTCCCGAGTAGCTGGGAATACAGGTGCCCGCCACCACGCCCGGCTAGTTTTTTGGTATTTTCAGTAGAGACGGGATTTCACTGTGTTAGCCAGGATGTCTCAATCTCCTGACCTCGTGAGCCTCCCTCCTCGGCCTCCCAAAGAGCTGGGATTACAGGCGTGAGCCACCGCGCCCGGTCAAAATAAATTTCAAAGATGACACACAGTATGAGGTTAACTTTTTTTTGCAGAGTTAAAAGTTATCAATTAGACATTCTTTCTGGAATGTATACACATAACACATACTATACTACACTACCCTATACTACCTTACACAACACTACCCTACACTATCCTACACTACACTACCCTACTCTACACTACTGCATGCTACCCTTCTCTACCCTACACTACACCACACTACCCTACCCTACACTACTCTACACTGCTCTACACAACACTACTGTCAAAAGGAACACAAGGGAAAGAACAGTCCAGGGTCCGGGCAGTCCGGAGGTGGCAGAGAGGCAGCACACAGCGTGGGGAAGACACGCAAGTAGACACAGTTATTGCCAAGTTCTGGTTTTCACGCTGGGTCGTGGGTTCACAGGTGCGCATTACGTTTTTACAAAGGAACATGTCTGTAAAAAGGGCCACACCTGGGCTAAGCATGATGATTGATTGTGAAGCAAGGGTAACGATGAACTCAAGCTGGTGCACATGACTCCAGTAAGAAAAACAAACAAGTGAACCTAACTTAGTTCTATTGCTGTGGAGGAAGAGAGAACAGAAGTAGGGAACAGCTAGCGGTTTCTGCCACATCCCTTTGATCTGCCATTTAGGTAATTTCCAATTCCTTGGCTGTGGAAAGCGTCGTGATGACGTGACACACACGGATTTATAGAGATGCACAGCTTCTCCTGAGGGAAAAGGGTAAATGTGTGGATGTGAGATTTGTGAGGCCAAGGGTTTGTCTACCAAGATGAGTGAGACTCACACTGCAGAAAGTGACACCCCCAATTCTACCCCGCGAACAGTACAGAAGGTTGTCAGTTTCCCAAATTTTTACTAACACTAAGCATTACCACTCGGGAGGAAAAAAAATTCTTGCCATCTTGTGCAGCCAAAAAGGCACATTTTAACCATATTTTTACTTCACATTTCTTTAGCAACTTTTAAGTTGGATGTATTCTATTAGTTCATTGGCCTTTTGAGTTTTTTCATTTGTGAACACTTGTTTGGATCCTTAACACTTTTCTCTGGAAGTGGGGTGATGGGTTTGCCTTTTTCTTATTGATCTGTGAGAGCATTTTATATATCAGTCATTAGGAACATTGCTAAAGCGATTAATCATTAACTCTTTCAAACTACTTTATCATCTCTGATGATAAACTTGATGGAAAATGTCCGACCCTTGAAGGCCCTGAACTCTCTTCCTTTTTTCACCACTGCCCTTGAAATACGCTTGGGGCGGGCTGCGTGTCTCCCAGAATCCTCCCGGGGCACAAGGGCGAACGTGGAGGCAGGAGGAGCCAACAGCAAAGGACTCTACTGAACAAATGTCCCCTCTCACTGTCACCCTGCTCCAATTCCGTCTTCCTCATTGCACAAAGAGCACTAAGCCTTTTGCAGGGATTAACAAGCCACACATTATACTTTAAGAATTATTTGACATTTCAATCGCCCTGAAGTGTGAAAGGGTTCTATTGTGCACAGATTCAAATTCATCATGAGCTCTCATAACGTCCTGGGTAGAAGCCTGCTTTTCATTTTCATCTACATATCACAGGCAATTTCCTCTTGGAGTTCGAAGACAATGTTTCAGTTATGCATCCAGAAAAGAACAATTTGTGCGTGGTAATTAAATCAGTGAATCACTAATCCTCCTTAAACCGGACTTAGTGCCTCAAAAAGAGCCTTCAAAGGTTCCTTTCCCCACACATTATTTAACCAGGGTCTCCACTGGTTAATAATTAAATGGAGGCTGAATGCAGAGAGAATGGATGGGCAGATTGAGCGCAACAGAGAACAGGAAGAAAAGGGAAGTTTACAAGCACGAAGGAAAGTATCTTACCCTCCTTGGAGGTCGACAGTCTGACCCCTTTTAAAAGAGAAAGCCATACATTTTCATTCCCACTCAAATTATTTTATAACATCTACAAAAAGGATATGCATTTTAAAAATGTGTTATTTTTCCAGTAGAACTAAGGTATGTTCATTCACAGAGAAGACATTTAAGTGACTGACGCAATGAAGAAGTGGCCCTCATTCTTCCAGTGTGTTCTCCATCATAACCCGTGGCCGGGCTGCAAGTGAAGAGACTAGTTCTCTGGGAGTGGCTCTTTATGCTGCCCTGTGTCAAAACACACTCTCCCCTTTTCCCTTTCGCCCTGTATTGACCAGTGCACTGGGCAAAAGAGTAAAGAAAATGCTTTTCTCCAGTCATGGTAATCTAGCCCCAAGGGAAGCAATTTCTCTTGAGAAAAATCCCTGTGGAGCGGGTGGGACCAACATGGTGCCGAAAGGTAACCAGAGACACAGGAAGGGGTCGCCATGCTGCGCACCTGCAGTGCTGAGCACCACGTCAGAGGCAGCCGCGGTGGGCAGCATGGGGAGCAGCTCCCCACAGCCAGCCAAGTCTCCTCCGTCCCTGAATTTAACACACACTGTCAGAGTCAGGCTGGGGGCCATTGATGCTGTTTGTTCTCCCGGGCACACAACTGAAAGAATCAGGCCCAGAATGTGGCCCCAGATTCAAAACCGCATCAACCTCCATTCATAGATTAATTGCTTTTCCTGATCTTTCAGATTTACTACAAACACCTCCAGGGGTGCGGGGCTCTCTGCCACCATCACCAATGTCGGGTAAGGCCGGTACTCAGTTCTCCAGCATCTTCCTGACTCCAAATGTGTTGCATCCGGCAGATTGTGGACATTCCACAGAGGTGCTCTTTGTGCAATTTCCACAATCTTGGAAATGGAGACAAAGCCCTCACAAGACACTGAACCTGCTGGCACCTTCCTCTTGGACCTCCAGATCCCAGAACTGTGAGAAATAAATTTGGGGCCAGGCACAGTGGCTCATGCATGTAAGGCCAACATTTTGGGAGGCTGAGGTGGGAAGATTGCTAGAGGCTAAGAGTTCAAGGCCAGCCTGTGCAACATAGTGAGACATCATTTTTACAAAAGATAAAAAAATTAGCCAGGTGTAACGGCTCGCACTCACCTGTACTTGGAAGGCTCAGGTGGGAGGGTTACTTGATCCCAGGAATTGGGGTTGCAGTGAGCTACTATCGCACTACTGCACTACAGCTTGGGCAACAGTGAGACTCTGTCTCCAGAAAAGACATAATAGTAAAAATTCTGCCTTTTATAAATTACCTTGTCTGGGGTGTTTTGTTACAGCAGCACTCACAGACAGAGACACATAGCATCAATAGGTAAATGGAGATGATACCGTTAGAACAAAATAGAAAGGAACGCAAATATATAATAACAATTTGGTACCTTTTGTGAATTCTCAACAACTACAAATATCAATTCTGTCTACTTTTCTTACAGCTAATGCTTGGACATGCAGATCAGAGCAGTAGGAGAGAAAAAGGCTTTTCTGCGGAGTCACATGTCAATAGCATGTGTCCATGTGTCTCATTCTGTGGTGAGGACAGTGGACTCCTCCAGCTCTGCTCCTTGGCTCACTTGCCCCACCCCCCTAGCTAGCTTTCATTGGCTCATTTCTTCATCATCACAAATTGTCAAGTGTCTACAAGGTGCCAGCCTGGTTCCACATGCCTATGGTAAAGCAGTGAGCAAACTGACATACCTCTGCCATCGAGGAGCTTCTATTCCAGGACAGAGAGACAAAGCAAAGCAACTAGCCAACATGAATAAAAGGACAGGGGTAAGCACCGTACAAAGTATGAAAATACAATTAGGTATGGCAGGTGATTGTTCAGTGAAGACGTCTCTGAGGAAGAGACAGTGGAGCTACGATTTAAGTGAAAAGGAGGCAACTATTGCAAAAATGGGGGGGAGTTGGAAGACTTAGTATTGTTACCATGCTAAGATCACCAGAGTAATCTACACGTTCCACGAAATCCCTATCAATATCACTGTGGCCTTTTCTGAAGAAATGGAAACGCTGATCCTAAAACTCATATGAAATTACAAGGAATCACAAACAGCCAAAAAAAGAACCTTGAAAAGAGTGAATTGGAGGACTCATACTTCTTGATTTCAAAACTTGCTATAAAGCTAAAGCAATCAAAAGAGTGTGTCACTGGCATAAGGACAGACATAGATCAATGTTATAAAACCGAGAATCCAGAAATAAACCCATCATCTATGGTCAACTGACTTTCCACCAGGGTACCAAGACTATTCCATGGAGAAATAATAATGTCTTCAACAAACGGTGCTTGGATGATTAGACACCCACATGCAAAATAATGAACTTGGAACTCTACCTCACACCATGAACAACAATTCACTCAAAATGGGTCAATGGCCTAACCATGAGTGTACAAAACTCAGAGGAAAATATAGGGGTACATCTTCATGATCTTAGATTTGGCATGAATTCTTAGATATGACACCAAAAGCAGGAACAAGAAAAGAAAAAATCGATAAATTAGGTTTGATCAAAATATAAAATTTTTGTACATCAAAGGACATTATCAAGAAAATGAAGACAACATATAAAATGGGAGAAAATATATGCAAATCATATATCTGATAAGGATCTAATGTCTAGACTATATAAAGAGCACTTTCAACTCAACAATAAGACAAAAAACTCAACTAAAAAATGGGCAAAGGACTTAAACAGCCAGTTCTCCAAAGAAGACAGAGGATGGCAAATAAGCATATGAAAAGATGACAAATATTTCCTTATTCACTAAGGAAACGTAAATCAAAACTATAGTGAAGTACCACTTCATACTCAGATGGCTGTAATAAAAAACAGAGAAAATAAAGTCAGGATGTGTAGAAATTGGCACCCTCTCTGGTGGAAATGCAAAATGGTGCAGCTACTATAGAATACAGTTTGGTATTTCCTCAAAATGTAAACATAGAATTACCATATGACTCAGCAATTGTACTCCTAGGCATATATCTAAATAAACTGAAAACAAGTACTTAAACAGAAACTTACACACAAATGTTCATAGGAGCACTATTCACAATAGCTGAAAGGTAGGAACTGGCCAAATGTCATTGACTGATGAATGAATAAACAAAATGTGAAATATCCCTACAATGGAATATTATTCACCCCTAAAAAGGAATAAAGTTGGATATATGCAGCAATGCAGATGAACCCTGAAAACAGTATGCTAACTGAAAGAAGCCAGACACAAAAGGTCACGTATTGTGATTCCATTCATATGGAATATCCAGGAGAGGTTAATCCACAGGGACAGAAGGCAGAATTGTGGTTGCCAGGGGTTGGTGGGAGGGGAGAATGGGGCGTGACTGCTTCATGGGTATGGGGTTTCTATTTGCAGTGATGAAAAGGTTCTACAACTAGGCCGTGGTGAAGGTTGTACAGTATTGTATATCTACTTAGTGCCACTGAATTGCACAGTTTAAGATGGTTAATTTTATGTTATGTGAATTTTACTTCAATGAAAACAAAGTTGGGGGAAGCTCAAAGGGTAGGAAAGGATGGAATGTTTGAGAATCAGAATTCTCCACGGGGCAGGAGTATATTGCACCAAGCCAGGAAAGGAGAGAGCCGTTCCTAGAGAGCCTTCGAAGTTAGGGATTGGTGTTACGGCCATGCACTGAGGAGTCGCTATGAGTGTGAGCCAGGGAATCACATGGCTTCATGGCTGCTCAGGAAGCACCCACTCTGGCTATTACGGTCTTGTGGTTTGAGGGGTCAGGCATGAAAGCGTAAAGACTAACTGGCAGCCAACGCAGCTCCCAAACCGGCAGGTGCTGAGACAAGAGTGGTGGCTGTGAGAATGAGTAGATGTAGGCAGATTTAGATATTTAGGGGTGGAGGCCGGTAGAAGTTACAAGACTTGGTGATGGGTTGAATATAGGGGCAAAGGAAGGAGGCCAAGTTTAAAATGTGCACACTTCCTATTAAGTGTATTGAAGAAACCAAAGAGGAAACAGCCCCGTAAGTGATATAACCTGGCCTCAGACAGCGCTTTCACTCTTGAAAAAAGTTTGTGTTCTGTTTGACAGAAAATAATTTTAAAAGAAGAACAGATCACAGCGAATTCCACAGATGATGAGCATATTAGAACTCTAGGATTTTCTCATGGAAAAAGACCGTGGAGATCGTTGGGTTCAACTTCTTCACGCTGCAGATGAGGGCGCAGATCCAGAGCGCCCAGTGACTTCCCAAAGACAAGCAGCTGTTTAGGGGCTCAGATCCAGAACCCATGACCAGGTTGAATCCTATGTAGGTCCCGGAGTCTTCAGAGGCTGCAGCTCTACCCCAATGAAGACGCTCTCTCCTCCTGCCTCCTACCTTTTCAGCTTTAAGGATTTTTGTTTTCACTTCATCTAACTGCACAAAGCTTGTGACTCTCATCCCATTTGAGATGTCTCTGGACTCTAGAGCCACACTGTCTGGGCGCAAACTCTATCACCGTGTAGGGTGACTGCAAGCAAGTCACTTAGTCTCTCTGCTTCTCAGGTCTTACCTACTTAGCAGGGACTGGGACATTGCTTTTCCCGTGGAGTGGGGCCAAGAGTTTAATGAGTTCGCTCCCACTCTCACCTTGTCTGACCACAGCTGGTCGACCCCAAGGTCAAGCTGAAGTCCTTCACTTTTTCACCCACAACCAAGGACTCCTGAACGCCATGACAGTGCCATGCACCTGCCACACAGCGGGCAGGCCTTCCCCAGCTTCACGCAGCTCTCCCTTCTCTCCTTCAGCCCCTGCCACTGTGAAGTATCTCCAGGCTCGCTCAGGCCACCATGGGCACTGGGGGAGTCCTGTTTCCGACCTTCTGGCTTGAATACTCCTCCATACTGTCAGGTTCTGAATGGACTACATTTGAGGTTAGCTCAACTGTAAATCGAGCAATACAATTTTGTGCAATGGAAAGACAGCCAGTTTGGAGGCATGTGTGTGTGTGTGTGTGTGTCTGTGTGTCTGTGTGAGAGAGAGAGACAGCGAGAGAGAGAGGAAGATGGGGAGGAGGAGGCAGCTGGGGTGATGCCATGCTTTGTTTTTGGAACATTATTATTTTCTCTTCTTTCCCTAAAGAACAGCACTTTAAAAATCAATTATTTAATTCTGAAAGAGTCCCATGGCATTTTAACTGTACAAAATTAGTCAAGATGACATTAAATCCTGATTCGGGAACCTTTCCGATCAAACCATTGTGCTCCTCCGGAATGGCTGGAATAAGAACACTACCTTGGCAGATGTCTCTGCAGTGATTAACACTTATGTCACCCTGAAGCAGTGTTTACTTTACATCTGATCTCAGTGTGATGCCGCCTGAAAATTTCCCAGGGAAGGAAAAAAAAAGATTCTGCAATATTGTCAAAAATAATGCTATTGTCAGAAGTAATGTTCTCTGAAAGTCGTATTTCATATTTAGTACAATTTTTTTTTTGCTTCCTCTGAGTGCAAACACAGAGAAAGTGAATTAGAGTAACCTCTCTATATTTCAGCTCCAGTCTCTAAGGCAAAATGTACCTCTCAATGCTATTTATTACTTTATTTCTTACTGGCTTTTTATGTTGAGAGAATGAAGGGTAAAGTAAAAGAGGTTTTAACATTTCATGGCTCTGTGTTTAGCGGAAAAACTTAAAATCTAAATGTTATTTTACTTCCTGCCTTCCATTCTGTCTTTCTTTCCCATTTTCTTTTCTCTTAAAAATTTTCCTTCTCATTTCATTCCCTGTGACTCTCATCCGTTTTTTAAAACATCACAGGTTCCCAAATCAGAGTTTTGGTTAAACATGGTAGATCGCAGACACGTGTTACTTCAGCATCCTCCTGAAACCTTACCAAAATGACCATAAGGGGAAAAAATGTTATAAGCCCATAAGAACAAAGAAAATGAGGCCAGGTGTGGTGGCTCATGCCTGTAATCTCAGCACTTTGGGAGCCTGAGGCAGGCAGATAACCTGAGGTCAGGAGTTCAGGACCAGCCTGGCCAACATGGCACAACCATGTCTCTACTAAAAATACAAAAGTTAGCTGGGCATGATGGTGCGTACCTGTAATCCCAGGTACTCGGGAGGCTGAGGCAGGAGAATCGCTTGAACCAGGGAGTTGGAGGTTGCAGTGAGCTGAGAGCGTGCCACTGCACTCCAGCCTGGCGACACAGCAAGACTCTGTCAAAAAAAAAAAAAAAAAAAAAAAAAAACACACACACACACAACAAAAACAAACAAACAAAAAAACCAAAGAAAAATACAATATCTGTGATTTTGGGAAATGGGGAGTAAATGGCAGAGGAGTACTTGACTTTGTAGTTGGAGAAAGCTGAAGCTTTCTTCCTGTTGCCTAGTGGGAAATAACAGGACGTGGCTGAGGTGTGAAACCCTCAGAATTGAAGGCAGCGTAGCCTCTGAGAGTAGGTTCAAGGATACCCTGAAACCAAGTTGGTCAGCAGAGCTCCCAGTTCCCCTCCCACAGTTTGTGTGTACCGGCAACAACTGACCCAAACAGGGACAGAGGGGAGTTATTCTCTGGGGACCCTGTCTCAGGGAGGCTCTGGCCTCAAAGTCTCCAGGCACAGCTGAGAGAGGAGGCCGGGCACAATGCCAGGGGCTGGCGAGTCCGGCTGATGGGCCCTGCCAGGCCCGCCGCCTGTTATTGCAAGGTTCTGTTGGAACAGGGCCACACTCATCCCCTTTTGTATTGCCTATAGCCCCTTTCGCATTATAACACACTACGAGGGCTGGGTGGAGGTGGAGTTGGCAACAGAGCAGGTGGCCCACAAAGCTTGAAACATTTACTATTGGTTCTTTATAGAAAACGTTTTCTGACTCCTACCCTGGAATGCAAGCCACGGGTCCACCAGAGAACCTCCATCAGCTTTAACTCTCCCTCTTCCAATCACGACTTACTCTTCTTAAACACGGACAATTAAATATTACTAGATATCTGAAAAAACATTTCAGCAAGACAGAGATGAGGAACTCAGAAAAAAAAAAGCATAAGGAGAAAAAGAGTACTTCGAAAAAATTCTACAATTTATGTCCTGGTAAAGACAGGAGAATCTATTTTACCCATGAAACAGGAAAAAGATACTGTATAAAGGGAATATTAAAGAATAAAAAAGTTATTGGAAATTAAAATATGAAAACAGAAACAAAATAATTCAATAGAAATATTGGGAGGTATGGTTGAAGAAATCTCTCAAAAAGCAAAACAAGAAAACAGATATAAAAGTAGAAGACCAAATTAGAGGACCAGACCGGGCACAGTGGCTCCCACTTGTAATCCCAGCACTTTGGAAGGAGGAGGCAGGAGGATCACTTGAGGTCAGGAGTTCGAGACCAGCCTGGACAACATGGTGAAACCCTGTCTCTACTAAAAATACAAAAATTAGCTGGGCGTGGTGGTGCACTCCTGCAATCCCAGCTGCTCGGGAAGCAGAGGCAGGATGTTGCAGTGAGATGAGATCATGCGACTGCACTCCAGCCTGGGTGACAGAGTGAGACCCCGTCTCAAAAAAAAAAAATAGAGGATCAATTCAGGGTGTCCAATTGCTGATAAATAAAATTTCCAGAAAGAAAAAAAAAACAGAGTAAAAATCATCAAAGAAATAATTCCAGAAAAGCCCCTCAAATAAAAGGACAGAGTGAGATCCTGTCAAAAGAAAAAAGAAAAAAGGATTGATTCAGGGTGTTCAACTGCTGATAAATAAAATTTCCAGAAAGAAAAAAATATATAGAGAGGACAAAATCACCAAATAAATAATTACAGAAAAGTCCCTAAATAAAAGGACATAAAATATTAAAAGAAGCTACCAAGGGCCGGGTATGGTGGCTCATGCTGTAATTCCAGCACTTTGGGAGGCTAAGGTGGGGGGATCGCTTGAGCCCAGGAGTTTGAGAACAGTCTGTGCAACACAGTGAGATCCAACCTCTACTAAAAATAGTAAAAAAAAAAAAAAAAAGAAAAAAAAATTAGCAAGGCGTGGTAGCACGCACCTGTAGACCCAGCTACTAGGGAGGCTGAGGCAGGGGGATTCCTTGAGTCTGGTAAGTCTAGGCTGCAGTGAGCCATGATTGTCCCACTGCACTCCAGCCTGAGCAACAGAGCGAGACCCTGTCTCAAAAACAACAACAACAAAAACTAGAACCCACCAAGTCTCTACCTGTTGAATAGACAGACATAGGGTACGCTGCTGTGTCATTTAAGAATGGTGATGGTAAACGTAGGGTCCTAGGGTTTCCCAGAAAGAAAGAGAAAGAGGAAAAACACAGGTTACTTTAACAAGGTCAGCAGTCAGAATGACGTTGGACTTTACAGAAACAAATTAGATGCTAGAGAACGACGAAACAATGTCTTCCAAATTCTGAAAAGACATGATTTCAACCTGGAACTTTATTTTCAAGTGAAGTGTTGATTCAACCTAAGAGTAGAAAAGGGCTCTATTCAAGCTTGCCAGCCTCGTGGAGGCTGCAGGTCTCCTGGAAACCCCTCTGGCAAAGCATAGGAAGAAACACCCTCAAAGCATAGGAAGAAACACCCTCAAAACACAGGAATGAACATCCACAAAGCATAGGAATAAACACCCTCAAAACAAAGGAATAAACATCCACAAAGAATAGGAATCAACACCTTCAAAACACAGGAATAAACACACTCAAAGCACAGGAACAAACACCCTCAAAGCATAGGAATAAACATCCTCAAAGCATAGGAATAAACAAACTCAAAGTACAGGAATAAACACCCTGAAAGCACAGGAATAAACACACTCAAAGCACAGGAAGAAACACACTCAAACCATTGGAATAAACACCCTAAAAGCATAGGAATAAACACACTCAAAGCACAGGAAGAAACACACTCAAAGCACAGGAAGAAACACACTCAAAGCACAGGAATAAACACACTCAAAGTATAGGAAGAAACACACTCAAAGTATAGGAAAAAACACACTCAAACCACAGGAATAAACACACTCAAAGCACAGGAATAAACACACTCAAACCATTGGAATAAACACCCTAAAAGCATAGGAATAAACACACTCAAAGCACAGGAAGAAACACCCTCCAAGCACAGGAATAAACACACTCAAAGCACAGGAAGAAACACACTCAAAGCACAGGAATAAGCACACTCAAAGCACAGGAAGAAACACCCTCAAAGCACAGGAATAAACACACTCAAAGCACAGGAATAAACACACTCAAAGTATAGGAAGAAACACACTCAAACCACAGGAATAAACACACTCAAAGCACACGAATAAACACACTCAAAGTACAGGAATAAACACACTCAAAGTATAGGAATAAACACACTCAAAGCAAAGGAATAAACACACTCAAAGTATAGGAATAAACACACTCAAACCACAGGAAGAAACACACTCAAAGCACAGGAAGAAACACCCTCAAAGCAGAGGAAGAAACACCCTCAAAGCACAGGAATAAACACCCACAAAGTAGAGGAATAAACACACTCAAAGTGGTGGGAAAAAGGACAGAAAAGTACACAGAAAGTGACGGTGTTACGAGAGCTGCATCTTTGTCTTGCATTTAGAAATCATGGGATAAATACTAGAAGAAATGGCTCCTTGCCCCTGGAAAGTGAGACTTAGGAAGGAGACAGCTGTTTTCCTATCTAACCCTAAAGTAAGTGAATTTAAAAATACGTCTGTGTCACTTCTCAAAAGAAGACACTTATGCAGCCAACAGACACATGGAAAAATGCTCATCATCACTGGCCATCAGAGAAATGCAAATCAAAACCACAATGAGATACCATCTCACACCAGTTAGAATGGCGATCATTAAAAAGTCAGGAAACAACAGGTGCTGGAGAGGATGTGGAGAAATAGGAACACTTTACACTGTTGGTGGGACTGTAAACTAGTTCAACCATTGTGGAAGTCAGTGTGGCGATTCCTCAGGGATCTAGAACTAGAAATACCATTTGACCCAGCCATCCCATTACTGGATTATAAATCATGCTGCTATAAGGACACATGCACACATATGTTTATTGCGGCACTATTCACAATAGCAAAGACTTGGCCAGGCGCAGTGGCTCACACCTGTAACCCCAGCACTTTGGGAGGCCGAGGAGGGCGGACCACAAGGTCAGGAGATCGAGACCATCCTAGCTAACATGGTGAAACCCCATCTCTACTAAAAATACAAAAAAATTAGCCGGGTGTGGCGGCATGCACCTGTAGTCTCAGCTGCTGGGGAGGCTGAGGCAGCAGAATGGCGTGAACCCAGGAGGTGGAGCTCGCAGTGAGCCAAGATCACGCCACTGCACTCCAGCCTGGGTGACATAGCAAGACTCCATCTCAAAAAAAAAAAAAAAAAAAAGGCAAAGACTTGGAACCCACCCAAATGTCCATCAATGATAGACTGGATTAAGAAAATGTGGCACATGGCTGGGTGCGGTGGCTCACACCTGTAATCCCAGCACTTTGGGAGGCCAAGGCGGGCGGATCACGAGGTCAGGAGATCGAGACCATCCTGGCTAACACGGTGAAACCTCATCTCTACTAAAAAAATACGAAAAATTAGCCGGGCGTGGTATTGGGCACCTGTAGTCCCAGCTACTCGGGAGGCTGAGGCAGGAAAATGGCGTGAACCCGGGAGGTGGAACTTGCAGTGAGCGGAGATCGCTCCACCACAATCCAGCCTGGGGGACAGAGCGAAACTCTATCTCAAAACAAAAAAAGAAAGAAAGAAAATGTGGCACATTTCTCATGCAGTGAGAACACTGCATGTTCTCACTCATAGGTGGGAACTGAACAATGAGAACACATGGACACAGGGTGGGGAACATCAAAAGTGGGGCCTGACATGGGGTGGGGGAGGGGGAGGGATAGCATTAAGAGAAATACCTAATGTAAGTGACAAGTTAATGGGTGCAGCACACCAACATGGCACATGTATACATACGTAACACACCTGCATGTCGTGCACATGTACCCTAGAACTTAAAGTATAATAATAAAAAATAATAAAAATAAAAATAGTCTGTGTATTACTTCTAGGGGGAAAAATGCTCAGAATGACCTTCCTCACGCGCGTGATGGGCAGTGCTACCTGCTCCCCAAACCCATTTTGTTTTCCTCCTGGGTAAACAGCCAAACTGACCCCTGGCAGATAGGCAGGGGGCAAATGTGTGTGAGGGAAGTCACATTTGCCATCCCCAGCTCTGCACATAAAAGTCTGGCCGGTGCCATCAAGGTGAAGATCATGCTTCCCTGGGGCCCAGCTGGCAAGACTGGCCCTAAGAAGCCCCTGCCTGACCACGTGAGCATCGTGGAACCCAAAGATGAGATACTGCCCACCACCCCCATCTCAGAAGAGAAGATGGGAAGCCAGAGCCTCCTGCCACGCCCCGGCCAGGCCCCACAGCTAACAGGGTCTCCTTGGCAACTGTATTCTGGAGTCTGGGTGTTGCTCTGTAAAGACCTTTAATAAAATCTTGTACAAAGACAAAAAGAAAAAAAAAAAAGTCTGGCCTGTGCATCCGTGCTTGTCTCCTCTCCCATCAGCCACCCTGAGGGCCACATGAGGAGAACGGAGCCCGGGGCCCCAAGTCCCTGCTTGGGCAGCAGCTGCAGACACACACTGGACACTGACGCCAGCGAGAGAAACCTGAATGGCGAATTGCTGAGATGTGGAGATGTGTGTTGCAAGTGGAAGGCTCAGCCTCCTGCAGGAGATGGAAGCAGAAAGTTCACGGTTCAATCAACAACCGAGCCAGAGGGGCTTCTCTGCAGGCCGCGTGGCCTCCATCTGCGAGCGCCCTGCGGGTTGCGTGGCGCTTGGTGCTACCCAGGCGATTCTGCAGGCTGCCCCTTACCCGTGCCGGGGAGAGGACGGTGGTCACAGAGCCCATGCGGAGCTGCTGTGGGAGCAGAGCGCGGCTGCAGGCGTCCTCCCGGGCAGGAACAACGTTCAGGAGCTTCAGCCCAGTTTCCTGTGCTTCACTCCTGCCATTGGAAGCTCGAGTCGTGAGTTTTGCCGCAAGCGTCACACTGCTGGGCTAGTCCCACCACCTGCAGGTCGGTCTTAATAAAACTGCATTAGTTAAAAGAGGCATTTCATATGAGGCGCTGGGTTATTCCATGGGCTAAGAGAACGTGAGTCAGGCCTTGGAAAAGGAAGAAAAGCAGGACGTGAAGCCTCCTTCTCCCACCCACTTCCTTTCTCTCTCTCATTGCCTATTCCCATGTCTGCTTTTTGGGGGACTCCATGGCTTTTCAGTTCAAATGTTGCATTTCCAGTCACTTCCAGGACTGATTTGACTTCTGTTCCAAGTCCAAGGCCTTGAAGAGTGACTTCAGTTGGCCCTTCTTGGGTCAGGACTCAGCCCTGGTCCACTTAGCGACAGACGGCGCGTTCTGGTTAATGTAATGAACAGGGGCTCAGGGAGGGAGGAGGCAGTTTTCTGAGCAGGAGCCAGGCAGAGGCCCTGAGACACAGGCCGCAGGTATCAAGGGCCCACTGCGCTCCTGCTAGGTACGGTTCGGGCCGTGTGATAGGACCTGTTCTCAAGAGATGCACAAGCTGCTTAGGGAGACAAAGTGGAACAAAAGAGATAATTCATAAAACAAGGTACCCCAGAGTTTCCGTCGGGGGCAAGGAGAAAGTTCTGGAGACAGAGGGTGGTGTTGGCTGCTCATCAGTGCAGACGTGCTTAGTGGCACGGACCTGTGCACTTAGAAATGGTTAACATGCTTGATTCTATGTCTTTATATTTTACCACAATCATTAAAAAACCCAACAAACACGGTAGCCAGGGACATGGTGAGCCAGAGCTGTGGCCAGCAGTGCTGTTGGCCTCACAGGACAGTGTGACGGTAGGGGTGCGGGTGGGATGGCCTGGCTCCCTGACCGAGAGGAGCAGGGGGACCTGGCTGGTCTTCTGCACATGCTGACAGTCACGTCCCAGAGAGGACCTGGAAAGACAGTGCTGCACTGTGCGGTGCCCCCGTCCTGCCCACGCAGAGGCCACACACGGCACCCCCAGGCCTCCTCCTCCACGGGAGACTTCCAGCACGGACAGCGGCCCAGGCAGCCACAGCCTCAGAGAGGAAAAGGTGAAGACACGGCCCGTCAGGAAGCAAGGACACATCCAGCCCATGCCACAGCCTTCGACAAAGACATTGAAGGCACTCGTGACCCTTCAGCCACCACGGCAGGTGCCCCCGGTGGCTCCTGGAGGGTTTGTGTTATGGGTCATTTAATGAGGTTGACCAGTTGTCGGGCAGTAAGGCCCTCTTTGAGGTGAGTGCAACGATTATTACTATATAAGATGCAGGAAGATTGAAAGAATTCCTTTTGATAGGAACACCTAAAATCAATTTCAAGCGCAAAAAGAAAAAAAAGAAGAAAGGAAAAGCAAGACCACACGAGCACTTCAGAAGTATTTACAGCAGAGCTTCTCAGAGTCAAGGCAGAACTGGCCTCTTACGGAAAGTGACAGCTTCGTTTTGAGAAGTACAAAGCGAGAAAACAGACTGGAAAATACAGCGAGAGACCCAGCTCGCCATCGCTCACCGTGTGAAACGGCCTAGTCCGCACAACGTGCAACAGTTGCAATAAACACATCACGCTTTTGGCAGTGATGCTACTGGAAAATATTTATAAGCTGGCTTGGCATTTTCCAGATAAATTCTTTCTAAAAGTCTCGGCCAGCCCACTGTTAAAATGGAACGTTTATGAGGATTTGGCACACATTATTTTATAGGACTCTCTTGAAAATGTAGTCATTTTTATTACATATCTTGTAAAAATAGAATAATGTTACTGTTTTTGTTGTGTCTGTACTCTTCCAAAAGTATCTATCTTAAAATGGAAAATGGACAGGTTGCCTTTTGAAATGCAGGAAGCTTTTGTCAGAGTGTTTGGCCACGCGGATGATGAGTACACTTAGCAGTGCACCGCGGGGCCCCCTAAGCGGGTAGGCTGGATTCTCGTGCCCCAGAACAGAGACACGTGACATAGCACTTGCAGGAAGGAGGACAGCAAAAAACCCCGTGAACATGTACAAACGACAGGAGGAGGTGCCCTGGCCAGCCAGTCGCAGAGTGGGAGGAGAAGGCGGTTAGAGAGCGAGGTCAGCTGACGTCTCTGGAGACACAAGGGTCATCTGAAGACAAAACAGGAGCCGGACCCTCCAGGCCCCATCTCGCAGCTCTGAAAATGTCACTTTACTATGCTCATGTCTGTAACCATCTTTCTTGTTGTTTTTATTTACTCTTTAGGCTTTTCTATAGTTCCTAGAGTTCTGAAATGAGAAGCATCTAATTTTAATCAGAAAAAAAATCAATACTGCAAGCAAGCATGTGAGCAAGACACAGAGGCAGCGAGTGAGCCGTGCCACAGCTGCGTCGTCACCCTCCCTCCTGGGTGCCCCTTCCTCACCTACGAGGCAAGGAGGAGAGCTGGACACTGCTGGGTCCCTGGGTCTCGACCCGTGTGATTCCAGGGGCAGCCTGCCCGTGCTGCAGGAGCAAAGGTCCTTCCCACCTCAGGCCCCTAAGGAGTCCTTCCTGGCTGTTGGAAGGCCCTAGTTCCATCTCCCCTTCCCTTGGAACTGGAGTTCCTGGAATTTTTTAAATTTCATTTAAATAAGTTATTGTAAATTTATTTTTTCTTGTCTTCATCTCAGCAAAATTGCTAATTGTGCTGTTTGGATTATAAGTGTGCTCTATTGCCAGAAATGCCAAATTAGATCATCTGTTTTGAGTCATTATAGCCCTTAGATGGCTTTTATTGTTAATTTCAATTTGGAAATACTTTATTCTGCTGCGGCAGTAGCAACCGGATTTGTCAATAAATTTCTTAGATTCGGAAATGAACCATAAATTCAACGCATCATCATGTTTAAGCACGGTATTGGAATTGCATATGATCAATTTACTTTGCTGCAGAAGGATTATCAAATGCTTTAATCTCATAATATAAGATGCTACCACGTATTGCCATTTTTAAATAAATGTTTTTAAGAGCAGTTTCAGGTTCACAGCAAAATTGAGCAGAAAATACAGAGTTCGCCTAGAACCCCTGTCCCCACATGTGCAGTGCTCTCCCCCATGATCAATGTCCCCCCACCAGAGGGTGCATTTGTTACAGCTGATGAACCTACGTTGACGCACCACTGTCACCCACAGTGCATAGTTTACATCAGGGCCTACTCTTGGTGTTGTATAAGTTGTACAGGTGTAAGTTTGGACAAATGTATAATGAAATATACCCACCATTACAGTAACACACGGAGTATTTTCACTGCCCTAAACAGCTTCAGTGTCCCTCTTATATGTTCCTCCCTCTCTCCCACCCCTGGTGACCACTGATCTTGCTGTCCCCATGGCATCACCTTTCCAGAGTGTCATACAGCTGGACCCCGCAGGATGCAGGCTTTCCGGGATTCTTTCCTTAGGAATATATGTTGAAGCTTCCTCCGTGTATTTTCATGACTTGACGGCTTATTTCTTTTTAGTATTAATCCCAAGTGTTTGATACCTGACAAACTTAGGAGTCCAACCTCCCAGCCCGGTTCCTAGGAAACTGACAGGTCAGAAATCCATTTGTTAATGAAGTCATGCCAAAATATCCGTCATGTTGATGGTGATGTTATTTCTCATTTGCCCTTCCGAGCACAACTGCATTTTTAAAAAGATGTCAGCTGGGCGAGGTGGCTCACACCTATAATCCTAGCACTTCGGGAGGCTGAAGAGGGTGGATCACTTGAGGTCAGGAGTTTGAGACCAGCCTGGCCAACATGGTGAAACCCTGTCTCTAGTAAAAATACAAAAATTAGCTGAGCGTGGTGGTGGGCGCCTGTAATCCCAGCTATTCAGGAGGCTGAGACAGGAGAATCGCTTGAACCCGGGAAGTGGAGGTTGCAGTGTGCAGTGATAGCGCCACTGCACTTCAGTCTGGGCAACAGAGCGAGACTCCGTCTCAACAACAACAACAACAACAAGATATCTAGGGACATTGCTCAGAAGGTACCACCTTCAGGATCTGCAGCTCACAGGAGACATTTCCAGTCAATGTCATTGGGTTACCACACAGCCCCCTGGAGATAGAACTAGCTGCTTGCAAACCTCCTGCCAAGCAAATGTTACCTTCTGAAATTTTTTCCATCCTCATTTTAATTAGAAAAGGAAAATATAATTATTTTATTATTTCTGATGCTGTCCTTTATGGTCATGTAACAACCAACCTGGAGAAAAATACCTGATTTATTCAAAAGATTACATAATTGCTTATGATTCTATTGGAACATCCTCTCCTCTCTAAATGTTAATTTTGGTCCAACCCCTCATGTCTGTTACATCACAGGATCATCATGAGAAGTTTATAAATTAAGTTCAGCTCTTTTAAGTTACCACGGTCCTTGATATTGTGACATAGTGATATTATCAGTCAAGCTGAAGGGACAATTGAAGGCGCCAGACGGGAAGTAGGTGATTAGACAAAGCTGGAAGCAAACCACGCAGATCTGGCCTGGGAAGCTGAACTTTAAACCTACTAAAGAGAACAGATCTGGTTTCTGAAGGCTATTGTGTGAGTAATAACTAATTGGCTGCAAAAGAAGTTTTCAGGCAGGTTCTTTGGCGTGATGGTGAGGCCGGCGTTGATCTCCCATGTTGAGCTTGAGCTCATTCAGCTGCACACTCTAGCACGTGGTATTCTGCATGTCTTTACAGATTAGTTTTCATGTGAAGCTTCACATGAAACCCTTCTCCAAATAAGAAGATGCATGTCCGTTTAAAGAATTTTTAACATTTACAACAAAATACATGATATCTTGAAATAAACTAGGTTAGCAAACTTTTCTAGTGTTTTTATGTCCATAATATTTTCAAATGAAGAAGTAATACGTGTGACACTCTAAATTGTGAATAACTGCTCTTGGAGCACGGCCCTACAGGTGTGGTCCTGCAGAAGGTGACACGCACCTATCACCGTGCACAAGCCCTTGGCTATGGTGCCTATGGAGGGCTCCACCCACAGGTGCCCCAAGGACATCAGAAATGGTAAATGTGTGACATCTTTAAAAGACTTTTCTTCTTATTTAAAAAAATTATTTATTGGCAAAAAGGGCTGGGCATGGTGGCTGTTGTCTTTAATCCCAGTCCTTTGGGAGGCCAAGGCGGGAGGATCACTTGAGACCAAGAGTTCAAGATCAGCCTGGGCAGCATAGTGAGACCCCATCTCTACAAAAAAAAAAAAATTGTCTTAAATTAGCCAGGCATGGCGGGGCACTTGTAGTCCCAGTTACTCAGGAGGCTGAAGCAAGTGGATCACTTGAGCCCAGGAGGTTGAGGCTGCAGTGAGCTATGATGATGCCACTGCACTCCAGCCTGGGCAACAGAGCAAGACCCTCTCTCTAAAATAAATAAACAGGTACCGAGGCAAGGAGAATGGTTTTAAGAATTGGATTCCTGGCTGGGCGTGGTGGCTCACGCCTGTAATCCCAGCACTTTGGGAGGCCGAGGCAGGCGGATCATGAGGTCAGGAGATCAAGACCATCCTGGTTAACACAGTGAAACCCCGTCTCTACTAAAAAAAAAAAAAATACAAAACATTAGCCAGGCATGGTGGCGGGCACCTATAGTCCCAGCTACTAGGGAGGCTGAGGCAGGAGAATGGCATGAACCCAGGAGGTGGAGCTTGCAGCAAGCAGAGATTGCGCCACTGCACTACAGCCTGGGCAATAAAGCAAGACTCCACCTCAAAAAAAAAAAAAAAAGAAGAAGAAGAATTGGATTCCTAAAAGAATTGTGAGAGGTCTGGCTCTGAACATGACTACCAATTTTGAAGCTTCCAAAGTTGGTTGTTACGAGTTTGAAGGCCTTTCATGGGAATGGGATGATGACGGAGTCCTTCCTCAGCTGCACTCCCCCAGTACTACAATGACAGTCTGTTGGAATGGTAATGGTACAGGGTCAGAAAAGCTGGCTATGTTCTTTCATGCCTCTTTTCTCCTTCATGAAAAAGTCAATAAACCTCCAAGTTTCATCACCTGGAAAGTAGAAATAATAAGATCAATTTGATTGATCATGATGAGAGTCAACCAAAACAATCTTTGTGTACATAGACACCATAAATGTTAATAATTATTATTTGTCTATGCAGAGAATCAGGTTAAAATTAACACAAAGATTAGTCTGGAAGAAAAATAGAAACGACACACTTTCAACCTCACTGGTATGTGAGGAGGTGGTACAGAAATACTTACGTGTTTTGCTTTTTGATAAGGGGGATGGGCATGTGAAAGTTGCCAGAATCAAAATGGAATCCCTAATGTTAAGAAAACCCTGATAAACAGAGTTGGGGAAAGGAGGGTCCTCATGCTTATGTGCCTGAGAACAGAAACTATCACAAAAGACTGCAAAACCCACAACCTTGCACAAAGGCCCTTGCAACCTTACACAGAATCGGCTCTGCAAGGACATCTGCCCAGCAACTGCCTGTCCAAACTTGCACTGGCCTCACCCTTGGCATTGTCTTAGGAGCCAAGCATAATTATTTCAAAACAATTATGCAATCCTCATTTTTCCTTTTTGAAAACCGTTGTCTTCCTTTACCTCCCTGAATTCACACATCGTTTACGATGGCACACATATTCCCATTGCAATGCTCTGTTCCCAAATAAGTATCATTCATTTTAGAGAGACTCTCTCTGTTTGTTGTTCAGGTTGACATATATGATATCAGGACCTGCAGAAAATCGTTGTTGGAAAAAAGATCGGTGATTCTTGGACCCGGTGCGCTGTTCTCATGTGAGCTGTTGGAGCTCTCTGTGTCCACAGCTCCATGTTTCTGCCGTGGCGGGGGTCTTCTCTTAGACTGAGTCTCCCCCTCCTTTGGTAGAGGCTTTTTTTTTTTTTTTAAATGGAGCCTCTCTCTGTCGCCCAGGCTGGATTGCAGTGGCACCATCTTGGCCCACTGCAACCTCCACCTCCCGGATTCAAGAGATCCTTCTGCCTCAGCCTCCTAAGTAGCTGGGATTACAGGCACCTGCCACCACGCCTGACTAATTTTTGTATTTTAAGTAGAGATGGTTCTCGCCATATTGGCTGGGCTGGTCTCGAACTCCTGACCTCAGGTAATCTGCCCGCCTCAGCCTCCCGAGGTGCTGGGATTACAGGTGTGAGCCACTGCACCCAGCTGGTAGAGGTTTTTTGATATTGTTTGGGATCTGTTTGGATAAGGCTGTCTTAATAAAGGACCATACATCACTCCTGGGATGATAAAATACTTTTTGTTTCCCAGTCTGGGTGCAGCGGCCTGCAGGCAGCCCACTTCAGTGACCCATGTGACCCCTGCCAGCAGCTCTGTGAGCTCATCCTTGGTGTGGAGCAGTCACCCCGGCCTTGCACATGGCCTTAGTGGTGCCTGATGCAATCATGCCTGACAGGTACACAGCAAAAGTGCAAGCTCTAGCACACAGGGACAAAAAAGTCAAGGAGTGCTTTTCAACCAAGATCTGTTGGTCACAGGGCAGAGAGAGCTGGTGCAGAATCAGGGTCAGGAAATCAGAGCAATCACAGCCACAACTGGCGAGGAGAGACAGCGTGGTTGGTGCAGATGCATGGTTATTTGATGGTCAGGAGTAAGGTCTCACCCAGCTTGGAGGCCAGCAGGATGTGGACTGCACCCAGGAGCTGCAACTGTGCCATTGGGTGGAGATGCTGGACAGGTAGCGATCCAGGCAGTTCATGACCAGGGAAAGGCTTCCTCCCCACAGTGCTGCTCCTCACACATTACACCATCTTTCTTCAGAGTCCTCCCATTTTACATCCTGGTGCCATCTAGGATTTCTTTCTTTCATTGATTTTCTCAGTTTTTGCTTTTGCTGTCATGCAGAGTCCAAAAAGAAAGGCTGGATAAAAGAAAAAAAAAAAGAAAAACAAACTGCTGGAAGTCTTCCCAACACACATTTGCTAATCAAGCAAACCAGGCCAGCAAACAAAAGATAGATTTGTTACTAGTTCAACACTACTTGGAGATTTTGTTTTTCTTACACAATTCAGCCAGTCCTAGCTAAAATGCAAACATTGAACATTTAACCCCTAACTTATTTGAAACTAAAAGAAAAAAAGGGGTGAAAAGTTTTTAAAAATCAAACTGCCATGGAAACTCCTTTACCCAGAAGGGTACAGCTTTCATTAGATTACCTATCAGAGCAACTAAAGTCTAGCTATATGAATAGCTTCCAATTTTGTCACAAATATTATTTGAATTCAACTCTTTTATAAACTGGTGAGTTTGTATTACTATTTCATGACTAAATTATTAAGTGAAAGATATAAGATCTTTATTTGTGTGTATGCATTTAGATGTTCTTTACACATATATACATGTATTATGTTATATGCTATGTCCACATAGTAAAATCTGGGTAGTTGGCCAGAAATGCCTTAAAGATAAATGAACATTCATATAAAATATATAGTAATTAGCACAAATGCTTTTTAGTTCATGTGACTTAAGTAAAACTTTAACAGACAAACTGGTTTTAAAATTATTGGTAAAATAAAAATAGAAATGTCTTCAGATTTGTCAGCATACATTTTTGCTCAGGTTTACTAGTCAGACAGTCTTATATTTGTCTATTCTAAATATTTTAAAGTGTCAGAATTTGATGTAAAGGTTATAAAAATATAAAACCAGCCTAAAACAAAATAATCTTTGTGTAAATTTTTTGATAAGACTAATTTAATATTGTTGGTTTAATAAAAACTTCTGTATCTTCTGCATTATTGGCAAAATGCCTGTGTATTTAAGATTCTTACCTAAGTGAACATCTGATATTCACAGGCTATTGAAATGAATATCAGGGCTGGGTGTGGTGACTCACACCTGTAATCCCAGCACTTTGGGAGGCCGAGGCAGGCGCATCACCTGAGGTCAGGAGTTCAAGACCAGCCTGGTGGTCTTGGTTACATGGTGAAACCCTGTCTCCATTAAAAATACAAAAAATTAGCCAGGTGTGGTGGTGAGTGCCTGTAGTCCCAGCTACTCAGGAGGCTGAGTCAGCAGAACTGCTTGAACCCAGGAGTTGGAGGCTGCAGTGAGCCAAAATGGCAACAGTGCACTCCAGCCTGGGCTTCAGTATGAAACTCCATCTCAAAAAATTTAAAAAAAAAAATAAGAAATGAGTATCAGGGAAATAACTTGAAATCATGACCAACATTGTCTTGTATTCCAGTTCTCATAAGTAATCTAGGTAAACTGTTCAAAAATAAATTAATTAAGTAAATGTAAATGGGATAAGTGTTTATAAACTAATCTTATATGCCATTTGAAATCTTAAAGTTATATTATGTTAAATTAATTGGTAAATTTTAAATGTCTAGGTTATTTCTAAATAAGATTTAAAAACAATGAAAACAAATTGCTGAACATATACATAATTTTGTTCTTGGCTTCTTAAATTTTATAGAAAGATTAAACATACTTGGGTTTACTAATATACATAAAAATGTTATAGGGAAACATGTTTCTAAACGTCATAAAATGGTTGTCATCTATAAAATACTGATATATGACAGACAATTCAAGACTTCTTCCTTCTAAGTTTTCACTAAAATTTAGGGTTACTAAGAGTTATATGTGTTTATACATAAAATGTGCCAAAAGAATAAGATGTGTGTTTTAATGAGAAAGGCATAAATATGTTCTTGATTAAGAAAAAATAATTTTGTTGAATTTGGAGGTTATTTAGAGGTTGTTTCAAAATATCAAACAAAACAAAAAGGAACCAGTAAGTAGGAGAAGGAGATGTGAGAAAAGTTATAGATATGAAGATGTATTTCTGACAAGGAAGGTTAAAAAGAAAAGAAATACTTTTGTTTGAGAAAGAATCTCCTGTGGTAAATTCTGTCCTGCGGTAAAATGACTGCTTATTTTGAAAAGAAGAATAATAGGAAAACTTAGAAAGTCCAAGCCTGTCATTAATAGTCTCATTAAGTTGTGATAAAGTTCACAAAAAGAGAATTTACTAAAGGAATTTTGTACGTGATTTACTTGGCTATGATTGTAACTTATAAGTCTTTCTAAAGATTGAGCTTTGATATTAAAAAGACACTAATACGGCCGGGCACCGTGGCTCACGCCTGTAATCCCAGCACTTTGGGAGGCCAAGGCAGGCAGATCATGAGGTCATGAGATCAAGACCATCCTGGCTAACACGGTGAAACCCTGTCTCTACTAAAAATACAAAAAATTAGTCAGGCTTGGTGGCATAGGCCTGAATTCCAGCTACTCGGGAGGCTGAGGCAGGAGAATGGCGTGAACCCAGGAGGCGGAGCTTGCAGTGAGCCGAGATCGTGCCACCGCACTCCAGCCTGGGTGACAGAGCGAGACTCCATCTCAAAAAAAAAAAAAAAGACACTAATACAAAGCCAAAAAATTTGGTCCCCTATGTGACAACAACAGGTTTTCTTTTTCTTTTTTTTTTTTTTTTTTTTTTTGAGACGGAGTCTCGCTCTGTGGCCCAGGCGGGAGTGCAGTGGCGCAATCTCGGCTCACTGCAAGCTCCGCCTCCAGGGTTCACGCCATTCTCCTGCCTCAGCCTCCCGAGTAGCTGGGACTACAGGCGCCCACCATCACGCCCGGCTAATTTTTTTTTGTATTTTTAGTAGAGACGGGGTTTCACCGTGTTAGCCAGGATGGTCTCGATCTCCTGACCTCGTGATCCGCCCGCCTCGGCCTCCCAAAGTGCTGGGATTACAAGCGTGAGCCACCGCGCCCGGCCTCAACAACAGGTTTTCTTAAAGTACTGATTAGCTCTTACTAAAACCACAGGCATTTTGATTTTTCATTTTGACATTTTTCTAACAGCCATCTTCTAAACTACTGAAAGTTTTTATTTCTTCCTGTGATCTAATTAATTTCTCTATTTCAGGATGAAAATTGTCATCCTTTTTATTCAGAATACCAATTTTATTTCTTGAGGTAAATTTTTTTCCCCAAACTTCTCAGATTTATATCTCAGAAGCTCACCTTTCTGTAGCTTACTGCACATGATCTGCAGGTCAGTCCTCATTGCCTTTTGTTCTTTCTCTCCTTGAAAAGGAATGTGTTTTTGCTTGGCTGGGGTGATAACTCTCTGCTTGTCAACTCTATAACATTTTTTCCCCTCTAGTTCCAGCTCTGCTGTTATGGCCTGACACCGATATGTTTATGTGGAAGGTCTGGAAAAGCAATGTTTTCCTGCAGTATGACATGACCCTGCCCTCTTGGCTTTTCTCAATATGTCTGAATTGTTCATGTAACCAGGAAACTTCCCATGCTGTTACTAAGAATCATGTATTCTGCTTCTCAAGGTACTAGTTTTCTTGTTTATATTCCTCCATAATATAGTGTACACTCATAAACCTGTCTGATTAAATTTGAATACAGCTTTCATCAGGTTTGAAAAGAGTATTCAAATTTTCCAGGTTATTTAAATGGCCTTCCCTTCAGAAGAGACAATCACACTGCAGGAGATTTTCCTTTACCTTTTTTTGCAACTGGTCTCTAAAAAAACCAAAGATTTTACATTTTATCAAGATAATTTTTGTGTTGTCTTTATTAGATTTGTAATTACTTTGGAAAACTGAGCTTTAAAAGGGTTAAGATTTTTACGTCCATATGACTTCCTGTATTGTTTTGAAGCCTTTTTTTTCTATGCTCCTTTTTTTGTTTTGCTTTGTTTTGTTTTTTAAAGTTTTAGTTCTATAGGTTTTTGGGAACAGGTGGTATGTGGTTACATGAGTAAGTTCTTTAGAGGTGATCTGTGACGTTTTGGTACACCCATCACCCGAGCAGTGTACACTGTACCCAGTGTGTAGTCTTTTATCTATCACCACCTTCCCAGCCTTTCCCCAAGTCCCCAGAGTCCATTGTATCATTTTTAAGCCTTTGCATACTCATAGCTTAGCTCCCATTTATGTGTGAGAACATATGATGTTTGGTTTTCCATTCCTGAATTGCTTCACTTAAAATAATAGTCTCCAATCTCACCAAGGTTGCTGCGAATGCCATTAATTCATACCTTTTTATGGCTGAATAGCATTCCATCATATATATATGTGTGTGTATATATATATATGTATACAACAACTGTGATATATTTATATATCACAGTTTCTTTATCCACTTGTTGATTGATGGGCATTTGGGCTGGTTCCACATTTTTGCAATTGTGAATTGTGCTGCTATAAATACATGTGTGCAAGCATCTTTTTCGTATAATGACTTCCCTTCCTCTAGGTAGATACCCAGTAGTGGGACTGCTGGATCGAATGGTAGTTCTACTTTTAGTGCTTTAAGGAATCTCCACACTGTTTCCATAGTGGTTGTACTAGTTTACATTCCCACCAGCAGTGTAGAAGTGTTCCCTGTTCACCGCATCTACCCAACATCTATTATTTTTTAATTTTTTTATTATGGCCATTCTTGTGGGAGTAAGGTGATATCACACTGTGGTTTTAATTTGCATTTCCCTGATAATTAAGGATGTTGAACATTTTTTTCATATGTTCATTGTCCATTTGTGTATCTTCTTTTAAGAACTGTCTACTCATGTCCTTAGTCCACTTTTTCATGGGATTTTTTTTTTCTTGCTAATTTGTTTGAGTTCCTTGTAGATTCTGGATATTGGTCCTTTGTTGGATGTATAGGTGGTGAAAATTTCCTCCCACTCTGTGGGTTGTCCGTTTACTCTGCTGACTGTTCCTATTGCCATGCAAAAGCTCTTTAGTTTAATTAAGTCCCACCTATTTATCTTTGTTTTTGTTGCATTTGCTTTTGGGTTATTGGTCATGAGATCTTTGCCTAAGCCAACGTCTAGAAGGGTTTTTCCAGTGTTATCTTCTACAATTTTTATGGTTTCAAGTCTGCAACCGAAAAAGAGCCTACATAGCCAAAGCAAGACTAAGCAAAAAGAACAAGTCTGGAGGCATCACACTACCTGATTTCAAACATACTATGAGGCCATAGTCACCAGCCTGGGCAATGTAGTGAGACCTCATCTCTACAAAAAAAAAAAAAATGCTGAATGTACTAGAAATAACTAAATTTCCTTATCAATTGGGAATTTTAATCAGATTTTAACCATGGCTATTCTAAGTTTTTGTCATCCACAGCTATTGTTGTCTCAAATTCTTCTCTAAAAACATTTGCGATCAGCTATAGTCCAAAATTGCTCTTCATGCAAAAGACAAGCACTTTGAAACACAGATTTCTGCTAACTTTAAGATAAATGAAGGCCAGACACAGTGGCTCATGCTTGTAATCCCAAAGTCAGGAGGATCACTTGATGCTAGCAGTTCGAGACTAGCCTGGCCAACATGGTGAAACCCTGTCTCTACTAAACTACAAAAATTAACTAGACATTGTGGTACATGCCTGTGGTCTCAGCTACTCGAGAGGCAGAGGCACAAGAATTCCTTGAACCTGGGAGGTGGAGGTTGCAGTGAGCTGAGATCGTGCCACTGTGCTCCAACCTGGATAAGAGAGTAAGACTCTGTCTCAAAAATAAAAATAAAAAAGATAAATTAACTAAGTAAAAAATTTTAAAACTCAAATATAGAAACTGATGCATTCATAAAACTGCTAATCAAGATCAATCAGAACAAAAAAATTCATTATGTGACATTAAGTAATTGACCAAGATAAAGTCTTTGTAACAAGATAATGTCCTTTGTTTGAAATATTATGGATTATTTATTTATTTATTTACTTATTTTTGAGACAGAGTCTTGCTCTGCTGCCCAAGCTGGAGTGCAGTGGCGTGATCTCAGTTCACCACAACCTCTGTTTCCCGGGTTCGAGTGATTCTCCCGCATCAGCCTCCCAAGTAGCTGGGACTACAGGCACACACCACCATGCCCGGCTAATTTTTGTATTTTTAGTAGAGATGGGGTTTCACTACATTGGCCATGCTGGTCTTGAACTCTTGACCTCGTGATCCACCTGCCTCAGCCTCCCAAAGTACTGGGATTACAGGTGTGAGCCGCTGCACCTGGCCTGATTCTTTATTTAAATATTTTGTTTTCCAGATTTAAAGAAACTTTTCTCATAAGCTATCTATAGTTTACAACAATTTGGTAAAGTATACTTTGGTGAACGAATAGTGAAAGCATTTTCTTTTTCTCCCTATTTGATTCCTCCAGAATTCAAAAACTATTTGTGAGTATTCTTATTTTTGTTTACATATGTTCAATAAAGATCTGCTTTCTCTTAATAAGGGGGATACAACTGGGAACACTGTTATATTAACAAGGCTTCGACTGAAACTTCACGTTTAAGAATGTGCATAAAATGCCTGGCTTCAAGAGTTCCCAGGCTTACAGTGAGTGAGTACAAACTGTCATTTTCTGGAAAGCCCAAGAACCTTAAGACTGTAGGTAGGCTGGGTGCGGTGGCTCACGCCTGTAATCCCAGCACTTTGGGAGGCCGAGGCGGGCGGATCATGAGGTCAGGAGATCGAGACCATCCCGGCTAAAACGGTGAAACCCCGTCTCTACTAAAAATACAAAAAATTAGCCGGGCGTAGTGGCGGGCGCCTGTAGTCCCAGCTACTTGGGAGGCTGAGGCAGGAGAATGGCATGAACCCGGGAGGTGGAGCTTGCAGTGAGCCGAGATCCCGCCACTGCACTCCAGCCTGGGCGACAGAGCGAGACTCCGTCTCAAAAAAAAAAAAAAAAAAAAAAAAGACTGTAGGTAAAATCTAAAATCTGCCTTGGTTTGGCTTCCGAGCTTCAAGGGGTATTTAAATCAGAGATTCCCATGTAATCAATGCAGAGAGAAAAAGTTATGTTTCCCAATAAAAATTGCAATATACTTTTTATTAGATTATAGCCCTTTGCATTGCTTTCAAGTTCTTGTTATTTATTTATGGACTAAACTAGATACTAAATTCTTCTAATTTCCTCCAGTATTTAGCTATAATTCTTGAACTAAAAACAAAAATTGGACAGGAGATCGAAACCATCTTGGCCAACATGGTGAAACCCCGTCTCTACTAAAATACAAAAAATTAGCTGGGCGTGGTGGTGCGTGCCTGTAAACCCAGCTACTTGGGAGGCTGAGGCAGGGGAATCACTTGAAGCTGGGAGGTGGAGGTTGCAGTGAGCTGAGATTGCACCACTGCACTCCAGCCTAGCAACAGAGCAAGACTCCATCTCCAAAAAAAAAAAAAAACCTGCAAAACTGATCTGTTTCTAAAGCCCTATAAACTGAAAGTAGATAAATTTTAAGAAACAAGTCATGCTTATGTGTGGGCCACACAAAAAGTTTAATAAGCTGCCCAATGTCATTACCAGAGCCATTTAAGCTACAAATCGGAAAGAGAAGTTGGTGTTTTCACACTGTAGACAGCTTTTTCCAAGACATCAGAACAAGACTCCATATCATAATGAGGCTTTTACCCCCGTTAATGCTACCTTTTTTCACTTGGCGGAAGAATGATGTAATTACAACTTCACAATTAATAGCTTCTGCTGTAACTTAACAGAAGCTAATAATCTAAAAATATCCTTTAGTATTCACTGGTTAAATAAAAAAATTCTTGTGCTATTGTAGTACTATTAGGTTGGTGCAAAATTTGGCACATGCCTGTAATTCCAGCTATTTGGGAGGCTGAGGCAGGAGATTCGCTTGAACTCAGGAGGCAGAAGCCGCAGTGAGCTGAGATAGCGCCGCTGCACCCCAACCTGGGTGACAGAGTAAGACCCTGTCTCAAACAAACAAACAAACAAACAAAAAAACCCTTGACAAATACAGCCAAGGAAGGCCATGAAAAGAGGGTTCTCACGCTCGTATTCCTGATAACAAAAACTATCACAAAGACTGCAAAACCCACAACCTTGCACAAAAGCCATCACAGCCTTACACAAAAAAATACTTCTGCAAGAACATCTGCTCAGCAACTGCCTGTCTTACTTCAGACTGGTGTCACTCATTTTTGATCTTTAGAGCCAAAGATAATTATTTTAAAAGAATTATATAATCCTCCTCATGTTTTTTCTCCTTAAAAAGCCTCGTCTTCCTTTCCCTCCCTGAATACACTTATCATTCACTACAGCATACATGTTCTCATTGCTGCTCCTCATCCTCCAGCCTCACAGTGATGTCCACCACCACCAAAAGCAGGACTGTTCAACTGCCCCTATTTCCCTACGAATATTGTACCTAGCTGTGATATAACAGTATTTTCAAAAAGTAATTTGAATGTTACATGCAGCATGTTGCCTTCATCAAGAATGTGCGCTGAGGCTGGGCACAGTGGCTCACGCCTGTAATCCTAGCACTTTGGGAGGCCAAGGCAGGTGGATCACGAGGTCAGGAGATCGAGACCATACTGGCTAACACGGTGAAACCCCGTCTCTACTAAAAACACAAAAAACTAGCCAAGCGCTGTTGCGGGTGCCTGGGGTCCCAGCTACTCGGGAGGCTGAGGCAGGAGAACGGTGAGAACCCAGGAGGCGGAGGTTGCAGTGAGCCAAGATTGCCCCACTGCATTCCAGCCTGGGCGACACAGAGAGACTATCTCAAAAAAAAGAAAAAAAGAATGTGAGCTGAAATACGCAGTTTCTGGTATGTTGGTAAAATAACCTGTACTTCCCGTTTTGAAAGTTTCTTGATTGGAGATACATGTTCAAGTGTGTCCATGTAATGACGTGTGCATATATCATACAGCTTTTGTGACACATACTTGCTTCTTCAAAGTTCTTTTTGATTTGGCCTGGCGTGGTGGCTCACACCTGTAATCCCAGCACTTTGGGAGACCGAGGCAGGTGGATCACGAGGTCAGGAGTTCAAGACCAGCCTGGCCAAGATGGTGAAACCCCATCTCTACTAAAAATACAAAAATTAGCCTGGCGTGGTGGTGGGTGCCTGTAATCCCAGCTACTCGGGAGCCTGAGGCAGAGAATACTTGAACCCAGGAAGCGGAGGTTGCAGTGAGCCGAGATCACACCACTGCACTCCAGCCTGGGCGACAGAGCAAGACTGTCTCAAAAAAAAAAAAAAAAGTTCTTTTTGATTCATGGGAATTACTGGGAGTCTGTCATTAACATTTCAGCCATTCCTATTAGAGACTCCACCAATTAGCTGGAAATTTACAGCTTTCTCTTTCCACATCAAATTTTTCCAACCCAGTGAAAATAACTTTTTTTACTTTACTTTTCCACTTTTTTTTTTTTCACACAGGGTCTCGCTGCCTCACCCAGGCTGGAGTGCAGTGGCGCGATCTCGGCTCACTGCAACATCTGTCTTCCCGGGTTCAAGTGATTCTCCTGCCTCAGCCTCCCCAGTAGCTGGGATTACAGGTGCACGCCACCACAAACAGCTAATTTGTGTATTTTTAGTAGAGACAGGATTTCACCATGTTGGCCAGACCGTACCACTTTGATATCCCATTTGCCAGACTTGTTTTTGCAAACTTCTTTTCCATAGGAAGATGGTACTGTGGATGCGCCATCCAGGTGTGTGCCTGGAGGTGGTGAGGACATACTTGCTTTGATCTGTTTGTACTTGCTCCCCAGGCTTCTTGATGAAAGACCTGACACATCTCTTTGCTCGGGGCACATATCCTTAGATAAAGTGTCCAATAAAAGTGGAGATTCACAGTCTGACACACTATAATGTATTGATAAAAATAACAAAAGAGAACATTTGAAATTATGACTGCCTCAAAAAATATGGGACACAGGATCACAGTGCCCATAAGAAAATTCAGCCTGGGATCCTAGCCTTGTAAATTTCTCATTCTAAGCAGCCAAAAAACAGCAATTCGCTGACATCTTCCTTTTCATCTTGCTTTTTCTCTGTAGCAGTCAAGAATGGCCCAGATTGGCTGGGCACAGTGGCTCACACCTGTAATCCCAGCACTTTGGGAGCCAAGGTGGGTGGATGGCTTGAGGTCAGGAGTTCAAGACCAGCCTGGCCAACGAGGTGAAATTCTGTCTCTAAGAAAAATACAAAAATTAGACAGGCATGGTGGCACGCGCCTGTAGTTCCAGCTACTAGTAGGGAGGCTGAGGCGGGAGAACAACTTGAACCCGGGAAGTGGAGGTTGCAGTGAACTGAGATCGTGCCACTGCACTCCAGCCTGGGTGACAGAGTGAGACTGTGTCTCAAAAAAAAGAGAATGTCCCAGATTTATCACTATCGGAAGAGAAAGAAGAAGAGCAATGATAACAGAAACTATTTGCATTTATTTTATAACCATTTGCAAATAGTATTAATTATAATATTGTAATCACTTCATTACTAATTTTAAGAAAATATTCTGATTAAAGAAATCTAAAAGACACTGCCATTGGATTGGAAGGAAAGGGGTCTGTCATCCAAACAGATTATTCTGAATTTGCGATGCTTAAGTAGTGCTCTATCATTTCAACTTCAAGTGTCACAGGCTGTAAATGCTGCCAGCAGTTTGGATCCGATGCCTCCGAGGAGCTGGCCTTTCGAGAACATAATTTAAGCGTCAGGAAGATGTGGGTGGTGAGTCAGCGATGACTCAGGCAAGGAGGCACTCTCAGTCCTGCTGTACTGTACCTTCTTTGGGAACAGTCACTTGGCTTTTTCAATGTTTCTTCTTTATTTTCTTTTTTCTTTTTCTTTTTTTTTCTGAGATGGAGTCTCGCTCTGTCCCCCAGGCTGGAGTGCAGTGGCGCCATCTCAGCTCACTGCAACCTCCATCTCCTGGGTTCAAGTGATTCTCCTGCCTCAGCTTCCTGGGTAGCTGGGATTACAGGCAGGAGCCCCCACACCTGGCTAATTTTTGTATTTTAAGCAGAAACAGGGTTTCACCATGTTGGTCAGGCTGGTCTCAAACTCCTGACCTCAAGTGATCTGCCCACCTCGGTCTACCACTTCTTTATTTTCTAAGTGACCTTAGCATGAATCGTGGTGTGTGGTCTGCCTTCAAGTAGAGAAGCTTTTGATCATAATGAACAAAATGTCTCTTTAATGTCTCAAATGACCCTTTCAGATATCTGGCATGAGGTTAATTGGGGTATTCATTGGTTGCTGGAAGTGCCACTCTGCTCTGAGAGATGTTCTCCATCCAGATGGGACCCGGGAATGGAAAAAAAAAACACCCAGCCAGCCAAGGTGTGCACGTGGAGCCCCCTGTTCCCTGGTGCGTGTGTGAGTGTCCAGAGAACACCTCTGGGGTCCCCATCGGGAGACGTGAAGGCTCATCTCATGACTGTGCGCTGCATCCCCTCGGTCGGTCTCTGCTGGGTTCTCAACCTGGAGAGAAGCAAACCAGCCAGCCGGCTCCCGCCTCAACCTGGTTCAGGACTGCGCTGTCGGAACACCACCCTCGCGATGCTGTGTCTCCCTGTTCACACCTTCTCGCATGCTAGGACTTCACCCCACCAGACTCATGTGTGCCTTCTCTACGATGACAGGAAAAGAAAAGAACCTGAGCATCACGAGGGGCCAGGGGCTGCCCAAGCAATCTCCCTCTTTGCTCCCGTGTGGGCCACACAGCAGGAGCTTGTTAAAAATGCAGATTCTCAGGCCCACCCCAGATGTGCTGAGATGAGATCTGCACTTCCACAAGGTGTGCAGGTCATTTGTGGGCAGGTGGAAGTGAGAAGCACTGGGCTGGGCGACTGTCTCTGGCCTTGAGCTGTCTGGGGCGCTAAGCAGCGTTAAGAATGCAGGAGGCTGAAGCAGGTCTAAGTGTGAGTGTGAAAAAAAGGCAAATTGAGGAAAAGTATGATTGGAGAAGAAGGGAGGGAGGGAGGAAGGAAAGCAGCGAGGGAGGAAAGATGGGAGGAAGAAAGGGAGGGAGGGAGTACAGGAGGGAGGGAGGGAGTACAGGAGGGAGGGAGTACAGGAGGGAGGGAGTACAGGAGGGAGGGAGGGAGGGAGTACAGGAGGGAGGGAGGGAGTACAGGAGGGAGGGAGGGAGGGAGTACAGGAGGGAGGGAGGGAGTACAGGAGGGAGGGAGTACAGGAGGGAGGGAGGGAGTACAGGAGGGAGGGAGTACAGGAGGGAGGGAGGGAGGGAGGGAGGGAGGGAGGGAGTACAGGAGGGAGGGAGGGAGGGAGGGAGGGAGTACAGGAGGGAGGGAGGGAGTACAGGAGGGAGGGAGGGAGGGAGGAAGGAAGGAAAGAAGGGAGGGAGGGAGGGACAAAAGGAAGGAAGGGAGGGAGGAAAGGAAGGAAGGAAGAAAGGAAGGGAGGAAGGAAGGAAAGAAGGAACGAAGGAAGGAGAAGATATACAGGAAGATGAATGTGACTGAACGCTGAAGGGCTATGAACAAGGCTTAAGACTTTAGGTCCAAACAAAAGACACAATAGCACTAACTTGTCTTCAGGTTATTCAATCTAACATGGAACTCCAGGGCTCAATAACAGAGTTTCTCTTGACATGTGCGTACTTTGTGCCTCTTCGTAAGAATTTGGGACATTATCAGAACAATGGGCCATGACTCTGGGATTCTAATTGGTATTTTCAGAAGGTATACTTTTTCCTAATACAACTTCAGGTTCATAACCTTGTCTTTCTGTTTCCTTTGAATGCAAAGAAGGGGTTATGATATCTTAAAACCTTGTGTTGTATTTAGGAATATTGTTTCCCTCACTCCCTCACTCCAATATTCTGAGACGAAAGGAGCGGCTAGACGTCCACTGGGCGTCAGCCTCTCATTCACAGAGCTGCTCTGTCAACAGGCCTAGTATTTCCAAAGAATGCATTTTATCTTTTCAATGATATAAATTTTTAAAAATTATGAATTTAGGGCATTTTTTTGTGGCCACGCGTGACCAAACAACAAATGTTAGTAATTGGAAGAACCGTCAGAGTGCTTCTCTTTGTGGCTGTTTTTGGTATTAATAGTCGAATGCAGTTTACTTAGGGGAAATGTTGAAAACCCACTGAGGCCAAGGACTGTATTTCCTGCAATGCTGAACCTCCACCTCCCAGTGAGCATCTCTTAGCCAATGACAGGCACACAATAAGCACTTGATAAATGTTTCCTTAATGAATCTGCATGATATTTAGCCCCAAAAGTTGTCTTGTGCCTCAGTCAAGGAGAGGAAGCCTGAGGCCCCTGCATCACTGTGCTTGCTGCCTGAGCAGGGGCTCTACTGGGAGGCCCCCCCCAGGGCCTGGGGGTCCCCTTGTTTTCCTTGCTCGAGATATGCCCTGGGTTGAACACTCTCCCCCCAAATTCACACCACCTGGAGCCTTTGCATGTGACCTTCTTTGGAGATAGAGTCTCTTTAGATATGATCCAGTTAAGATGAGGTCATAGTAGATTAGGGTGTGGGCCCTAAATCCATGGACCACTTATGTCCTTAAAAGAAGGGGGACATTAGAACACAGACACAGAGAGGACCCTGAATGCCATGCAGAGATGGAGGCAGAGATCAGAAGGATGCAGCTAGAAGCCAAGGGGTGTCAAGAAGTGCCCAGAACTCCCAGAAACTGGGAGAGGCAGGAATCTATTGCAAATGAAGCCAGGCACCCAGGGGTGCAGATGTATCAGTCAGGGAGGCTCAGGCAAGGCACAGGATCCAAACAAGTTAGTCAAAGGCCCAGGCCCAGCACCCTTGACCCTTGGGAACAGCACCCACAGGAACAGTGTCTGACTCCCAGTGGAAATGCAATGATCCATTCTATCAATGCGTCAGTGACACCCATCCTCCACTTTGGGGGATCCATTCTATTAATGAATTAATGACACCCATCCTCCACTTAGGGGGATCCATTCTATCAGTGAATCAGTGAAACCCATCCTTCACTTTGGGGGATCCATTCTATCAGTGACCAGTGAAACCCATCTTCTACTTTGGGGGATCCATTCTATCAATGAATCAATGCAACCCATCCTCCACTTTGGGGAATCCATTCTATCAGTGACCAGTGAAACCCATCCTCCACTTTGGGGGATCCATTCTATTCATGAGTCAATGAAACCCATCCTCTACTTTGTGGGGAATGATCCACTTATTCCAGCGGATATCTTAACATTTTGAAAGTATTTCCTTTCACATCTGTGTGGGAGAACTCACGACTTCACCATGGAATGAGAAACCCGAAAGGTTGATTATACTCTGGAGGCCTCGGTGAAAAGTCAGTTCTTGGTGGAGAGCGGGTGGTGGTTGCACAAAGATGGTTTTCAAGTCTGAGTATAAGTAAATGTTATGTTTTGGAACACGCCCACCAAATCGACCCCAGAACTGCATTTGCCTCCTGGAAATGTTCAGCAAGGTCTGCCATGAAATGCAGCCAGGACCTCTGGAATGAGTGCAGATTTTAACAAAACCCTGATCTCACAGGCACTGGGGTTTCTATAAGTAAATTGATAGTCGACACAGCTTTAGCTATAGCGGTTCTCAGAGGTACACCCACAGCCCTGTGCACGTGTCCTTCTTAGGTCATGAATCACCAAGTCATTCTTCTTGGACACTCCAATCGCCGGTGAGAGGTAACATGGTTCCCATCTGCAGTGAGGAAACTGAGCCTCAAGAGGTTCAGGGGACATGAGGACCCCCAGGGCTTCCACACCGCCTCCATGCCGACTCCCCAACACTGCGCGGAGAGGTGGCCTCTTCCTCATAGAGGGTGGGCTGCACCCCATGCGCAGAGGACACCGCCGTCAGTCCTGGCTGACGACCCTGCACTCCCTCCTTGGCGTGTCCTAGATACACGTGTGCGAGATCTCAGTGTTAATTGTGCTTTTGTTGTAACAGGGCCACGCAGCGTATTCCTCCACAGACCATGCTTCATTTCATCTCCGGGATGAAGGCGGATAAAAGGCTTTTCTGTCCTGTGCTGCTGTTTGCTGCTGCCTCAAAACAATTCTGCAAAACTGGTAAGAAGCAAAGCTTTTGTTGCTGCATATGGGAAGGAGAGTGTCGCCTGTCAGCTGTGGCACATCCCGTCCTGGGTGCAGCTGGTCACCCTTGCAGGGCGAGCTGCAAAAGAGACAGTGGATTCCTTTGCCACGTTCTTGCTGCCTCTCAAAATAGAACTGCTTTAAAGTTGTCACTCTTGAAGTCATTCCGTTAATTTGTTTCTGATATCTGCTTATTTTATGTCTGCCTTTGACTTTCTTTTTCAAATGTCACCACATTGTGCTTTCTCTTCCTTTAAAAGAATTCCAGGGTGGTTCTTTCTCTCCCATCCTCACTATGGCATCTTTGGCTTGTATTTTCAGCACTTGCCTCCTTTTAAAAATTGCTTGACCCAGGTGGGCATGGTGGCTCATATCTGTAATCCCAGCACTTTGGGAGGCCAAGGCAGGTGCATTGCTTGAGGGCAGAAGTTCGAGACCAGCCTGACCAACATGGTGAAATTCGTCTCTACTAAAAATACAAAAATCAGCCAGTCGTGCTGGGCGTGCCTGTAGTCCCAGCTACTCAGGAGGCTCAGGCAGGAGAATCGCTTGAACTCGGGAGGTGGAGGTTACAGTGAGCTGAGATTGTGCCACTGCACTCCAGGTGGGGTGATAGAGCGAGTCTTCGTCTCAAAGGAAAAAAAGAAATTGCCTTACCCGTTTTTTTTGTTTTGTTTTGTTTTGTTTTGTTTTTTGATTTTTTGAGATGGAGTCTTGCTCTGTCGCCCAGGCTGGGGTGCAGTGGTGCAGTCTCGGCTTATTGCAAGCTCTGCCTCCCGGGTTCACGGCATTCTCCTTCCTCAGCCTCCGGAGTAGCTGGGACTACAGACGCCCACCACCACACCCAGCTAAATTTTTTGCATTTTTAGTAGAGACGGGGTTTCACTGTGTTAGCCAGGATGGTCTCGATCTCCTGACCTCGTGATCCACCCACCTTGGCCTCCCAAAGTGCTGGGGTTACAGGCATGAGCCACCATGCCCGGCCTTTTTTTTTTTTTGGAGGGAGTTCTTAAGACTTTCTCCCAAGAACACCCTGAAAACTGCTGACGGACTTGAGAGCTTCTGGATTCCATGAACTTCTGGACAAATGCATCGGCTGTGGGATAGTCTCAGCTTTGAACTTCAAGATTCCAAACCTGAGAAAAATGAGAAACAGAACTTCAGTTTGGATATTCAGATTTTACATTTTTCAACATTAAACTAGGAATTTTCCTCTCATCTCGGTCCAGTGAGCCCTTCTAGAAATGGGGACCATTCAGTCCTCTGTCTCATGGGGCTTTTGTGTACAGATTGGTGGCCGATTGCCTGCAAGTCTGGGAACACCCATGCATGTTGAGGGTTCCAACAACCTTCTGGCACACCAGCCAGCTGACCCCTTAACTGGATTAAGGAAGACCTAGAAAACTGGCCAAGCATTATTTTTGGATGTGTCTGTGATGGTGTCTCCAGAGATTTACACGTGATCTGAGTGGACCTGCGGGGGAATGTCCACCCTCAATGATGTGGGCAGCAACCACCCAGTCAGCTGCAGACCCGCAGAGAAGGAAAGCAGAGAAAAGGGGAATGTGCTGGTCTATCTGCTGGAGCCGAGATACACCCTTCTTCTCCTCTCCTCGACATCAGAACTCCAGGCTCCGGCCTTTGGGCTCCAGGACTTACACACCAGTGGCTTCCCCACAACACCCAGGTTCTGAGGCTTTCACCCTTGGACAGAGTCACCTAATCAGCTTCCCTGGTTCTCAGGCCTTGGACTGAGAGTCACCTGAGGTCAGGTGAGAGTCCTGAGGTCAGAAGTTTGAGACCAGCCCCGCCAATATGGTGAAACCCCGTCTCTACTAAAAATATAAAAATTAGCCAGGCATGGTGGTGGAAACCTGTAATCCCAGCTACTCAGGAGGCCAAGGCGAGAGAATCACTTGAACCAGGGAGGCGGAGGTTGCAGTGAGCTGAGATCACGCCACTGCCCTCCAGCCTGGGCGACAAAGCGAGACCCTGTTTCAAAAGAAAAAAAAAATCTAACCAGGTGTTCTATATAACATGAATTCAGGCCATCATTGTCTTTCACCTGGATTATTAATATAATTCAGATCTCCAATGTCAATACTACTGTGATAAGTTCAGATTCATCTGCATGCTGTTAAAATATTTCAATGTTTGAGAGAATATGATGCTCCAATCTTTTGATTTTTAAGCAGATTGTTACTTAAAATTTTATCATTTCTAAGAGGTATTGGAATGTTTAAACACCTTGACATATTATAAGTTTAATTTATTATATTTATAACAATAGTTTACATGCTTGGTGTGTTATTGCTGAGTAGAATTATAAATTGGTTCCTGTCAGGAATTTGAATCACTATACAAGAAAAAATAATTTATTAAATGTAAATGTAGTTCAAAATGCTTTATATATATTTTTTTGAGACAGGCTGCCTGTCTCAAAAAAAGACAGGCTCGCTTTGTTACCCAGGCTGGAATGCAGTGGTGCGATCTCGGCTCTCGCCACCTCCACCTCCCAGCTTCAAGTGATTCTCCTGCCTCAGCCTCCTGAGTAGTTGGAATTACAGGTTCATACCACTACACCTGGCTAGTTTTTGTGTTTTTAGTAGAGTCGGGGTTTCATCATGTTGACCAGGCTGGTCTCGAACTCCTGGCCTCAAGTGATCCACCCTCCTCAGCCTCCCAAAGTGCTGGATTACAGGTTTGAGGCACCATTCCCAGCCAAAATGCTTTATATAATTTAAATAACTAAGTACATAAGTATTAATTATTATTGAAGATAGTTTAATCTGTTCAACTAGAGTAAACAGAAAATCGTTCTCAAGTTTCTAAATTTACATAGAGTACAGTCAGATTTTTAAGTTGTATTTAAAAACCTAATGAGGAGACTGATTTGAGTAATAATAAAACTCCAGTCTCCCGCAGAGCCGGCTTTGTGTGAATTACCCTTTCCCTATTGCAATTCTCCTGTCGTAATGAAAGGGCTCTGTCTAGGCAGTGGGCAAGGTGAAACCCTTGAGCGGTTACAAATTTGGGGGCTTATCTGGGATTGCCCTTGTGGCTACCCGCCCATGGTTCAGTGGCCCCCATTCAGTGATGGATCCAGAAGCCAGCCCAAGTGGCAGCCTGGTTCTCTTGGACTGGCGGAGGACTATGGTATTCTCTCCACTCGGGGGACACTGCCAACCCAATGTGCATGGGTTTAATTACAACAGAGAAATGTCATGGGGAGACATCCCTCAACTGTAGCCCTATCACAGGGTGTCTGTCTGTAGCCCCATTGTAGGTTGTCTGGATTGGTGAGTATCCTAGGCGCTGCCAACGCCTCCTTCCTTCTCCTGACTGGTTCTCTAGCCCGATGGTGGGGTGTCTGTAGCCCCATTGTGGGGTGTCTGTTTGTAGCTCCACCATGGGGTGTCTGTGTCTGTAGCCCCACTTTGAGGTGTCTGTTTGGCTCCTGGGGGTTCTTGGTTGGCGCTTTGTAACTAGTAGGAAGAGTCTTGGTTTGGGAGACTTCTCCTTAATCAGGAAGATTTCGAGGAGGTTTCTCAGAGAATAAGAGGGTAGTTTGGAAGGGATACTCTTGGAGTTCTTGGTTAGGGATCTGATTTGGAAGGCCTCTGTCCTCTCGTCTTTGTGTGTGGTTGTATATGTGGAAGGGATCTCAGAAGGGGTTGCTGATGGAAGTTCAGCAGGCCTAACTCAGAGAACCCTCCTTATTTGTCTGGTCACATTTGATGAGCCCTAAAGAAGGCTCAACAGATCTGTCTCGGGGTGACTATCTGCTCTTTGCCTTGCCCAGAGACCTCATTGTGAATTACCATTCGGAGGTTGTCCCTCCCCATCTGGAGGGAATCACAGACAACAGAGACCAACAGGAAAAAGTTTGAGCTTTGCCAGGTTGATATTGGGTGCTGAAGGAGGTGACTAATGTTTGTTTTGTTATGTGTGTTTTGCTGGGATGGAAAATGTTAATTCGGTCCCCCATGCAGCCTATTGGGCAGCATCCTGCAAATTAAGAATCTTGCCTATGGTTCCATAAAGCAGGAAAAGGTGGGCCGGGCGCGGTGGCTTACGCCTGTAATTCCAGCACTTTGGGAGGCCAAGGCAGGTGGATCACGAGGTCAGGAGATCAAGACCATCCTTGCTAACAGACTGAAACCCCATATCTACTAAAAGTACAAAAAATTAGCCAGGTGTGGTGGCATGCACCTGTAGTCCCAGCTACTCAGGAGGCTGAGGCAGGAGACTCGCTTGAACCCAGGAGGCGGAGCTTGCAGTGAGCCAAGATTGGGACACTGCACTCCAGCCTGAGCGACACAGGGAGACTCCACCTCAAAAAAAAAAAAAAGCAGGAAATGGTGATTTTCTTTCATAAAGTGGCTTGAACCTCACGGCTATGGCGCAGTGAGCAAGGTCATCAGAGGCTGCTCTGTTCTGGAAGCTGCAGAGAAAGGGAGCCTAGAAACCTGGTACGCCAGCGAAAAAGGGTAAGAAATTCTTACCAGCCAGGTTTCTGGTGTCTCTCTCTTTCTCTGTCTGGGTAAATAGTAAATGTCACTATTTGTCTCTCTGCAAGGGTTTGATTAATAGAAAAAGGATTTGTGAGACTAGTCTTAGGTGGTAGAAAATCTGGTGTACCTAGTGTTAAGAATTTGTCTTTCCGTGTTCTGTAATGGAGAAAGGAGTATCACAGGATAGAATGTGGGTTTAAGACCCACTTTCAAGCCCACTTTTCAAGCTAGCCTGGCAGGCTGGTCAGCAAACTTTGCTGTGGGTCCCTGAAACCAATACAGGATGAAATTTCTCTGTCTTCTTTTGTGTCCTTAAGAGCTTAACCTGTGACCATGTGGGGATACTTTCTCTTGGTTTCTAGAAGACAGGAATTTGGAGATTCATGTCATAGTTAGCCCTAAACATTTTCTTGAGCAGTTAAAAGCCTTTGCAAGCTTGAAATGGACTTCTCTAGGCTCCTTCTGGGAAGAGCAATAGAAACTGCTCAATGCTGTAACTCAGTAGCTAGGGCTTTGCCTTTTGACAATGGCGGCCTGGGGTCTATTTTTGGCTTCTGGAATGATTCCCTTCTGGTTTTTTATTTATGTAACTTTGCCATGTATTGAGGTTTCCCCCCTGCTATAGCTGATTTCCTGTCTTGAATTTTCCTTTCTCTAAACTACCCAGGGGAGATTCTAAATCTTAAAAGAAAAAAAAAAAAAAGCAACTGCTTACCATCTCTTTGAGACACGTGTGTGTCCATGGTTAAGTTATAACCTTAGTTAAAACTTATTAATTTCATGTGGGAAGTTACCTGTGGAATTCAAATGCCAAAAATATTGGCCACTTGGCATGGCTAAAGTTGGGTAATAAACAATTTAAAAGGATTTTTTTTTTAGGTTGAAGAGCGCTATGGTTAAAGGTCAGCTTAATTAAAACTGTATAAACAAGCAATAGGTATATTTAAAAGGCTTTTATGTTTTTCTCTTCTTGGATCTTGCTTTTTCTGGATAAAGGTTTTTGTTCTTCTCAGTTGACTGAATTATTTTTCTCATTTTTTTTTTGTCTTGTTAATCCTTTTTTTTTTTTTTTTCTTTGTGGTGGAGTCTCGCTGTCGCCCAGGCTGGAGTGCAGTGGCGCAATCTTGGCTCCCTGCAGGCTCTGCCCCCTGGGGTTCACGCCATTCTCCTGCCTCAGCCTCCCGAGTAGCTGGGACTACAGGCGCCCGCCACCTCACCTGGCTAATTTTTTTGTATTTTTAGTAGAGACGGGGTTTCACCGTGTTAGCCAGGATGATCTCGATCTCCTGGCCTCGTGATCTGCTCGCCTCGGCCTCCCAAAGTGCTGGGATTACAGGCGTGAGCCACCACACCTGGCATGATCTGACTTTCATTACACCCTTATCCTGGCACCCTCATCCTGGCATCAGAGAAGACTGAGTGGGGAGCTGGACTTTCCTCCTCACCTGGCATTAACGAGGCTCCCTCGACAGTGTCATTGGAGGCTAAGAAAATCTCAACTTGAGTGAGAAATACAATCAACGGACACTAACAACAAGATGACAGAGATATTGGGATTATTTGACAAGGGTTTTAAGACAGTCACCATAAAAATGTCTCAACAAGCAATTACAACAAACTTGAAACAAATAAAAAAGAAGGCTGAGCAAAGAAATAGTAAATCTAAGAGGAAACACATGAGCATTTTAGAAATTAAGATTACAATAATTCCATCCACTCCATGGATCAGCTCAGCAGCAGAATGACAGAGGAAGGAGACTACTGATGTTGAAATTTCTAATGTTCTGTCATTAGAAATTACCCAATCTGAACCACAGAATAAAAAAAAAAAAAGCTAAAAATAAAATGAACAGAGCATCAGGGACAGAGCCTCAGGGACAGGTAGGACTATAACAAAAGACCTAATGTTCATGTCAAAGTCTTAGAGGAGAGGAGGGAGAGGGTGGGGCTAAAAAGTATTCAAGAAAATGATTGAGGAAAAGTTCCAAAATTTAGCGAGACTTAAACCTACAAATCCAAGAATCTGAGTAAAAGTCCTGAACAGTATAAACCCCAGAATTACACAACAAGACTCATCATAATCAAACTTCAGAAAACTAAGAACTAAAAATAAAATCTTGAATGCAGAGATAAAAAATCAACACCTTACCTACAGAGGAACAAGTTGAATGACCATAGATTTCTTGTGAGAACCATGAGAGTCAACAGGAAGTGGGATAACATTTTCCGAGTTCTGAAAGCAAAGAACTGTCAATCTGAAATTTTATATCTAGGAAAATTATCCTTGGGATGAAGGAAAAACAAAGATATTTTCAGAAGAAGAAAAATGGAGAAAATTTATTGTTAGCAGACCTGCTCTAAAGAACAGCTAAAGAAAATTTCAAAACAGAAAGGAAATTATGAAAGAAGGAATCTTGGAACACCAGGAAGGAAGAAAGAACAGGAAGAGCAAAAATATGGACAAATACAATAGGCTTTCCATTGAAAGACAATGAGTCTTTCAAATTACATTTGACAAAGCAAAAATTATAATGCATTCTGATATGGTTCTAAATATGTGTGGAAGAAATGCTAAAATAATTATCAAAAAGGGAATCAAGGGATTTAATGAGAGTTAAGATTTCTACACTCCACTCAAACTGGTGGAATGTCAACAGCAGTAGACTGCTAAGTTATATGCATATATGTATATATATTTATTTATATAATGTAATACCTAGAGCAACTCTTAAAAAACCTATACAAAGAGATATACTCAACACATTATAGGTAAATAATGGATTCTAGAAAGAGTTCAGGAAAACAGGAGAGAGAGACAGAAATAGAACAAACGTGAAACTAAAAGATGAAATGGCAGCCCCAAGCCCTAACATATCCATAATTACTTTAAATGTAAATGGTCTAAATACACCAATTAAAAGACAGAGGCTAACAGAGTGGATTAAAAAAATGATTCAACTATATGCAAGGGTATTGTGCTACTGACAAAAAGTAATCTCAAAAATTCACACAAGGTCGGGCGTGGTGGCTCACGCTTATAATCCCAGTACTTTGGGAGGCCGAGATGGGCGGATCACGAGGTCAGGAGATAGAGACCATCCTGGCTAACATGGTGAAACCCCGTCTCTACTAAAAATACAAAAAAAATCAGCTGGGCATGGTGGCAGGCACCTGTAGTCCCAGCTGCTCAGGAGGCTGAGGCAGGAGAATGGCGTGAACCTGGGAGGTGGAGCTTGCAGTGAGCTGAGATCGTGCCACTGCACCTCAGCCTAGGTGACAGAGCGAGACTCCATCACAAAACAAAACAAAACAAAATTCACACAATATATGATTTCATTTACATAACATTCTTGAAATGATAGAAGCACAGATGGAGAAGAGATGACTAGTTTCCAGGGTTTGGGAACGGTGGGAGCAGAGAGGCAGGTGTGGCTTCAGAGAGGTAGCAAGAAAGACATCTCTGTGTTGACAGAAGAGTTCTGTATCTTGATTGCAGTGGTGATTACATGAAAATATGCCTGTTAAGATGGGTTAGAACTATACACACACCCAGTACCAGTGTCAGTTTCCTGGGTTTGATGTTGTACTATATTTACATACAATGTAACCATTGGAGAAAACCAGGTGAAGGGTGCATGTCTCTCTAAGCTGTCTTTGTAACTTCCTATAAATCCAATATTATTTCAAAATAAAAGTTTAAGACACAGGACAGAATTTTATATGTGGTGTGAGTTCAACCACACAAATAATTTTATTTGGATACAGCAAAATACAAGCAATAAATGCACTTTTTTAAAAAGTTAACAACATAGCCTTCTACAGTGGCATCAGCAACAGGGTATTATAACTTCAGTGGCACCAATATTCAGCATTAATGGAAACGATTTTCTTCTCTGGTTTATAAAATGATGACCTGGCAAGAAAATGTGAGTTATTAGTAAGCAGTGAAGCCAGAAGATGTTTCTGTTCTATTTTAGTGAACTATTTTTGTCTCCTCTTTGTAAACCAAGTGATTGTCCTTATTTTTAAGTATGTCTTGGAGCACAACAAGACTAGTTCAGAAATACATTTCTTGTCTGGTACAGATCATTTTCTAAAGAAATGGTGGTACAGAATTAGATAAAAAGTAGGTCAACTTTACCCAGTAGTTTACAACTCTATACGGTCAAAAAAGATTTCAATCAGGTTTGTTTCATACAGGGAATAGTATTACAGGATACCTTTCCTGGAGGATACGAAATTTCAGATTTTCCAAGAGAAGTAATTTTTTATTCTTTGTGGCACAAACAGTTCTTTTCTGGATTATATGACTGACAAAGATGTAATGTATTATAGTTGAAAACGTGGATTCAGCCTAATTCTTAGGCCAAGTGTGTTTTTGTTTTGTTTTGTTTGTTTTGAGGCAGGGTCTCACTGTCACCTAGGCTGGAGTGCAGTGGCATGAACATGGCTCACTGCAGTCTCGACATCCCAGGCTCAAGTGATCCTCCTGCCTCAGCCTCCCAAATAGCTGGGACTATAGGTGTGCGCCACCATGCCTGGCTAATTTTCTTTCTGCTTTTTTTTTTCTTTTGGAGACGGAGTTTTGCTCTGTCACCCAGGCTAGAGTGCAGTGGCACGATCTCAGCTCACTGCAACCTCTGCCTCCAGGGTTCAAGTGATTCTCCTGCCTCAGCCTCCTGAGTAGCTGGGGTTACAGGCGCACACCACCACACTTGGATAATTTTTTGTATTTTTTTTTTGTTTTTTGAGAGGGAGTCTCACTCTGTCACCCAGGCTGGAGTGCAGTGGCGCAATCTCGGCTCACTGCAAGCTCTGCCTCCCGGGTTCACACCATTCTCCTGCCTCAGCCTCCCTAGTAGCTGGGACTACAGGCGCCTGCTGCCACGCCTGGCTAATTTTTTGTATTTTTAGTAGAGACGGGGTTTCACCGTGTTAGCCAGGATGGTCTTCATCTCCTGACCTTGTGATCTGCCGGCCTCGGCCTCCCAAAGTGCTGGGATTACAAGCGTGAGCCACCGCGCCCGGCCAATTTTTTGTATTTTTATTAGAGATGGGATTTCACTGTGTTTGCCAGACTGGTTTTGAACTCCTGACCTCAGGCAATCCACCCGCCTCAGCCTCCCAAAGTGCTGGGATTATAGGCATGAGCCATTGCAACCAGCTGCCTGGCTAATTTTTTAAATAAGTTTTTGTAGGCATGGGGTCTCACTTTGTCACCTAGGCTGCTCTCAAACTCCTGGGCTAAGTGGTCCTCTCGCAAAAGCCTCCTAAAGTGCTGAGAGTACAGCACTGTGCCCTGCCAGGCTAGGACCTTACAGGCATTCACACTATATATTACTCTAACACACCATTTGTTTATTTGTATTCACCACCCATGTAGAACTGTCACATTGTTTTACTACCTCTTCCTGTGCCTTAGAGCAGGGGTCCCTGACCCCCAGGCCATGGACAGTAGTGGTCTGTGGCCTATTAGGAACTGAGCTGCATAGCAAGAGGTGAGCAGCAGGTGGGTAAGGGAAGCTTCATCTATCTGTATTTACAGCTGCTCCCCATTGCTCACCTCACTACCTAAGCTCCGCCTCCTGTCAGATGAGTGGCAGCATTAGATTATCCTAGGAGCTTGAACCCTATTGTGAACAGCGCGTGAGAGGGATCTAAGTTGCTCGTTCCTTTAGAGAGTCTAATGCCTGATGATCTGTCACTCCCATCGCTCCCAGATGGGACCATCTAGATGCAGGAACAGAAGCTCAGGGCTCCCACTGATTCTACATGATGATAAGTCATATAATGATTTCATTATATACTACAATGTAATAATAATAGAAATAAAGTGCACAATCAATGGAATGTGCTGGAATCATCCTGAAACCACCCCTGCCACCATCTGTGGAAAAACTGTCTTCCACAAACCAGTTCTTGGTGTCAAAAAGGTTGGGGACCACTGCTTTAGAGGAGATTATAATAAGAAGGATCCAGACAACGGGACAAAGCTAAAAAGTTTCATGACAAACATTTGCATGACAGCTCCTCCTTTGTGCTGGTGAAGGTGCTTGTCATTTTCTATTCCAGTTTTGAATGGGGATCTGACTCCAGCTGTTACATACTTTCAGAAACATGAGCAAACAAGTTTAGTGTTTTAGCTACAAATAATCCCCCAAAACACCAAGCAACTAATCCTTGGTCAATAGCTGTTTATTTGAACACAGCTGCTCCATTGCCATCAGACTGAACACGACTATGCAAGAAACCCTCCAAAATGCTACATTTTGAACTTTATAAAACTTACAGCTGCAATAATGCCAGATACTTTATCAGGCATCTGGTATTACTGCAACTGTATCTAACAGATTCCACGGGGCACCCTCCAGGGTTTCTTTTTTTTTTCTTTCTTTCTTTCTTTCTTTTTTTAAAATATACTTTAAGTTCTGGGATACGCATGCAGAACGTGCAGGTTTGTTACATAGGTATATACATGCCACGGTGGTTTGCTGCACCCATCAACCCTACATGAGGTATTTCTCCTAATGCTCTCCCTCCCCTAGCCCCCAACCCCTGACAGGCCCCTGTGTGTGATGTTCCCTTCCCTGTGTCCTTGTGTTCTCATTGTTCAACTCCCACTTGTGAGTGAGAACATGCACTGTTTGGTTTTCTGTTCCTGTGTTAGTTTGCTGAGAATGATGGTTTCCAGCTTCATCCATGTCCCTGCAAAGGACATGAACTCCTCCTTTTTTATGGCTGCAGGGTTTCTTTTAAGATAGAAACTTGTGACAGATGATTTTTACACTGGATCCTGGGAGAGGGGGTTCTCTACCCTGTCTTCTCGCTTTTACTATCTGAAGACTCTTTTCACCTGAGGTCCCACATGGGGAAGCAGAGATCTCTGTTAGCACCTGCTAACATTTATGGTAAAGAACGTCACCTTCTACGTCCAGGCGCTGCACTGAACCCATCATCTTACGTCATCCTCCTGACAATTCTGTGGGCTGAGCACCGTTCTACTGCTCCCCATTCCTGCCATTTTAGGAAGAAAGCAAGGCTTAGAGGGGTTACATTTTCCCAAGAGCATGCAGCTGTTAAGTGGATTTAAATCTGATCTCTTAAAATTTAAATTTGAGCATTCCAGTGATTAAATGCTTTCAAGGAATTGGACATTTTTGGTCAGTCAGCACCGCCTAAAGGCCTCCGTGCTGGAGAGCCCTCACAGCCCCATTCACCCACCCCACTCCCCATCGGTTTGATCAAATGTTGCAGATCCCTAGTCATTTGTCCTTTCTCTGTGCTCTGCAGAAAAAGAAACGGCTAGGAAACAGGAAGACAGCACCCAAGCACTATTTTCATTCTCCTTGACTCTTCTTTGCAGAAAAGGGCCCAGTTTCCTTGCCTTATGTAGTAACACTGAATAAGAGGCAAAGAACACTGCTATTTCTACAGCCGTGTTACCAGCTCTTCCCCACTTAGCCTCTCAGGGTACACGGCCTGGCGATGCCCTTCCTCAAGCCTGATTTTTATTTTGTCTTCGTGCTCAGCTTGCAAGAGCCTGTTGAGCAGCAGGAAAGGGGGAGGCCCAGGCTTTGAGGACGAGCGGCTCGGCTCTGCCTTGGCTGTGTGCTGGCATTTCGTGTTGCGGAGCTGTGGTTGTTTCGTTTGTCTGTATACAGCAGCCACCACACAGTTTGCATCGCAGGGAACCGGATGTCAGCCCTTACCCCCGGGCCCTGTCCAGGGTCTCCCCACTGGTGCGGAGAGGTGGGAGAGATTTCCTCTCCAGCCCCTCTGCTTCTCAGGGCTGGGGGCTCCCCAGCCACCAGTTCCGCTCCCTTGGCTGCTAGGCTGGCCTGGGTGTGCTGGGCACCTGTCCCACTGGCATCAGGGTGGAGGCTCTCCGCAGGCATCAGGGTGGAGTCTTTACAGAAGTGGTTTTCAGGGTGTGGGTTTCAGACCAGCATCATCATCGCCACCTGGGAACTTGTTAAAGATGCAAACTCCGGCCGGGCGCGGTGGCTCACGCCTGTAATCCCAGCACTCTGGGAGGCCGAGGTGGGCGGATCACGAAGTCAGGAGATCGAGACTATCCTGGCTAACACGGTGAAACCCCGTCTCTACTAAAATACAAAAAATTAGCCAGGCGTGGTGGCGGGCACCTGTAATCCCAGCTACTCGGGAGGCTGAGGCAGGAGAATGGCGTGAACCTGGGAGGCGGAGGTTGAAGTGAGCCGAGATCGTGCCACTTCACTCCAGACTGGGCGACAAAGCGAGACTCCGTCTCAAAAAAAAAAAAAAAAAAAAAAGCAAACTCCAAGCCCCCTCCCACTGCCTCTGGACAAGCTCTGTGTCTGACACGCCTACCTGATCATTCTGACCCAACTCAAACTGAAGGCCACCACCACAGTGATGAGGGTTAGAGCCGGGCCTGCAGTGGAACTTCCTGGGACCGGGTCCTGGCCCTGCTGCTCTGTGATCTCAGGCAACTCAAGGAACTTCTCTGTGTCTCAGCTTTTCCATCTGTGAAACAGGGACAATAGTGATAAAGGTAGTCCGTGAGGTTATGGGGTTCCAATGGGGCAGTCCATGGAAAATGCTCAGAAGTTCTAGCACGCAAAGGCTTTGCTGGTGTTAGTTTTACTAATAAACAGTGTTTAGTGTTACTAAATTAACACTGATAATAATTAATAATAACATGGATTTTGCTAGGTTTGGGAAAACTGAAGGAACTTAGAATAAAGAGGAGAAAATCCCAATTCAGCTATGCCACATATGGCCTTCCACGGTCCAAGGGGAAAGCAGTCGAATCCTCCTGGGCCCCTGACAGCATAGCGCTCTGCTCCCCCTCCTGGCGCTTGACGGTGCCCCTCTCCCTCACAGCCTGCTCTAGGCCTGCTGCCACACCATGCTCTGGAGTTTAGGGAACCCCCTCTCTACTCATAGGCACTGTAGGCCTTCTTTCCAGTCCCGCTGTCTCCCCAACCCCACAGCAGCAATCCTTTGTAAGGTTCAAGTTATTCCATCTACACTGAGCCCCAGGGCAGCACTGCCTGCTGTCTCTAGGCATGGTTCTCAGGGACGTCCTTGTCCTGACCCAGGGCTCTGCACTTCCGTGGACCCCCATAGGACCCAGGCCATGGTCCAAGGCTCCAGAGGCTCTGCAGGCCCCAGGCAGCCTGGCTGCAGGTTCACGGAGACCTGGTCCTGCCCCAGGCTCAGGAGGGCACAATCGTGGACGTGAAGGCTTTTGCATGTTCCAGAAGTCCCCTGACCTGTGCAAATATGTCATGCTTAGGGTCGGGGTCCAGCTCCAACTGAGGTCCGAGGAGAGTGGGTGGATGTGGGGCAGGGAGCTGGAAGAACATTCAAGAGACAGCAGGTAAATGAGACATGACTTTATTCAGCAGCTCCTTCACAGGCTCAATGTTACGCTTATACACTACACAAACAATAGTGGCTAAGAGCCAGGTGGGGAGCTTCTCTATGTTATGTCTACCTGGCTATGATTATATAAGACATGGGACTGCACGCTTGCACCCCAACCCCACTGAGTCAACCAGGCTGTTTACCTCGGCCTATGCCTGCTACCCCTATGCCTGCTTGGCTGCAGCTACAGCCATGTTCCTTACAGGATGTTTCTAAAGCTCCATTTCCCAAATCAAGATTGGGGCTCTGAAGAGAGAGGACGAACAAGGGCCTGCTTCGTATCTAAGCCTCATTCTCATTCTGTCTCCCCTTCTCCTTTGCACCATCTCTCAGGACTGGAAGAGAAAAACTCCAGAGTTTTCTTCAACACCCTGGCTTCCCTCTGGTCGGGCGGTAACATGGGGGCCTTGTGGTTCCAGGTGGAGGGCCCCACATTCTCCGCTCTGCAGAGGGGCCTCTGTGATGGCAGGACTCCAGGCTTTGTTCTTCAGTGTTGAAAGATTTTTAGAAAACTGTCTATTCCACACATTTTCATTCTTACTTTCTGTCTTGGTCTTAACAGAGCTTGGCTTTCAAGCTCATTATATTGCTACAGAATCAAACTAAAGTTCATATTGACATCACAATGACTTGGGGCTCTTGTGGGTATCCACCTTTCCCAGAAGCTCAAAAGCCAGGACAACAAAGTTTAGAAGATTCGGGATACTACTGAAAATAGATTTCAAAGTTCCTGATGGCTTCTTTTCCTACAGCAATCCCCTCTTAACCCCATCTTCCCCCTGCCCCTACTGTGCCCCATGTGGCCCACCAGGACTAAGGTGGGACCTCTCGCTAAGCCACATCCTTTCAACAAGGTTTTCCTGTGGTTACCCCATGCTTTGAAGTGACTGCTCAGAAGCGCTCAGCTCATTCTTAGCCAAGACCCGGCCCAGGGTGCTGTTTGTGGGGAGGAAAGGAGGTGAACTGCACTCCTGTATTTTTGTAAAGAAACTACTCGGCATCTGGTGCCTGCTCGATTCATTGCAGCAGCTGTTACTATTTTGCCCATTAAATCTCTCTGCAGCACTGAGCTCACTCACCTTCTCATAGGAAGTTATCCTGCGTCTATTTCCACCACCCCCACTGGACCACAACACCCCTGGACAACACTGTTCCCCAGCTTCCTCAGGCATAAAATTGGGATTATAATACTATTACCTCGTAGGACTATCTTGATACCAAAACAGGCGATATCTCTAACTCACATAGTACAGCACCGAATACAGTGTCTTAAAAAGCAGTTATTGATACTAGCTACATATTTTTAAATAATTTATTGAAATGAAATTCACGTAACACAAAATCATTTTACAGTGAACAATTCAGTGGCATTTAGTGCATCTGCAATGTTGCGCAACCACCACCTCTAGTTCTGAAACGTCTCCATATTTCAAAACAAAACCCTGTCCTCATTCAGCAGCTTCCCTTCATGGCCTTTCCTCCCAGCCTCTGGCAACCACCAATCTGCTTTCTGTCTCCATGGAATTATCTATTCTGGATATTTCATATAAATGGAATCATACAATATGTGACCTTTTGTGTCTGGCTTCTTTCACTGAGCATAATGTTTTCAAGGTTCACCCGTGTTGCAACATGAATCAGTAACTCTGTGTCTTTGGGGGTGAATCCTATTCTATTGTATGGATGCAACACAATTTGCTTATCTGTTGGTCAGTTGTTGGGTATTTGGGTTGTCTCCACCTTTTGGGTACTGCGAACAGTGCTGTTATGGGTATGTGTGTGTACAGGTATTTTTTTCACTTTCTGCTTTCAGGTCTCTGGGGTATATGCATAGCAGATTTCTGTGTCACATGGTATCTCAATGTTTACTTTTTTTCTCTGTGTGCAAATATTTTTTATTGTAGTAAAATGTATATAACATTTACCATGTTAACCATGTGTGTGTGTTTGTTTGTTTTTGAGATGGAGTCTCACTCTGTTGCCCAGGCTGGAGTGCAGTGGCACGATCTCGTCTCAATGCAACCTCTGCCTCCCGGGTTCAAGTGATTCTCTTGCCTCAGCCTCCCAAGTAGCTGTGATTACAGGCATCCACCACCACGCCCAGCTAATTTTTGTATTTTTAGTAGAGATGGGGTTTCACCATGTTGGCCAGGCTGGTCTCGAACTCCTGACCTCAGGTGATCCTCTTGCCTTGGCCTCCCAAAGTGCTGGGATTACAGGTGTTAACCATGTTTAAGCATACAGTTCTGTGCATTAGGTACCTTTGCACTGCTGTGCACCCATCAACATTATCCATCTCCAGAACTCATCCATCATCCCAAAATGACACTTTGATCCACTACACAATAATTCCCCACTCCCCCCTCCCTCAGCTGCTAACTGGCTTTTGACTTTCTGTCTCTATGAATTAGATTGCTCTAGGCATGTCATATAAGTGGAATCATGAAGATTTATTTTTTGTGAGTGGTGTATTCTACTTAGCATAATGTCTTCAGGATTCATCCATGTTATGAATGTATTAATATTAGAATTTCTTTGCTTTTGAAGGAGTATTCTGTGGTATATACCACATTTTGTTTATCCATTCATCCGTTCATGGACGTTTCAGTTGTTTCCAGCTTTTTGATGTTGGGAATAACACTGCTGTGAATACCAGGATATAATCTGTTTGAGTCTCTGCTTTCAATTGTTTGGCATATATACCCAGAAATGGAATTGCTGGATCATACAGTAATTCCATTTTGGATTTCTTTAGGACTTGCCATACTGTTTTCTATAGGGTCTACACTATTTTACATTTTCACCAGCAGTATACAAGAGTTCCAATTTCAGGCCAGGCATGGTGGCTCACGCCTGTAATCCCAGCACTTTGGGAGGCCGAGACAGGAGGATCACTTGAGGTCAGATGTTCAAGACCAGCCTGGCCAACATGGTGAAACCCCATTTCTACTAAAAATACAAAAATTAGCCAGGCATGGTGTCGTGCACCTGTAATCCCAGCTATTCGGGAGGCTGAGACAGGAGAATTGCTTGAACCGGGGAGATGGAGGTTGGAGTGAGCCAAAATTGTGCCATTGTACTCCAGCCTGGGCAATAGAGCAAGACTCCATCTCAAAAAAAAAAAAAAAGTGAATTCCAATCTCTCTATATCCTTACAAACACTTATTATTTTTCATATTTCTAAATTATAGCTATTCTAGTGAGTATGAAGTTTGCTTTTTATTTGTAGTTCCCTAATAACTAATGATGTTCAGCATTTTTTCATGTGCTTGTTGACCATTTGTGTGTATGTGTGCGTATGTGTATATATGTCTATTTCAGTCATTTGCCCACTTTAAAATTAAGTTTTGTTGTTGTTGGGTTATAGAAGTTCCTTATATATTCTGGATATTAATCCCTTGTCAGATATTTTGGCCAAATCCAAGGTCATGAAGATTTGCCCCTTTGGTCTTGATCTTTTTTTTTTTTTTTTGAGACAGAGTCTTGCTTTGTTGCCCAGGCTGGAGTGCAGTGGCGCAATCTCGGCTCACTGCAAGTTCCACCTCCTGAGTTCATGCCATTCTCCTGCCTCAGCCTCCCAAGTAGCTGGGACTACAGGTGCCCACCACCACGCCCGGCTAATGTTTTTGTATTTTTAGTAGAGACAGGGTTTCACCATGTTTGCCGGGGTGGTCTCAATCTCCTGACCTCAAGTGATCAGCCTGCCTCAGCCTCCCAAAGTGCTGGGATTACAGGCGTGAGCCACCGTGCCCGGCCTGGTCTTGCTCTTATATTTAGATCACTGACTTATTTTGAGTTAATGTTTGCATACCATGTGAAGTGGGTTCCAAATTTATTATTTTGCACGTGAATATCCAGTGATCCCAGCACCATTTGTTGAAGAGACTATTCTTTCTCCATTGAATGGTCTTAGCACCTTTGCTGAAAATCAATTTGTCATAGATATGATTTATTTCTGGGCTCTCAATTCTATTCCATTGGTCTATATGTCTATCCCTCTGCTAGTACCACCGTTTTAACTACTGTGGCTTTGTCATAAGTTTTGATATCGGAACGTGTGAGTCCTCCAGTTTTGTTCTTCTTTTTCAAGATTGTTTTGGTTATTCGCGTTCACTGCAGTGCCACTGAAATTTTGATAAAGATTGAGTTTGAATTTGTAGATTGCTTTTTATCTTGACAATATTAAGTCTTTCAATCCATGAAAATGAGATGTCTTTCCATTTATATCGCTCCTTTAATTTATTTCAGCAATGTTTTACACCTTTCAGTTCACAAGTCTGTCACAGTTACATTCTCCTTGATTAAATTTATCCCTAGGTATTTTATTCTTTCTGATTCTATTGTAAATGAATTTTTTTTTTTTGAGACAGAGTCTCGCTCTGTCACCCAAGTTGGAGTGCAGTGGCTCGATCTCAGCTCACTGCAAGCTCCGCCTCCCAGGTTCACACCATTCTCCTGCCTCAGCCTCCCAAGTAGCTGGGACTACAGGCGCCCACCACCACGCCCAGCTAATTTTTTGTATTTTTAGTAGAGATGGGGCTTCACCGTGTTAGCCAGGATGGTCTTGATCTCCTGACCTCGTGATCCACCTGCCTTGGCCTCCCAAAGTGCTGGGATTACAGGTATGAGCCACTGCACCCAGCCGAAATTTTAATCTTAATTTCCTTTTTGAGTTTTTCATTGTATTGAAACACAACTGATTGTGTTGATCATGTATTCTGCAATTTGGCTGAATTTGTATATTAGATCTGTGCTGTGATTTGAATATGTCACCCCAAAATGCATGTTGGAAACTTAATTCCTATTGTAACAGGATCAAGAGATGAGGCCTGTGATTGTTAATACTAAGTGTCAATTTGATTGGATTGAAGGATGCAAAGTATTGATCCTGGTGTGTCTGTGAGGGTGTTGCCAAAGGAGATTAATATTTGAGTCAGTGGGCTGGGGAAGACAGATCCACCCTCAATCCGGGGGGGTGGGAGGACCATCTAAACAGCTGCTAGCAAATATAAAGCAGGCAGGAAAATGTAAAATAGTTAGACTGGCCTAGCCTCCCAGCCTACGTCTTTCTCCCGTGCTGGATGCTTCCTGCTCTTGAACATTGGACTCCAGGTTCTTCAGTTTTAGGACTTGGATTGGCTCTCCTTGCTCCTCAGCCTGCAGATGGCCTATTGTGGGAACTTGTGATTACGTGAGTTAATACTTAATAAAGTCCCCTTTATATATATCCTATTAATTCTGTTCCTCTAGAGAACCCTGACTAATACAGGGCCTTTGGGAGAGAATTAGGATGAGATAAGGGGCATCATATCATCCATCACATCAGTGTGGGGCCCTGTGATGTCTTCCTAGGAAGAGGAGGAGAGACCTGTGCTGGCGTGCCCTTGCCCCCTTGCCAGGTGGTGCCCTTTGCATGTTACGATACAGTAAGAAGGCTCTCACCAGATGTGGCACCTTGACCAGATGAATGAAATAGAACATTCACGTCTCCTGGGAATTTGGTCATGACAGAATCTGAGAAGGAGCAGGGAGCTGGAGGAAGCCAGGCCTCCTGACAGCGCCCAGCGACCTCAGACACGCCTGATAAGAGTCTGTCCCTTGTATCAGGTAGTGCTAGGGTCATGTTCTATCTTTGCCATATTTCATCTTTGACCTTGAACTTCCCAGATTCCAGAATTGTAAGAAATACATTTCTTTGTAAATTACCTAATTTTGTAGTATCCTATAATAGCAACAGAAAATGAACTAAGATAATCTAGAAGTTTTTTTTAAATTTCTTTAGGATTTTCCATAGAAGATCATGTAATTTGCAATAGAAATAGTTTTACGTCTTCCTTTCCAATTTGTATGTCTTGCCTAAGTGCTTTGACTGGAACTTCCAATACAATGTTTAATATCAGAGGTGAAAGCAGGAATCCCTGTCTTTTTCTTATCTGAGGAGTAAAGCTTTCAGTCTTTCTAGCTATTTATTTTTATTTATTTATTTTTTTTTGAGACGGAGTCTCAGCCTGTCACCCAGGCTGGAGTGAAGTGGTGCGATCTCGGCTCACTGCAATCTCCACCTCTTCGGTTCAAACGATTCTCCTGCCTCAGCCTCCCGAGTAGCTGGGACTACAGGCACGTATCACCACACCCGGCAAATTTTTGTATTTTTAGTAGAGATGGGTTTTCACCATGTTGGCCAGGCTGGTCTCGAACTCCTGACGCTATTTTTAAAAAAACCTTATTCTTCCTTTTCCTAACCATATACAACCTTCATGAGAGCTTTGAAACCAGTTTCACCACCTTTAATCATCTTTGTAACAACTTTTCTACTTAGCAAGAGCATAAGCTTGGATATAAAAATAGCATTGTTTTCCTCTTACTTTAGTTTACAAATATTTATAATATTCATAATTATCTCACCTCTTCTACTTCATATTCTCAGTTCATGTCTGACATAACTAAGTACTGATTGAGGTCATAGTTAAGCGCTCCACCCATCTGAATACTACCTAATTTTTGTCTAACTAAATTCTCTTTTCTCTGATCAGCAACATTTTTCAGAGATAGCTTAGTGAAAGTTTGAGCCATAAATTTAGCTAGTTTCATGTCATGCCTCCCAGATTTTCTTTGACACAAACGGGTAAAACTGCAGTGTTTAGAGCATGCTGGGGTCTTTTATTGCCTGGCTTGCATCACAAATGTCTGCTCAAAACGTGCTGAAGAGGGGCATTCCCAAGAAACAAATTCAGGTTGCTCTAGGCCGGCCTAGATCTGGCACATCTGCTTTGGATTTCATTATAACTTTAAAATGCTAGGGCAGGCAATGCTCTGGTGCAGCAGAATCTCCAGGGGACTCCGCGCAGCCCTGAATGCTGCCAGACCGTTTGAAATAACATGTCAGTGAGTTTGGAAAGACCTACTTTAAGAGTACAGATGGAGCAAGAGTACAGGGGGAAGACTCTTCATTCCCCCTGAGTCAGGTCCAATAAGTGAGCGAGAAGACCATGAAAGACTCCGAGGGCAACAGAACACTAGGACTGCTCGTGGCCCATCCGCCTCGAGAACGGCGGGTGTTTCCGTGGAAGCCTAGGACCCCGCAGTGTCCTGGCGGCTTTGCACACATTATCACAGCTCTAAGAGGTGGATACTGCTAACCACTTTCTACTGATGAGGAAGCAGAGGAAGCAGGCTCAGAGGGACACAGCATTTGCTTAAGGCCGCAGACCTGGCACCAGCAGAACAGGGATTAGGTTGTGGGACTTAGGGTAGTGTCTATGCTCTTTCTCCTGTACAGGGGTTGGCAAACTAGGCCTCAGAACCAATCGCACTCCCTATTTACGATTTGTAAATAAAGTTTTATTGGAATACAGCCACATCCACTTACTTCTGTATGGTGTGTTGCCACTTCTGCCACAGAACCAGATTGTAGTCTACAAAACCTAAAATATTTACTATCTGGCCTTTACACCCACAAAAAATGTGTTGTTCCGTGCTTGAGACCATAAGACCTTTCCTTACTCCTGGGGTTTTCCTTCACTTACTATATCCCCATCCAACAGGAATCCTAGAAAAATCTGCCGTATGTCCTAAGATAGTGACTCCAGCCCACTCCTCTCCCTGACAGAGACAGACTCAGGAGGGTGGCTCCTTCAGCTTCACGCGGTTTAACCCCCACCACCAGCATGCAGGTGCCCAGCACATACCCAGCCTTCCCTTACCTGAAAAGTGTTGCCTAGTGGCCCTGACCTCGTCACGGGCACTGTCTGATGCCAGCTGTCAGGGCTGCTCTGTTAAGGGAGAGACTGGGCTGTCTCCGCTTCCCCTCCCTGCTCAGTGCTTCCTCCCATGGCCATAGTGGCAGCTTTGTCCCAGGACCCAGGTTCCCTCGATAGAGGACCTGAAATGAAGGGGAAATAACCCACAAGTTCCATGTGTTAGAAATGACTTGGAGGAGTCCTAAGAATCCCATCTGCATGAGTGTGTCCTTAAGCCCGACTGGAGAGCTAGGCTTCATCGCCCTGGTAACCACCATCAGCAGTGCTCCTACTATCTGCTAGTTGTTGGCACATTATCTCCAGGCCTCATAACAGCCCCTGCGATAGGTGCAAATATTTTCATTTTACAGGAAAACCATGGGCTCAGTGCATGCTAAGATCATGTCTTAGTTCATTTGTGCTGCTACAACAAATACCCGAGACTGGATAATTTATAAAGAACAGAAACTAGTTTCACATAGTTCTGGAGGCTGGGAAATCCAAGTTCAAGGCACTAGCGGTTCAGTGTCTGGGGAAGGCTGTTCTCTCCTTCCAAGATGGTGCCTCGATGCTGTGTCCTCTGAAGGTGAGGAACACTGTGTCCTCACATGAGGAGAGACGGAAAAGAAAGATGCCAAACCCTATGTGAAGCCTCTTTTATGAAGGCCTTCATCCTATTCACAAGAGAGGAGCCCTCAGGGCCTAATCACCTCTCAAAGCCCCACCTCCCAACGCCATGACGATAGGCCTTGAGTTTCAACATTTGGATTCTGGAGGAGACACGTTTGGACCACAGGAGACCCTGATGCAGGGCACATGCGCAGTCAGTGCTCTAGGCCAGCAATCATGCCTGCTCATGACCCTCTGTCAACTCCACTTGCCCCTGTACGATTAGGTACAGAAGTATAGTGTCTGGTAAGGACTACACCCCAAGACCCTGAAGCGGCAGGAGAAGTGGGCCTGGTCTCCTCACTGTCCTGAACCCAACACTCCAAGGCTCAGAGCAGGGCTGGGCTTGGTGGCGGGGTCACTCTCCATGCCCAGGCTGATGGAAGATGCAGGTGCCCTGGGCAGGGGCTGTGGGCCCCATGCATATCCGCAGGCTCCTCCAACAATTTCCCCACAACCTCACACTCCCTCAGACTTGGGGGGCAGTGTTCCCCTCCCCAGCCGTTGGGTCTCTGTGTCTCTCTGCCCAGCCTGTGAGCTCCGTCTCCTCACTCTCAGCAAGGTGGCCGAGTGCCTGCTATGGGACAGGGCCAAGCAGGCACTTCCCAGACTGCAGTGACCTGCACCATGGAAGTATCCAGAAAAGGCACAAGCTTGCAGCACTGGGCGGTCCTATCCCATCAGGCTCTCCCTATTTTCCTGCAGGATTTATCCTTGTTGCTGTTTCTGTCTAACCTGATGCTGATGCTGCCGGGTTCTCCACCACCAGGAAGTGTCACCCTCTGTCTTGGGCAGTCTGGAGGGGCTCATTCAGGCCTTCGCAAGTCCACGGCCTCCGGACAGCAGACCTCACCAGCTGAGGTTGAGGCTCAACGTGCGCGTTATTTATGGGCCACGTATGACCCAGTGTTGTGTTTGCAGGACTTGCTGCTGGGGTGCAGGACATTCCCCATGAGTTTGGAGCCTGGCAGTCTAGAGATTTATGGCCTGAGCAGCTAGAAGAGGAAGCTGTAAAGTGCCTACAGAGCAGCTCTAAAAATTAAGATGTCTGCCTCCTGCACCCACAGGCGGGAAATGCTAGACCCCTGCCGCCTGGCTTAGTCTCCTCACACCGAGTTCATTCATGCTTGAAATGAGAAAGAAGGACAGGATGCATTTCATGCAATTTTGTCAGAGAATCTTCCTTATTTTTAGTTCCTGAAATAAAATAGAACATTCGAGTTTCCTGGGAAGTTGATCATGACAGAATCTGAGAAGGAGCAGGGAGCGGGAGGAAGCCAGGCCTCCTGACAGGCCCAGCGACCTCACAGGCCTCAGACGCAATGTGCCTGAGAAGAGTCTGTCCTTTGTATTTGGGTGGCGCTAAGGTCATGTTCTATCTTTGTCATGCACTTGCTGTCTAACTTGGGCCACGTATTAGTATTAAATTCTCTGGGTCTTGGTGTTTGACTTCACAGCTTTTAATGAGGGGACCATGGTGAACGTAGAGCCCCGGGCCTCACCTTAGATATGCAATTAATCCGGCCGGGCGCGGTGGCTCACGCCTGTAATCCCAGCACTTTGGGAGGCCGAGGCGGGCAGATCACGAGGCCAGGCGATCGAGGCCATCCTGGCTAACACGGTGAAACCCCGTCTCTACTAAAAATACAAAAAAATTAGCCGGGCGTGGTGGCGGGCACCTGTAGTCCCAGCTGCTGGGGAGGTTGAGGCAGGAGAATGGCGTGAACCCAGGAGGCGGAGCTTGCAGTGAGCCGAGATTGCGCCACTGCACTCCAGCCTGGGCGACAGAGCGAGACTCCGTCTCCAAAAAAAAAGATATGCAATTAGTCCCCTTTCTTCGCCTCTGCCTTCTCCTCCCCTAACCTGGCTCAGCAAAGCCTAAGGCCAAAGGCTTCAAAAAGTCTGAAGTGTTAAAGTATAAGCTGAGGGAGAGCAGGGCCCTGAAGGGCAGGGGTCACTCACTGAAGGGTACGGCCGGCTCTGCAGCGTGGTGAATCACTGTGCGTCCTGGGCCTAAGGCACAGGTGAGCGCCAGGTGCAGGGCATCTTCCCCACGCGCAGAGCAGGAAAGGCAGTGAGCACAGACACCCAGAGGCTCCAGTGTTTGCTGGTCTCAGCCTCGGCTAAGCACTTAACCTTTACACACAGTGTCCCAATTTAGTGCTTCCAATAACCCTGTTCAATGCTATTATTGCCTTCATTTACATCTAAGGAAAGTTCAGCCCAGAAAGGGCAGGTTACTTGCCCAGGTACCCACAGCTGGTAGCTAGAACGAGGTTTTGGCTCAAGGTTTCGGGGGCTCCAGATCCTAATCTCTAATCCACTGAAGGCCAAGCCAACTCAGAAGGATTGAGTTTTAGAATGAGAAAAACCTTCATCATTTTTTAGGGCCAGCAAATGTCAAGAGGAGGAGAGTCAAGAGGCAACCTCACAGAGCACGTCCTGTGTGCCAGCCATGGAGCCACGGGCAGGACGAGAAAAGTCAGTCTGCTGCCCTTCCCAGGGCACTGACCTGAGACAGAAAGATGATCTCGATGAACTCTCCTGGGCTGCGGAGGGCTGGGATGTTTGGGGAACTGTCGGGATAGGCAGAGCCTATAAATCTAATGCAGAGGCCTTACTTACACTGAGCCAGTTACAAGAAGCAACTCTTGCTAACTCCCAACTTAAAAGGCCAACAGTCTGGATTTCCCATGGCCGCACCTGCCCCACCCCACCCAGCTAGGCTGCTAGCATCAGGAATTGGCCAACATTTTGGGGAGTGAAATGACTCTGACAAGTGGGGCCCTCTGGAGAGCCTGAGGCCTTCAATAAGTCCTCAGAGTCCTGATTCTGGATGATCAAAGGAGTCCTGGGTCTGCCTGAAATCACCCAGGAAATGGTTGTTTGGTGTCGTTTCCTGCTGGCCAGGACAGGCCCTGCAGGCTGCCCAGAGCCGCTCCCCTGCCAAGAGCAGGCATCTGTCAGTGGCCCTGGGGTCATGGCTGGAGATGAACATTTTTGAACTTGTTTTAATGATGTTCAGAAGAGAGGAGCAAGAGAGCAGGTGGTGGCCCTGATGCACACACTCTCAAACCAGGTGGGACGGCCACCTGGTCACCCTGCCCAGGACACAGGCCCTCAGGTAGCCCCGCCTGGTGGGTTTCCTTCAGGGTATGTTCACCTGCTGGCACTCACCTGTTGGCGCCCTGCAGCTTGGCACCACCTCCCTCTAGTACCCCACACTGTACCCCACACTGTATTGCAAATGATGAGCGCTTGCTCTCGCTAGGGAGCTCAACTTCCATCTCTTTTTGCCAAAAAGGCAAATCAGTCACAAGTGCAGAACTCGCTCGTGATGAGGATACGCCAACATGCTGGACAGAGGTGTGGAGGATTATTTTCTGGAGGGGCCAGTATTATATTCTTTGCGGGTTCTACTCAAAGCCAGGGTCCCTTGGGTCTTGTCCAGGGCAAGGGCCGGGGGTTAAGTGTCGAATCCAGTCAGCAGCAGTTGTCTCAATTTCAGTTTAGACATCATTAAAAGGGTTCCTTGAAAGCAACTTGACATTCGAATGGAGAAAAAAAGAGTAAAGTAGACAATCCCAAATGTTAGATAATACAAATAATTGGTATTCTGTGTGTTTGGCATACGTGTGGTTCTTTCATTTTAGGTGGGCCTAATACTCTAGGAATTCAAAATCTTTCAAAGAAGTAAACATGCAGTTCTACAAAGACCCTGGAAATTGTCCACATTCCATATCCTGCCTGCTCCTCACCTATTTCCCTTCCCCTGTCATGTGTTTTGACTTTTCTTAACTTTTTCAGGCTCACGTGTTCAACTTTTAAAAGGGTTTTCCCTCATCCCTCAAAACAATAATAATTTAAAAAACCTAATAAACCCTGGAGCTGTAATTCGAGCGTAGGGCCACCAGATGGCAGCGGAGCATAAGTCACAGGCTCCGCGCTGCACCGGAAAGAAGCGCCTTGCTAGATCCTGCCGTGGGGAAGAAGGGCCCGGAGTCTATACACGCGGGTATAGACTGCACAACAGATTGAGGAGGAGGCTCAGCTCAGACGGCTAAGCCGTTTATTCTCAATCACGTGAGTCGTCAGTAGCAGGAGGCGGACCTGACTCAGGCCTGCTGAGCGCTCAGGCTACCTCCAGGGATGTGGAACCAGACAGCTCCTTGTTCCTGACCCAAAGACGGCTCATCTGGATGTTTAAATGTCAACAATATTGGCCTCTACCCAAAGCTTTAAGTGGAAAATCTCGAATATTTCTAACTGATTCCTCTTTCTTCTGCCGCCGGGCCCTAAGCCCGCAGGGCCCGTCCGCTGTCCTTGGAAATGCCTCTACAAAAATCCCCGCCGCCCTTTCTGTTCAATAACGTGACGTTAGCCACATGCTCGCTAGTCTCAGGGATTCAGAAATGTCAACTATTCTCTCCTCCTTTAAAGATTTTTTAAAGGGTAAACCAAGTCCCAGGTAAAATTTTATCTGAAGGAATTCTTAACTTACAGCAACTTCTAAAGCTGGTTTTATACCCAAGTTAGAGTTAGAAAGTTCCCTGGATGTCCTCCCTGTTTGACCTGGCAGGGGAGAAGTTTCTAGCACGCTTGTCTTTCCTTGCTTCTAGCCTAGCTGGGTTATTTTTAACTCAGGGACTGGCCCCGAGGCCCCAGCTGCTCGGAGTGGTCGAGGCCCCACAGGTGTGAGGGCTGGGGGCCTTGAGAGGCTCGGGCACCTGGCCCAGCAAGCACCTGGGCCTGGAGTCCACCCCAGGCCTTGGGGTTCTTTACAGACTCTTGCTCCGGGTTACCCCAGATTGCTTCATCCCGCCCCAGGGGAGGTGCAGAGGTGAGGCCTGTGAGACCTCCGCCACCCCCTCCTCTGCAGCTGTGACCCCGGAATCCGGTTTTCCTAAACTTGGTGTAACAAGGCCCTGGCAATGGCCTGGGCGCCAAGGCCTCAGTGTGGACTCCGTGGATCTAGGAGGGTACCTGGGCAGAGACAGCCATTTCCCCTTCACGTGACCATCACTTCCGGGTCACGTGACGACCGCTCTCTAAGCCACGTGACACTGCGGGGCATGGCAGGTAGGCGTGGCACGTGGAAACCAAGCTCTATCTCTTATGGGAGTCCCGAGTCGTCAGCCTTTGTTTCACAGAACGTTCCTGCGGCTTCCCGGAGCAGCCTCGCCAGAGTCCAGACCAACAGGATGCTGCCCGCCCTTCTTAGTGTGTTGGGGGTGCTAGGCCAGGAAAAGGGCCCACGCGAGATCTGCGTAGACAGTGATGACCCAGCCTTGCAGGGGGCTCCCGCAGCAGCTGAGGACAGGCCTCGGGGTGGTCGCCCACAGGCGGCCTAACCCTGCCTGCAGCCTCGGGAGCAGCCACGGTTGGATGGGGCAGTGGGAGGCCTGTGGGGATGCGGAGAGTGTGGTGGGGGTGAGAGCCCTTCTTTGATCCGCGCCGGCAGGGGAAAGGGATTTGGATCCCGGGTATGACAGTTGTAAAACAGGAGGCTCCTGAGGCCTGGGTGGCCCCGAGCAGAGGGCCAGGCCCGGCCCATCCCTGCTGTCTGAGCTGGTTCTCAGGCCACCTCCCGGAAGCCAGAGTCCCTGGCAGTTGGGAGCACAGACGCTGTGGCTCTTGCTGTTAAGGCCACGGCACCCTGAGAGAACTAACACTTGTGTTAGGAAGGCAGCGGGTTCACAGCCGCTTCCTGAGCAGAGCGCGTCAGGCCCACCTGTGTGGCTGTTGGGCTGCAGTTGGCTCCTGGAGACATGTCAGGGACAGGCGCCTCAGAGAAGGATGATCTGGAGTCAGGCACTCGTGTGAGGCACTGCTGGAGTGAGGGGTCGAAAGAGGGAATGGATTTGTGATTTTTTTCTAAAGTGAAATTTCTCCTGGGCATTTCCACTTTCCTCCGAATTTGCCTATACTTTAACCCTTTGCTAAGCCTTGCCTCAAGCACATCCCCACCGCCACCGTCTGCATTTCACTGTTCTCAGGGCCGTAAATGTCCGGTATTAGCCACAACCTTTTACTGGATTTGCCTTTGCCATCTTACATTGAAAACAATGCCTTAAAAGGGAGACCGAGATTTCTGCAAGACGAGTTTCAGCTCAAATTTCTCGCCCATGAGGAATAGGGAAAACAGGTCCCTCTCCCCCTTAATGGGCAGGAGCTGACAGTGTGACTTATTGAGTGAGTCCACAGTGTTCTTTACTAAAATGTTATATACATCCTCCTCCTCCTCCTCCAGCCTGGAGCACTGCTATCCTAAGACCACAGCTTGAGTTTTAGAAGGGAAGAGAAAAGAGAGACAGCTACAGTGAATGGCTGTGATAACTGGTGTTTTCTAAACATTTGTGCTCCTGTTCTTAGCAGCTCCAGACCTGGATTCACCGTGCTGCAGGGACTGTTCTTTAAACAGTTTAGCCTAGAGGATAGAATTTTCTTTGATGGCCCATTGAAGAGGACCCAGGCAGGGAAGGACATTGAAATTCCAGTCTACTAAGCAACCTTTTCCAAAGGAGCTCTCTTTCCCAGGCTGTCTTGTTTTCAGGAGCAGCCTCCTCAAATACTTTGAAAGCCAGCAAGGCCGTGATGGTGGTCGTAGGTCCCCCACAGGGGTCCCTTCCATGGCCCTGGGAGTCCCCTAACTGTGTTTTGAGGGTCACAAGCATTTGTAAAAGTTGTAAAAGTAAGGCTTTTTTTGGTGTTCTTTTTCTTAAAGAGTTTATTCTTCTCAGAAATTGTAAAAGTCCTATGCTCTACAAAACCTGGATCTGAGCCTGTTCTTGTTTTAAATGAGGCATATGAATCAGTGAATGCACCCCATAAATAACTGAGGTGCACGCAGGAAGAGCCAGTAAAACTTTATCTGGGCCGGCTGTGGTGGCTCACACCTGTAATCCCAGCACTTTGGGAGGCCGAGGCAGGCGGATGACGAAGTCAGGAGTTCGAGACCAGCCTGGCCAACATGGTGAAGCCCCATCTCTACTAAAAATACAAAACTTAGCCGGGTGTGGTGGCACACGCCTGTAGTCACAGCTACTCGGGAGGCTGAGGCAGAAGAATCACTTGAACCCGGGAGACAGAGGTTGCAGTGAGCCAAGATTGCACCACTGCACTCCAGCCTGGGCAACAGAGCGAGACTCTGTCTCAAAAAAAAACAAAACAAAAACCACAGAAAAACAACTTTATCTGTTCATTTTTTAAAATCAAATAAGAAAATCACGTTTTACGAATGTTACATAGACTGGTCTCTTATCCCCCAAATGCATGCATGTCAGAGGGGCACGGACATCCCTGAAGAGTGAATGAGGAGCCCCCACTGGAGGGCGGGGGCAGGGTGTGCTCACTGGCTCTTTCCTTTCAGCATTTGGTGTATGTATTCAACTGACATGGGAGCCGCATATTCAGTCTTGCTGCTTGCACTCAAAACACAAGTCGGAGTCACAGCAAAAACACTTTTAAAGTTAAGATAAAATATTGTTTATTTTTGTTATAACCTTTAAAGTGTGTGTGTTTATAACAAAGCATATTAGTGCAGTAGTTGTGCATATACGTGTAAAATCAGTAACTTACTTGGCGGGTGCTTTCTGAAAGTCTAATAGGGGTGCACCATTGGAAGTCTGGAAATTATAGTTTTAAAGTACTGCACAGGTTGAGCATCCCTAATCTGAAATCCAAAATGCTCCAAAATTTGAAACTTTGAGTTTCCAAATCCAAAAAGTTTGATATGATGCCACAAGTGGAAAATTTCATACCTGACCTTGTGACACATTGTGGCCAAAACTTTGTTTTATGTACAAAATTATTAAAAATATTATATAAAGTTATCTTCAGGCTATGTGTATAAGGTGTATATGAAACATAAATAAATTTCATGTTTTGACTTGGGTCTCATCCCCAAGATATCTCATTATGTGTATGCAAATATTTCAAAATCCAAAAAACATAATAGTTTTAGTTTTCTGGTCATGACAAGACAAGAGGTCAATTATACCTCAGTACACTTCTTTCTTCACTAACCTTCACGGGACCTTTTTTACTTAAGAAATAAGCAGAAACCAGTCCTGGAAAACAAAAAACCAAGACTCCTCTGCTGAATTCAAGCAACCTCCTGATGCTGCACCCAGACTCGCCTCTCCTTTCCCTGGTTTTGACGTGATAGCTGACCGGTTTACATGATCACAATCACAGACTGGTTCTGGCTGGTTTATGGAGGATGTGCACACAGCACCTTTGTGTTCTATCTTTCACCTTTTGACATAGAGCCTAATTTTACTGCATTTTAATATTACATCTTCATCCCAACTGAACATGGGACACATGTAACATATAAGTTTGCTTCCCACACAGGTGTATGACCTTTCTTCATGAATATTCATAGCTTCTCCTATAACCTGTTAAATATTTATATTTAGCTAACCTGTTTAACATAAAACTCCTATCCCACCCTCCTTCCCTCCAAGCACCTGCTTTCAGTCTCAACGGAAGGCTCCATTTCCCAGCCTGCAGGTTGCAGCCCTTCATAAAAAATAAAGTTCTCTAAACAAATTTACAAGAAAAAAAACCCCATCAAAAAGTGGGCAAAGGGTATGAACAAACACTTCTCAAAAGAAGACATTTATGCAGCCGACAGACATATGAAAAAATGCTCATCATCACTGGTCCTTAGAGAAATGCAAATCAAAACCACAATGAGATATTGTCTCATGCCAGTTATAATGGCGATTATTAAAAAGTCAGGAAACAACAGATGCTGGAGAGGATGTAGAGAAATAGGAATGCTTTTACACTGTTGGTGGGAGTGTAAGTTCAACCATTGTGGAAAACAGTGTGGCAATCCCTCAAGGATCTAGAACTAGAAATACCATTAGACCCATCAATCTCATTACTGGGTATATACCCAAAGGATTATAAATCATTCTACTATAAAGACACATGCACATGTACGTTAACTGCGGCACTATTCACAATAGCAAAGACTTGGAACCAACCCAAAAGTCCATCAATAATAGACTGGATAAACAAAATGTGGCACATATACACCACGGAATACTATGCAGCCATAAAAAAGGATGAGTTCATGTCCTTTGCAGGGACATGGATGAAGCTGGAAACCATCATTCTCAGCAAACTACCACAAGAACAGAAAACCAAACACCACAGGTTCTCACTCATAAGTGGCAGTCGAACAATGAGAATACATGGACATAGGGAGGGGAACATCACACACCAGGGCCTGTTGGGGGGCAGGGCAGGGATAGCATTAGGAGAAACACCTAATGTAGGTGACAGGTTGATGGGTGCAGCAAATCACCATGCCACGTGTATACCTATGTAACAAAACTGCACGTTGTGCACATGTACCCCAGAACTTAAAGTATAATAAAAAAAAAAGTAAATAAAGTTCTCAGTTGGGACCCACATGGGTGGTGGGCAGAGCGGCTGTGGCCACACCCGGGAGCCTGAGGCTGGCTTTCACCAGCAGGCACTGACCTGGTTGGGCAGCGAGTGGGCATGGCCTGGGAAGCGAGGCCTCCTCCCCACTGTGCCCTCCAAGCAGGTTGGTCCGCAAGCGGGCTAGGAGCCTTAGGGCTGCTGGCCTACTCTGGTGGGTAAGGCAGCAACAACAGATGCCTTAGAAGAAAAGAGCTTTATGCTGTCTCTCTCCTCCGCCTCTGATGCAGAATTTGAGGTTGTGGTGGGATATTTGGAGGACGCTATCATGGATGAGGAGTTCCAGCTACTACAGAGACGTTTCATGGACAGGTACTACCAGGAGTTTGAAGACACAGAAGCGGATAAGTTCACCTACATGCTATTTTTAATGAATTCATTTGATAGAAAAGTACATTGAAGAATCACTGCTGGAGTGGATTCCTGGATTTAACACGGCAGCTTTCACAGCAGCCTTGCAGCACCATAAAAATAAAGGCTGGTGACATATTTGACATGCTGCTCATATTTGTGGATTTTCTGGCTTTTGAATAAATGTTCCTGGACTGGAAAGCAGAAGAAGAAGGCTGGAAGCCGGGTGCGGTGGCTCACGCCTGTAATCCCAGCACTTTGGGAGGCCGAGGCGGGCGGATCATGAGATCAGGAGATCGAGACCATCCTGGCTAACACGGTGAAACCCCGTCTCTACTAAAAATACAAAAAGTTAGCCAGGCGTGGTGGCGGGCGCCTGTAGTCCCAGCTACTCGGGAGGCTGAGGCAGGAGAATGGCATGAACCTAGGAGGCGGCGCTTGCAGTGAGCCGAGATTGCACCATTGCATTCCAGCCTGGGCAACAGAAGTGAGACTCCGTCTCAAAAAAAAAAAGAAAGAAAGAAAAGAAAAAGAAAAAAAAAGGCTGGAGACTGAACCTGAGCAGAGGTTTAGTCGTGACTTTGTTGTGCAAATCATCTTCTATGCCGACTTCCCAAGACAGTCTGTGGCGCTAGGTTTCCAGGCAATGAATGGGATCGTTGTGGATGTTACTGACCCAGTAGACGAAAAGGCTCAGCTAATGGTGACAGAATAATACATCTTGGAGAGACAGACTCTGTTCTGTAACTCTTTATTCATGATAAGTATTGATAAGTCAAAAGCAAAATGACCTAACCCTCCTAGACTTATTTCTCCTGAAACACCTTTTTGTATTAAGTTAGTGCTTAATAACCCTGGAACTCCTCCCCTGCCCGTGTAGATCCAAATAGACCCCTCTCTCCTCTCTCGGTGCTTCCGAGGCAGACTTCTTGGGAGCAAGCCCATGCCAAGCATTCCACCCAGGGCTCCTACCCCCAGCATGCATGTTGGTGTGCCAACAGTGTGGAACAACCCTCCACCACGACCCTCCACCACGACCCTCCGTCCCGGCGTGGAACGACCCTCCACCACGACCCTCCGTCCCGGCGTGGAACGACCCTCCACCACGACCCTCCGTCCCGGCGTGGAACGACCCTCCACCACGACCCTCTGTCCCGGTGTGGAATAACCCTCCACCACGAACTTCTGTACCAGCAGGGTTTGCATAAATCTTTTTGTACACTCACAGCTCTTTCTCTCTCTTTTTTTTTTTTTTTAACATGGGTCAGAGTTTCAGTCCTTCAGCCTCAATGGGTTTTTTGATGTTTGTGTAGGGTGTTACTCAAGCCAGATGTCCATCTTGAGATTTCTGAATCTCCTGTGATCACAGCTTGTCTTGCCTGTAGGAATTAACTGAAAGAGATGTCCTTTACTTAAAAGCTACATGTGAAAATCAACTCCTTGTCTTAACATTTGCAGTCCTTATGTCACTGTCTTGTGCTTCTCCTGGTGTAGTCCTACTGTTTTCTAGAAATCTCTTTTAAGCATTATTTTTGAAAAAAATTTTTATAGGTGAATATTCATGCTAACCTAGTGGGTATGATCTTGGAACTTTCATGATTCCCCACTTGAAGATCAAAGTATGATATGCTGTGTGCTCTTTAGTTAGTACTATGAATGCAAAAATGCTCTCTACGCTGGTGTTTGTTACTATTTTGCTGAGCACTAATGAATGTATGCTGTGTGCTGGAAATCGACTAAAAGGTATCCTGTTCTTTGCATGTTTGTTGAAAACCCTTTCTGCAGAAATCAGTTAGGTTGTCTATCTGCTTTAGTTTAGTGCAATGTTTGGTAGAGTATTAGTTACCAGAAAGCATGTATGTCATTTCCAAAAAGAAGAAAAAACATAGTAGTTCAATTTCCAACATGTACTTTTGATTTTTTATTTAAGTAAAATTCTGTACTGATTTTTCATTTGGCTATTCTGGTTTTAAAGGATGAGCTACAAGTGACATGTTTTTTATACCGATGTGTCACTTATTAAATTCTTTTGTACCATGACTTAAAAAAAAGAAATCAAGTTATCTTTTCCAAATGTATAGATCTTGTGATTTTAAGTAGACTGTTGCCATGTTCATACCGTGACTTCTGCCTTTCAGACAGTTGGAAGCTTCTGGAAGCAGCACGGAGAGTTTACATTGCCCTGGCTTTGAGTTTCGAAGCAAGGGTGCTCCACTCTTGTTGGATTTTTGGAGCTTCTGATGAATGCACATGTTGAATCAGAGTGCTCCAGAGTATTAGAACCAGAAAGTCATTTAGAGAACACATGAAGCTTTATTTCACAGACAGGAAGCTGGGTCAGACACAGTGAGTGAGGATGCGCCTGGGGTGAGCCTGGAGTGGGGATTCCCATGCTATCCTTTATTGTTTATCAAAGACTCAGGTGGGATCTTTAGCTTCCCCAGACTCTGTTTCCCCACAGAATCCAGTTTCAGGATTATCTGTATTACTGGTGACAACTCGTGCAAATACCTGTCTTGGTATGTGCACATAATTATATTAGCATTGAATAAATACACCCCACCCCAAACATTTGACTCAGATCATGAGCTAATTGGGCATAATCCCAGCCCTAAAAGGAAGTGGAGAGGATCAGACCCTGTATATATGTTTATTTTATTTTATTTTATTTTTTGAGACGGAGTCTTGCTCTGTCCCCCAGGCTGGAGTGCAGTGGCGCGATCTCGGCTCACTGCAAGCTCTGCCTCCCAGGTTCACACCATTCTCGTACCTCAGCCTCCCAAGTAGCTGGGACTACAGGCACCTGCCACCACGCCTGGCTAATTTTTTTGTAGAGATGGGGTTACACCGTGTTAGCCAGGATGGTCTCGATCTCCTGATCTTGTGATCCACCTGCCTCCGCCTCCCAAAGTGCTGGGATTACAGTTGTGAGCCACCGCGCCCGGCATTTGTTTTTTATGTTTTTTTTTTTTTTAATGCCTTGCCCAGCTGCCTCCCACCTAAGAAGAGATTTGGGGAGACAAGATTTTTGTCCCGAAACGGCTATTTGGTTATGAGTGGGAGGATTAAGAGTCACATAGCAAATTAAAATTCGCCCTACCTCACCCCCTTGCTTTTTATTAGTGTTACTCCTAAACATTGCGGCTGCAAACATGCCCACACACAGATCTGTCTTGTGCATCTCTGATTATTTGCTCATGTAAATTCCTAGAATGAAATGTCTCAGTTTTAAAATGCAATTATAACTTTACCCTTTTGAAATACAAAATACAATTATTTTCTGACAGTTTCTACCAACTTATGTACCAATTAGCTACTTATTCCATTTCCCTTTTCTCAAAACACAGATTAAAACTGGATATTTTAATTTTTAAAATGTTTCGACAGTATATTTGTTATTTTAAAATAAATTTTTAAATGTTAGAATAGTTTTTTAATTTTTATTTATTTATTTATTTATTTTTATTTTTTTGAGATGGAGTCTCACTCTGTCACCCAGGCTGGAGCACAGTGGCACGATCTCGGCTCCCTGCAAGCTCTGCCTCCCGGGTTCATGCCATTCTCCTGCCTCAGCCTCCCGAGTAGCTGGAACTACAGGCTCCCGCCACCATCACGCCTGGCCGAGCCAAGGAACCAAGATCATGGTGTGGCATAGAAAACACAGCCTGTTGAACAAGATTCTGCAGACCGCCTGCCTCCGTGGATGGGAGGGCCTGACAGGTGTTTATTTCTCCATTTCACATTAACTGGGAAGCGACAGCAGCTCATGGCCACTGCACCCGGCTGCCGTGTGGTTCATCGGACATTTCAGCTGTCTTGAAAATTGATATTGATTACTTCAGAACGTGCCGTCCATGGAGCGATTCATCTTGGCAGTTAGAGTGGGCAGAATGATTAGATCCTCGCTCCACAGCTGCATTCCACACTTCTGCCTGGTCCTAGGCTTGGTTTCAGAGGCCTCATTAACACACGTCATCCAGTGATCTTGGAGAACATTATGCTAAGTGAAATAAGCCAGACACAGAAGGACAAATATGCCTGGTGCTGCTTGCATGATGAATCTAGTCAGGCTCAGGAGCAGAGAGTGGAACAGTGATTGTCAGGGGTGGGATGAGAGAGGGAGCGTGGGGGAGGGGGACGGGACGGGATGAGTCAGGGGGTGCAAAGTTTCAATTATACAAGATGAGTAAGTCCTAGCAATCTATTGTGTAGCGTGGACATATCATTAGCAACACTGTATTGTATACTTAAAATTGGCTGAAAGGATAGATCTTGTGTTTGTATCACAAAATAATAACAATAATTAATTCAGAGGGTGGAAAGAGACTTTTGGAGGTGATGGATATGCTTACGGCATAAATTATGGTGAGGTTTCACAGGTGAGTACTTATCTCCAAACTCATCAAGTTGTAGACATAAAATATGTACAGCTTTTTCTACGTCAATTAGACTTCAATAAAGTGGCTTTAAAAATAAATGGCAGCTTTTACTTAATTTAAGTTTAATTTTCTTCTTTTTCTTTTTCTTTTCTTTTCTTTTTTTTTTTTGAGACAGGGTTTGGTTTTGCCACCCAGGCTGGAGTGCAGTGGTGCGATCTCAGCTCACTGCACTGCAACCTCTACCTCCTGGGCTGAAGCAATCCTCCCACCTCAGCCTCCTAAGTAGCCGTTGCATGCCACCATATCAGGCTACTCTTTGTATTTTTTGTAGAGACAGGGTCTCGCCATGTTGCCCAGGCTGGTCTCGAACTCCTGAGCTCAAGCAATCTGCCTGCCTCGGCCTCCCAAAGTGCTGGGATTACAGGAATGAGCCACCATGCCTAGCCAGCTTTTACTTAATTTTAAATTGTGGGGATCCCACTCAACCAAAAAAGAATAGCATTGATAGCACCTTCAAATGTTCTAGTCGTTTTCCTGTACCATTAGATCTAGATAGCGAGTTCCTCGAGGGTTAGACGCACGCCTTAGTCAGGAGAATCCTCATAGCTGTAGCAAGCACGTGTGCGGCACCCGGGAACAGGCGGCTGCACGCCCTGCTTGCGGCATCCCATGGATCCTTGTAGCAATGCATAGGGGTGACACGATTCTTTGCATTTTCAGGTATAAAAAAGAGAGAGAGAGATGGAGAAAGAGAGAGAGACAGACAGACAGACACAGAAAGAGAGAGAGGGAGCGCGTGCAGGCAATGAAATCCAGCTAGAAAGGGTCAGAGCCAGGGTTTGGTTCTGAGTCTCGCTCCGCAGCCTGCATGCTTAACCACACCTCCTTAATGCTGACTATTAATTGGTGTGAGAGAGATCAGTCATGTCTTACCGTGGCAGCCCCAGTACCTAGAACAATCACTAGCTTAGGGGGCCGTCACGAAGCTTGGTGAATTAATAACCGAATGAATGCATGAGAAGATTGAGGGGATGAAGGTAGAGATGGGCCACAGGGGCTCGATACCCTGGCAGGCTTCACTTTTGGCTCATGTGAGAACTACACTTTAAGCCAGCAGGGGCCTAGGAATTTCTAGAACATTCTTTGGGTTTTTCTTCCTTTCAAGAGCTGAGCCAGAGAGTCACTGCACCAATTGTGTGTGTGTATGTGTGTATGTATGTGTGTGTGTACGTTTGTGTGTGTATGTGTGTACGTGTGTATGTGTGTGTACATATGCGTGTGTACGTGTTTAATTTCCTGCTTATTGCCCTGCAAGGAGGTCCCCTGCTCCTGAGAGGGAGTGGAGATTTTGTGAGATGATACCCATTAAGGCCTTTTATGCTCGCCATTTTGTAACAAACAGCATCTGGAGCTTGGGAGGAGTGGGGAGCCTGGCTGTCCAGGAGGACAGATTAAGTGTCCACCTTTATAAATCAAACTCCTGTGATGTGGGTTCAGAGGTCACCAACAGCAAATACACATCTTGTAGTTTGGGGTAAAGCAGGAAAAAATATTATTTTAAGATTTAGGATTAAATTGCAAATACCCAGAACACAATTCCTATATGTAAAACACATTCTATTTAAATGTTTTCATTTTTTAAAAAATCTCATTTCTAAGTGGCCAAAAATAATAATTGTGAACGATAACTTTGTCTTCTTATTTATATTCAAGGACCAACTCAGATTAAAGCGATCTTTTAAAAAGGCTTGAAAAGGAGAATAAATCAGTATCGGTGTCAGTTTGTCTCATTTTAACAATAGTCACTATGGAAACAAATCACCCACCTATTTCTTTTCCTACCTCCAAGTAAACAATAGGGTTTCCACTTTTCCTGGTATCCTGTTTCCTCTGCGCAGGAAGTTCTTGTACAGAACGTCTGTACAGTGCTTCTAATTGAACCTATGGTTTTCCCCACATGCCTGTTTCTGTTGTTTTAAACCTCCTCCGCCTCGTGGATTTTCACTCTGAAAGGCTGAGGATCCTCAACCCCATCCTCTGGAATCCTGAGCGTTTTGTCTGGGGCTCCTTGTCTTGCTCAGGGGTGGAGAATCCAGCTGTGGATGCAGAGCGGGGCCAGTGTGCCCCAGACGTCTACAACGTGCCCTGCCCGAGACTCAGCGGAGTCTCACGGAGTTTCCTTTCCTTCCACGCCCCACTTGGGTTAGACAAATGGGAGTGTCCCAGAGGGTCATTTTCCATACTAAGCTGCCGATTCAGGAAAGAACAAAACGCTAACGTGTGTGTGCTTTCTTCCTGTCCTGAACCCACACCCCAAATTCATTGTATATTTGGTTGAAGCCCAGAAGTTTCTGGACATAGAGATTGCTGTCTGCCCAGTGCACAGGAGTCCCTCAGAGGGGCTCTCTGTGCCCCATGGACGTCCGGGGCTCCTCACCTGCACCCCCACCTGCTCTCGTCTCCAAGGACACTCTTTTGTTGGAATATTAAAAGGAAGTGTACTATGTCTAACTTTGTTTATTGCCTGCTATTTTTATGACCTGCAGAGTACTCTTAGGTTTTTATTTTGTGAGATAGAAAATTACAGAAACATCCTAAGAAACACACACACACACACACACACAAAACCCCAGTTCTGTATAGCTGCAGTGTTCTCAAACAGAGCAGTAAAGAGGGCACACACCAGCGACTAATACAAAATGTATTAAAAATGAGAATAAAATGGCCATAGAATAATTTTTCTTATTTGAAAATCTATTTTTAAAAACAAAGAGGCTTGACCTAATATTCCAGTGCCCCAAATGTGCCTCAGGTACCTTGGGAAGACTTTTTGGGATTTTACCACTGATATTACTTTATGCTCTTACAGAGCCATGATTTTCCAAACAGCCACATCAACATGATACCAAAGCAATTGTTTGGAAATTAGGGGAAGAAATTAATGCACCTGGGCCGGGCGCAGTGGCTCACGCCTGTAATCCCAGCACTTTGGGAGGCCAAGGCGGGCGGATCACGAGGTCAGGAGATCGAGACCATCCTGGCTAACACGGTGAAACTCTGTCTCCACTAAAAATACAAAAAATTAGCCGGGCACGGTGGCAGGCGCCTGTAATCCCAGCAACTCAGGAGGCTGAGGCAGGAGATGGTGTGAACCTGGGAGGCCAAGCTTGCAGTGAGCCAAGATCGCACCACTGCACTCCAGCCTGGGGGACAGAGCAAGACTCCATCTCAAAAAAAAAAATTCATGCCCCTGAAAACATGGCATATAAATTGCAAACATGGTTTCCATTCTCCACCTTTTCCTGATCCATGCCCTCTGCAATGTGCCTTTGCTGTTCCTCTCATTAAGAAGTGGAGCCTATTTTATCACCCGTTGAATCTAGGCTCTCCTGTGACTCTCTTTAGCCATAGAATATGGCAGAAGTGATAACATATTAGCCCTGGGCTTAGGTCTCCAGAGGTCTTACACACTTGCACTCCTTTTCGGCATACTTCAGGATAAGAGAGCACAGAGAGACCAGGCGCGGTGGCTCACTCCTGTAATCCCAGCACTTTGGGAGGCCGAGGCGGGCGGATCACAAGGTCAGGAGATCGAGACCATCCTGGCTAACACGGTGAAACCCCACCTCTACTAAAAATAGAAAAAAATTAGCCAGGCATGGTGGCGGGCACCTGTAGTCCCAGCTACTTGGGAGGCTGAGGCAGAAGAATGGCGTGAACCCGGGAGGCAGAGCTTGCAGTGAGCCGAGATTGCGCCACCGCACTCCAGTCTGGGCGACACAGTGAGACTCCATCTCAAAAAAGAAAAGAAAAGAAAAGAAAAAAAAACAGAGAGCACAGAGAAAAACCAAGACCCCCAGCTGACCCACAGCTGACACATCCCCATGAGGGAACCCAACTCCAACCAAAAGATCCTCCTAGCAGAGCCCAGCCTAAGTTGCTGACCCATAGAATCACGAACTCAATAAATGCCTATCATTTTAAGCTATGATGTTTTGGGCTGGCTTGTTACACAGCAATAGATAACTGATACACACCTTTTCTTTCTCATTTCCCCAACTCTTCATTGCCCAGCAAAAGGTTATTGTTGTGCAAAAGGTTCTGTCAAAGAATCAGGATTTGGGCCGGGCATAGTGGCTCACACTTATAATCCCAGCACTTTGGGAAGCTAAGGTGGGCGGATCACCTGAGGTCAGGAGTTGGAGACCAGCCTGGCCAACGTGGTGAAACCCTGTCTCTACTAAAAATACAAAAATTAGCTGAGCATAATGGTACATGCTTGTAATTCCAGCTACTCAGGAGGCTGAGGCAGAAGGATTTCTTGGGAGGCAGAAGTTGCAGTGAGCCAAGATTGAGCCACTGCCCTCCAGCCTGGGTGACAAGAGCAAAATTCCATCTCAAAAAAAAAAAAAAAAAAAAAAAAATCAGGAGACCTAGTCCTAGTCCTGGTTCTGAAATATTTAGCTGTGACCTTGATCAGTCCTGTTCCTTTTCCGAGCATCAGCTGCTTTGTCTGCATGTCTACACACAAAGTATTTGTTATTTCTAGCTAGAATATCTGTGTGGAAGAAACTGACAGAGCAGCTTGAATTCTTCCCCACTTTGGTGTGAATGCCTTTAAGAATCATCTCAGACAAATCTATTCACTGGACTCAGCAAATATACCATTGGACAAATATACCACTGGACTCAGCAATCCCACTGCCTTGCCCTCATGCTATGAAAGCACACACGTGGATATGCAAACATGATGTTCTAGAGTGTCTGGAGCAGCAATCTTTGTGTGGCAAACATCAGGAAATAACCTGAATGCCCACTGAGGAAATTGGTTGCACAAATCGTGGTGTATTTATACTATAAAATATTGTACAGCTGTTTAAAAATTATCTGGAAGAGCTTTTATAATGTATTTTTTAAATGAGAGAAACAGGTTGCAGGGTATAATACTATTTTTGTAAAGGAAACAAAATAACAAAATCCTTTATATGTGTCCCTGGTTTCTGTGTGATTGGCCATGGAAAATGATTTGGAAGGAAGCCGACCAGGCTGCTGTCTGGGCTGGAGACAGAGGTAAGAGGTTTCCAACGGCAAATGTGTTGAAACGACCTCAGAGTTTGGGTATAGGGGGTTAGTTAATTTCATGATGGCACATCCATACAGTGAAATAATTTTCAGCTGTTAAAAATAGTGATAATGACAACTGGGCAAGGTGGCTCACGCCTGTAATCCCAGCGCTTTGGGACGCCAATGCAGGTGGATCGCTTGAGCCCAGGAGTTTGAGACCAGCCTGGCCAACGTGGCAAAACTCTGTCGCTACTAAAAATACAAAAATTAGCTTCACATGGTGGTGCGTTGTGCCTGTAATTCCAGCTTCTCAGGAGGCTGAGGCACGAAAATTGCTTGAACCAGGCGGCAAAGGTTGCAGTGAACCGAGATTGTGCCACTGCCCTCCTGCCTGAGTGACAGAGTGAGACTCAGTCACCAAAAAAAAAAAAGAAATAATAATGATACATAAAAATAATTACATATAGGCCAGGCGTGGTGGCTCACACCTGTAATCCCAGCACTTTGGGAGGCCAAGGCGGGCAGATCACGAGGTCAAGAGATCGAGACCATCCTGGCTAACACGGTGAAACCCCATCTCTACTAAAAAAATACAAAAAATTAGCCGGGCATGGTGGCAGGTGCCTGTAGTCCCAGCTATGCGGGAGGCTGAGGCAGAAGAATGGCGTGAACCCGGGAGGCAGAGCTTGCAGTGAGCGGAGATGGGCCACTGCACTCCAGCCTGGGCGACAGGGCAAGACTCATCTCAAAAAAAAAAAATTACATACAATATATTTAAAATAATGATATTAATGAACATAAAACAGCATTAAAGGAGGTAAAAATGCGTGAGCCTATGTATTTGGAAAATGTTCAGGATGGACACTCATCAAATATTCATGGTAATTATTAGTCATTGTGAGCTTATGAGTGGCTTTACTCTTATTTTTACATACTTACATTCTGTAATTTTGCTAAATTAATGTAGAAAAAAGGAAAGAGGTGGAGAGAGGCAGGAATGTTTAGTAATTCAAAGGTGTTTATTAATGCGGGGCAGAAAGAACCAAAAAGGACCGAGTCCTTCATAAACTCAACATCTCTGAATAATAAAGAGGTGAAAGTATTTTGAAATGTTAATGATTACGTGTGGAAGGTGGCTTTAGATACTTAGTGAAATGGGTGACTGGCCATCTATAATGTCTTCGGCTCTCACAAAGTGATGAGGATGAATGAGATAATTAATATTTATAAAGTCCTTTAATATCCTGCAGAAAAGGCTGTTGCGTCAGATAATAGAGTACACCACGGCTCAGTCTTCTGTCTCTCCTCGGACGGGACCCAAGCAGCCTCTTTCTGATGGTCTCTTGAAAGATCACCCATGTATCTCCTGAGGAGTAAGTGTGGTCTTTGTTTCTGTAAACAAGAACACATTGATCGGTGATATGGTTTTGCTGTGTCCACACCCATATCTCATCTTGAATTGCCACGTGTTGTGGGAGGTAATTGAATCATGGAGGCAGGTCTCTCCCGTGCTGTTCTCATGAGAGCGAGTAAGTCTCATGAGATCTGATGGTCATTAGAAGGGGGCATTTCCCTGCACAAGCTCTCTTTGCCTGCTGCCATCCATATAAGATGTGACTTGCTCCTGCCTGCCTTCGGCCACGATTGTGAGGCTTCCTAGCCACATGGAACTGTGAGTCCAATTAAACCTCTTTCTTTTGTAAATTGCCCAGTCTCGAGTATGTCTTTATCAGCAGCATAAAAATGGACTAATACAATTGGAGAAAGACATTACATCTTTTTTTCCCTTAAATTTTATAAATCCAAACAAGAACTATTTTTTACCTTCTGAAACTACATTTGTACTTGGATAGATGTTTTTATTGAACTATCAGCCTTGAATAAACTGTGTCTCAACCCGGCTTTACCAACCTTGACACAATAGGAATTTATAATTAAGCGGAAATAATTAGCATAGATTAAAATGGAAATTAACTTAGACCAGGTGGGTGTCATTAGAATCAAAAGGAAACAGGGATATTTCCACTATGTGGCTTCCATTCTCCTACTTCTAGGTGCCAACATCCAAGCAGCAATTCCCAGAGCCTGGAATTTATACAAAGATCCTAATCTATACCTAGACATGGAATTCACTGGTATTCTAGCTAAAGAACCAGCTAGAATGAAAAGAACACATTGTAATGAAAAGACCATGTCTGAGAATGGCTTTACCCTCTGGTGAAATGCACCCTGATCTTTGTGGGTGAGCACCTTCTTGTTCTTCAGTCTTTGGTGACTAAAGATTCTACAAGGCTTATAAGGTCTACAGGGGCTGGTGAGTGAATAACAGGCATCTACAGACCAACTTAGTGTGTTAGTATCATCTTTTTTTACCCTGGGAAAAGGAAAAGGAAAAACTTATTTTTTCCACTTAGACTCATCACAAGTCTTAGCACATTTGAAAACATTCCAACGACAAAAATGGTCGTTTCAGAGCATGAAGCCATTGGGTCCCAAGTTTGTCAGCTTCTCTGCTTCCTCATTATTCCAATGATCAAACAGCAACCGCTCTGCAAGCTTCTCTGTGCCCCTCCCCACCGCCGTTGTCCTGCAGATTCCCTTCTCCAAAATCACCAGTGTGTGATTTCCTTGGAATAAAAAGCAGATATATAAGGTTACTCACTTTTTCCTGATGTTGAAACTTGCCTCTCAGTCACGTCAGCCTGGCTTCATCCACTGTCAGTACTGTCTCTCCCGTTTTACTATTTTATGTGTATATTTTATGCTGTGAGAAAGGACACAACTATTTGTACCATAAGAAAGACTCTTGTCATGAGAAGAAAGCCCCCAAAATACTCTGTAAAACTGTACTTCTTATACTCCATTGTTGTTGTTGTGGGAGGGACGGTTTGTGACCAGGCTGAGAAATGTTTTCTCCAACGATTACATTCCCAAAACAATATAAACAATCTCAGAATTGAGGAGTGTTGCCTTCATTTAACATCAAGCACTCATGGTTTTCCAACTGTGGCTGTTCCACATCTCTGCAGGTAAAATCTAGGTCCATGAAAGATCTGGTTCTGGACTTCATTAGGGAAAGACATTTGTTATTAGATGGGGTCTCCTCCCTGGCAAGAGGCAAGTCTGAGAACCGGCAAGTCCCAAGCACTTCCTCACGACTGCTGGTGTTACAGTCTGTGTACAGGCGGTTGAAATTTTTAAAAAATCACTCAGGAAATATGCTTTTTGTTCTATCATGTCTTGATATCATCAGTGTAGGTAAAAGTACGCTTTTGAGCTGGGCACGGTGACATGCATCTATGTCCCAGCTAGTCTGGAGCTGAGGCAGAGGATTGCTTGAGCCCAGGAGTTCAAGTCCAGCCTGGGCAACATAATGAGACACCGTCTCAAAAAAAAAAAAAAAAAAAAAAAAAAAGAGTACGCGTTTGAAGAAGTCAAATTGTTAGCATAAGTGAGAAAATTACTCTTGCTGAGAAAGTCTGTGCCCAGGGCTGTGACGACTGATTGAACGTAGCTGCTTATGAGGCTGTGGCTGACCTAAGGAATGAGTAGATACGCTAAGCCCAGATCAGGTTAGAAGTAAACGACACAAGGTCATCTTTTGAGGGCAAACTGCTGAAAATAACTTGTCAATCAAATGTTTAAAATTGAAGCACTGGTTCCAGTCATTCAGGGCCAGCAGTAGGGCTGGCAAGACGTACTACTTCCCAATGTTTTGTTATTTGTGCCACAGCATCAGGGGCCCTTCATTCAGGAAACGTCTCTTGTGTGTTACATGCACAGAGTGAAGAAAGAATGACAAAAGCTCTGAGCTCCTGGAGTCAGGAAACTAGTGGAACAGGCCAACTTCACCCGGTGCAAATAATCCCACAAATCCGTGTCTCGCTGGAATGTGTGATGGGCACCATGAAGGAAAAGCCAAGGATGCTATAGAAGAGTAGGACAAGGGCACCCAGGTCCAACTGGGTGAGGGGAGCCAGGGAGGCCGCCCTGAGTCAGGAGCACCCCAGACATCACACTCTACCTGCCCATCCTTTCTTACTAGAGGTAACATCTGGTTCACTTGACGGCTGTCATCAAACAGGTGAAGTTTCCCCTGGAGTTAAACCTGCAGATCAGAGCACGGCCCAGGTGTAACTGGAGTGGAGGCAGCCAATGATTAAAGACAGAAATGAGAGACGAGATATTCCGTTTGCGTTGTTCATGTATTCCAACACCTCGTACAACGGGCTGATCACAGAGAGCGCTGTTGACATTCGGGACAAACAGTGTCACAGGCTGTGTTTTACTTGCTCTGAATAGAAATTCACTCATGGAAGAAAAACCTACTAAGGCCAACTTACATGAGCGGAGTGTCCTTGCGGTGCCTGAGCTGTGCTCAACTGAAGGTGTCCACGACATACTGAAGGAGCTCTTGTTGGTTTCTAAGGAAATGGAATTCAGAGCACCCATCTTCCATCCCTTTGTTTTATTTTCTGCTTTTTCCAACCTCTGTTTCCACCAAGCTTCGAGTTATCCAGTGTGGATATTCCAGGTAGCGGCAGCAGGTGGTGCTTTATGTGAATGAGCAGCTTTATCCAGCGTTTGTGTCTGATGCATCCGAAGCTGCAGTTAAGTCATCGTTTCCATCTGCATTCAGAGAGCATCCCATCAGGGTGGTGGTTGGGTAATTCCAACTTCTACCTTGAGAACTCCTGCTTAGCAGCTAGTTTTTGGAAGAGATTTGAGAGTCATTTTAACACAACCTTTCAAAATATTCCACTTTAAAGGTAGATTTTGTGGCACTAAACATGAATCAGCACTTTTGCATAATGACAGGATAAAAGTATGACTTCTGCAAGAAACACAAAACATTGACTTCCAGATTTAGCTGTTTATAACAAAACAGGCTCTCTTTGCTGTATGTCTTAGCTCCACTGCCGTTTCCACTTCTTCACAGGTGCCCATGTTCAATCCAGATTTCCTGAATTAGGTATTAGCACATTGCTAGATGCCCTCGGGTACAACATGCAGATCAGTGAAATAACACAGGGATTCCTAGATAGAACACGTTTCCTTTTCATGCGTGTTACTGCGAAGTGTGTTCTGGTTGAGATACATTTGGAATGCAATTCATCTCATTAGCATAAATCATAGCAGTTTTCGTTTCCTCAACTAGGTCTTTGTGCAATGTGAGCAAATGTGAAAATGACACGTGCACCTTAAAAAGTCTTTCAAAGATGAGCCCTTGGGGAGTGGCTTCACGTGGGGAGGAGGCGACCTGGAGAGGGTGGGCAGGAAGGCATTATTCAGCGTGTCAGTGGCGAGGGCTAATCTCCACACTGGGAAAACCACGAGGAGAGAGGGTTGGGTGGTGAGGAGCTCCGGAGTGCACGCACACACATGAATGGACAAGGCACCCAGGGAAGGGAACTATACCCTTGCTCATCATACCAGCCTGGGGCCCCAGCTGTCTCTGCTCACAGGGGCTAAGAGGTGGAACGGAGAGAAAGGAAGCAGACAGACAGGGACAGGAGCCTCAAGAAACCTTGACACCTTTGATTCCCAAATACGCCAGCCTCTCTCATTCACCCTCCGACCCACAGGCTTCACTCTCAGTCTCTTTTGGGAATTGTATTCCTCCCAGACATTGACCCCCTCCCTGAATATGGCTTCCCCTGGGCTTTGACAGGACCTTGCTGAATCTTTATGAAATGTCGGGTTTTCCATGCCATCCCTGCTGCAGGTGGACGGGTGCGGGGAGGTGGGGAGGAGTGGGGGCTCAGCAGCACCCCCGGCTGCTTCTGCTCCTCCTGCTGCCATGAGTGCAGCAGACACACTAGGAGGATGGCATTCTGGTTTTGGGGTGAGGGGAAGGCAGACAGACATTTCTATTCCCTGCTCTCTGTGAATGCAAACACAACACTGCATGGTTTTGCTCTCAGACCTCTAGGAGCTCAGGGAGCAGAATCCCCTCAGTAATGCCCCTTAAAACAGGGACTCAAGTAGATTATTCTCCCGGGGCTGCGGGACACTCCCACTCTTCACTTGACAAGAACACCAGCATTGGGCTGTGCCATGTGAGTCTTCCCTGAGAAATGTGCTGGACAGCTGGGGTCCTCACTTCCAGTCCAGTCCTTTTTCACGCCCATCAGCTCCTTCCTGCTTTGTTCAGCCATGGCTGCCCCAATTGAGTGCAGTGGCAGGCAGTATTTTCCTCCTGGGAATTGGCCAGTTCCCTTCTTAGGTAGCTGGTCTCTGGCACCTTCTAACCACTGAAAAGTCAGGAACGAAAGAGTTTCCGGACCTTGGTCATTTAGATAATGGTATGCTGTGCCCTCGGACAGGTCAGGGTACTGCTCATGATAAATCCCACCATGCTCACCCTGTCACCTGCTGGGCTGCTTTTTTTTGAGACAGGGTCTTGCTCTGTTGCCCAGGCTAGAGTGCAGTGGCATGATCTTGGCTCACTGCAGCCTCAATCTCCCGGGCTCAGGTGATCCTCCCACCTTAGCCTCCCAAGCAGCTGAGACTACAGGCACACATCCCCACACCTGGCTAATTTTTGTATTTTTTATAGAGACGGTGTTTTGCTATATTGCCCAGGCTCAGGTCTTCCGCCCCCCATGGCCTCCCAAAGTGCTGGGATTACAGGCGTGAGCCACCGCGCCCGGCCTGTTGGGCCGTTTGTGTAATGCCATCCGTGCCTCCTCCTGTGTGTCATGCGGGAACACCAATCATATTTTCTGATTGTATCTCTGAGCAGACATGGCATCAATGGCCAATAAAATAGGGCCTCCTGGAGACAGCCCCGGAGAGCTGTGCGAAGACAGCCAGCCACGCACCACGGTGGATGGAAGCTAATTAAAAATGACTTATTAAACACTGCAGACACCACAGCCCAAGGCTGCAGATGAACAAACACTCATGTTTCAACACTGGCTTTTCACAGGGAAGGCAGCCATGCTGTCGTTCTGGTAAGTCATTATTTACCTCCTGAAACTCACCAAAGGGTCTTCAGTCCTCCCCCAGGCCCCACCCCCTGCCCCTTCTGTGTGCCTGTTACAAACCCTGATATTGAAGTCATTCTGCTTCCCTTAAACTGAGGTGTTTAGAAAGGCAACAGATTGTACAATTTGATGTCAAGGACTTATTCTCAGAAAAATGACTCATCTTTATTTAAAGGGTCTATTCAAGTGAGAAATGAATCATTCTCACCTGATGGCCCTCACTGGGTGGGAGAGGGGGCGGAGGTTCCGGGAGAACCAAGTCTCTGGGCACTCTTTGCTGACTCTCCAGCTTAGAATCTCAAGCTTTGGGGCCTGAAAGGAAAGCTGTTTTTTAAGGCATTCGACCTAAACCAAGTTTTAAAAGTATCTTTAAGTATTTCCTTTTTTTTTTTTTTTTTTAGGATAATGAAACCATAGTTGCAACACCCAGAGCTTGGGCTTAGAAGCAACTTTGACAGGATCTGTAGCTGTGAAATTTGCATCCCTGTAACACAGTAACTTATCATGACAAAGATCTGTTGACGTCAATTCCTTTATTACTCTTATTTGTAGGCCAAGGGAGGGACCCAGGGCCCTGATATTGTTGCCTTGGTGCTGTAAGGATTGGATCTGGGTCACTCTGACCTACAAAATTGATACATGGCCCTGGAATAACCTGCACATTTTGAAGAGGAAGAAACAAAACAATCGGTTACTAAAGGCTTGGCTGACTCCAGATCGTGCAATTTCACGGGCTCCCAGGAGATGGCAGCCACTTTTTGGAAAACAGTCTTTAAAGGTACACAGAGCAACAGCGTGCTCACCCCTGGGGCCAGCCGTGGAAAAGTAGGAAGGGCCGGGTGCAGTGGCTCACGCGTGGAATCCCAGCACTTTGGGAGGCTGGGGCAGGAGGATCGCCTGAGGCCAGGCGTTTGAGACCAGCCTTGGTAATAGAGCAAGACCCTGTCTCTACAAAAAAATACAATTAACCGGCTGCGGCGGTGTGCGCCTGTGGTCCCAGCTACTGGAAGGCTGAGGTGGGAAGATCACTCGAGGCTCCAGCCTGGGTGCAGAGCAACACCCTCTCTCAAAAAAAAAAATAAATGAAAGAAAGAAAGAAAAAGAAAAAAGAAAAGTAGGAAGAAGGCAACACTTTGATTAATCTTCGTCTTTTTTTTTTGACAACAGAGCATTGCTGGGTGACCGGTCGAGGGGCAGGACATGCAGGATGATAGTCGCCTGCTGAAAAGGCACTTCTGACAGGCCAGGGTGCAGCACAGAGTCTGCCCAGAGAACCACGTGTGAGTCCTTAAAATGGTCATAAATATGTGTAGGGATCATCACCTTATTTTTAGGGATTGCATCCATCTTAGGGGACCATCTGAACTCTGGAGATCATAGCCAATGCTTGCTTGACATCCCAAAAGCAAAACAAAACCCAGCAACCCCAAGGACCAGATTCCAAAACTAAAAGCAAAAGGACAACAGCGGGATGGCTGAGAGGCCTGTGCAGCACTGGTGGCCACACCTGCGGGGGCAGAGGGAAGGAAGGGCCACACATTCCCCAGCACCTTGAGCCTGGGTGCCGGCGGGCAGTGTGGATGAGGACTGTGTCCCTGGAGTGGTCCCCATTCACAGGCAGAGAAACCAAGCCTCACGCAGTTTGTCTGTTGCGGGTGGTGGGGGTGAGTGGAGCTGGGTAGGGACCCCCCTGGCTCTTGGACACCAGCCCTCTGACAGGTGCTCCAAGCACCTCCACCAGTCTGCATGGGGACTCCCAGAGAGCAAGGGCACGGCTGTGCCCGTTTCTCCTTAAAGGTGATGCAGGTGTGCTCTTCTTCGCTGGCAAGAAAGCTCCATTTTGCTGTTTGCTGTCTCGGCACAAACATTTTCAAAATGGGATTGAAATCTCATTTTCTCCAGTTTTATTTTAAATACAGAAAATGACCCCATGATGAATTTCAAAGCCATAGTTGGGCTTGTCGGGCTCTCAGACTCATACAGGGGGTCTAACCCTGGAAAACCAAGTGTGCGCCACCTTTTGCAACTCTCCCACAGGGGCCTGGAGCCACTCCCTTCCTGGGAACGCTGATGCCTGGAAGGTCAAAGGCAGCGCAGTCAGGCGATCTCAGCGTGGTGCTTTGTGGATACAGATCTGGAGAGGGGATATGGGGACTTGAGTGATGGGGGTGGGGTCTGTAAATGCAGGGCTAAGGGATGTGTTCATTTATTCCAAACTGATGGGATGTCCTGGCAGAAAACCACAAACTCATAGAAAAAGAAAAGCTGGCCGGGTGCGGTGGCTCACGCCTGTAATCCCAGCACTTTGGGAGGCCGAGGCAGGCGGATCATGAGGTCAGGAGATTGAGACCATCCTGACTAGCACAGTGAAATCCCGTCTCTACTAAAAATACACACACACGAAAAAAATTAGCTGGGCATGGTGGTGGGCACCTGTAGTCCCAGCTACTCGGGAGGCTGAGGCAGAAGAACTGCTTGAACCCGGGAGGCAGAGGTTGCAGTGAGCCAAGATTGTGCCACTGCACTCCAGCCTGGGCGACAGAGCGATACTCCATCTCAAAATAAATAAATAAATAAATAAATAATAAAAAAGAAAAAGAAAAGCCTACCAGTTTGGCACACTTTCATGATTTGCTCACCTGTAGATTATTTTTAAAAGGACGACACCGGGAGGAATGATGAATACAGGACTCTGCCAATCACTGCTGAGTTGATGCAGCACAAATGCCTTGTCTTGATGTAAGTGGTTCAACAACATGCTGGGACTTGGCACTGATGGGGTCAAGGCTTTCTATGAATTAATACGCAGATGTGTAGCCTCCTCTCCCTCCTAACCTCTGTAAGGTGAGTTGCTGGGCTGTGAATGACAACACAGCCAAGTGCAGAGAGAAGGGGAGCTTGGAGGATCCACACATTCAGGGCCCCTCTTGAACCACTAGAAACATTTGAAGCTTCATTTAAAGCACTCCTTATCTATCTCCCAGGTGTTAGGAAGAGTGATGTCCAACCTTGGCAGCTGCTGTGTTCCCAGGAGTAAAACAGAGATTCTCGGCATCATCCTCAAAAGGACCCGTGGAGATCGCTGCACGGAGTCAATCACCTGACAAGTGCACCAAGAATGCCCTGTGCCTGGAACTGGCTGCCGTGGAACCCACAGACGCGCAGCATGGGGGATCTGCCAGGAGGAGCCGTGCGGCTGCCCAGCTCATCCCCACCCTCCAAGAGCCCACAGACGCGCAGCATGGGGGCCCTGCCAGGAGGAGCCGTGGGGCTGCCCAGCTCATCCCCACCCTCCAAGAGCCCACGTGCCTCTGCGCATCAGCCACAGTCTGAGCTGGGCACAGAATCGACTCGTGGCCTCTTCAGTTTCCTCAGTGGCTCTTTCTCGACCCCGCTTCTTAGAGCCAGGGTGGCAACTGAGAGCAATGGCGAAACAGGTGAAAATGGGGAGAAAGGGCAGCCAGCGCTGAGATCCACACCCACTGGGAGCCTCCCCTGCTCTCCAGGTCCTGATAATTCAGATGACAAAGCACTCAGCCAGTCAGCTCTAATCCTGTAGCTGCACTGACTCTCTGTTTGTGACTTTAAAATGAAAGCGATCCTGTGTGTATTGATAACACCAGTGAGCCACTTTCAGATTCTGAATCAAAATTGTCAGCTGTTTCTCATCAGACTGTCGATGGCACCTGCCGGTGATGACACTGGTCAGGGGGCAGCCGCAACCTGGGTGAGAACAAGCTCCTGGGGGATCCTCACGTGCAGCCCGGGATGGGGACCACTACCATATGGGAAAACAAAGCTCGATTAGTGCATATTCGACTTTACTTACATTTTGATTTATTGTATTTATAATTATAGAGACAGTTATCTGCTCCTTGGGAAGTAGATTGAAGGAGAGAGAAGTAGAAAAATAGTTACGCACAATCTCATTACCCAGATATGCCCACTGTTGATATTTTGTCATATTTCCTCCTGTGTTTTTATTACTGGTTTTTTTTAAAGCATAATTGAAATCATACAGTATATATGATTTCGGAAACTTGAAAAAATTTAACAACATAAAAATTTCCTCATGCATTAAACAATTTTGTAAACACAAAATGTAAACACCATTTTAAATAGCTGCATAAAACTGAAATATAGGCATGGACCACACTTTGAATTTTTTCCTCTTAAATTATGATGTTAATAATATTAATATTGGCTCCTTCTTACTGAGCCCTTGCTAATTGTAGACACTGTGTTTAAGCACCATACATAAATTATCTGGTTTTAGCTCTCAAATCAATGCTATGCAGTAGATACTGTTATTTTTCCAACGTTATAAATGAGGAAACCAGGGCTCACTAGGGGCTCCTTTTCCTGATTAAGGTGCCAGGGCAAAGGACCTGCACCGTGATCTATGTGAAAAGCCACTGGATTTTTCTCAGTATGTCTCCTTGGTCAAACGGAAACACTGAGGCCTCTCGCGACTATCCTTGAGAATTGTGAGAATTAAAAACGAGGCCGGGTGCGGTGGCTCAGGCCTGTAATCCCAGCACTTTGGGAGGCCAAGACAGGCAGATCGCTTGAGTCCAGGAGTTCAAGACCAGCCTGGGAAACATGATGAAACCCCATCTCTACTAAAAATAGAAAAAGAAAAATTAGTCGGGAGTGCTGGTGCCCGCCTGTAGTCCTAGCTACTTGGGAGGCTGAGGTGGGAGGATCGCTTGAGCCTAGGAGGTTGAGGCTGCAGTGAGCCAAGATCTAGACAGGGCACTCCAGCCTGGGCGACAGAAGGAGATCCTGTCTCAAAAAAATGGGCTGGAGCTGGGTGCAGTGGCTCAAGCCTGTAATCCCAATACTTTGGGAGGCTGAGGCAGGCGGATCACTTGAGGTCAGGAGTTCAAGACCAGCCTGCGCAACAGAGCAAAACCCCATCTCTACTAAAAATACAAAAGTTAGCTGGGTATGGTGGTGTGTGCCTGTAATCCCAGCTATTAGAGTGGCTGAGGCATAAGAATTGCTTGAATCTGGGAGGCGGTGGTTGCAGTGAGCTGAGATCACGCCACTGCACTCCACATTCCAGCCTGGGTGACAGAGTGAGACTGTCTCAAAAAAAAAAAAAAAAAAAAGGCACCCAGGTGCTTCTTCCCTCTCCATACCCTGTGCGGTAGCCTGGCAGCTGCTCCCAGGTAGGGAGAAGGAGAAGTAGGGAATGGGAGCAGCAGTTGAGGCCAGCTCTGTGCAGGGCTGGGACACAGACGGCTTCAGGGTCATGGCCGGCAGCAGTAGCCCTGTCCTCAGTGGTTTGCACACTTTGCTGTGTAAAAAAAACCTGAACGATGGCATCAAATTCAGCCTTGAAAGGAAGGAAATTTTGCTCCATGCTATGACACGGATGCACTGGAGGACACTGTGTTAAGTGCAGTGAGCCAGTCTCAGAGGGACACGTGCTGCTGAGCCACACAGGTGAGGAACACGGAGGAGTCAGGGCCAAGGAGATGGAAAGTGGAAGGGGCGCCAGGGGCTGGGGGAGGAGGAGTGAGGCCTCTGTGTTTCGTGGGGACAGGGTTTAAGTCTGGGAAGATGGAAAAGTTCTGGAGCTGGAGAGTGGTGATGGCTGCACAGCAGTGTGAACGTGTGTAGTGCCACAGAACTGCACACTTAAAAATGATGAAATGGCCGGGCACGGTGGTTCACACTCGTAATCCCAGCACTTTGGGAGGCTGGGAGAATTGCGTGAGTCCAGGGGTTCAAGACTAGCCTGGGCAAGATTGTGAGACCCCCATCTCTACAGAAAAAAAAATAGTGGGGCATGGTGGTGCACACCTATAGTCCTAGCTACCCGGGCGGCTGATGGGGAAGGGTCACATGAGCCCGGGAGGTCTAGGGTGCAGTTACCTATGTTCACGACGCTGCACTCCAGCCTGGGTGGCAGGAGACCCTGTCTCAAAAAACAAAACAAAACAAAACAAAAACGGTTAAAGGATAAATTTTACGTTATGTGTTTTACCACATTAAAAAAAATAAAAGCAGCAAAGTTACTCCCTATTGACTTGGGCTGTAGACCCTCCTTTGAAGAACTTGAAGCCGGGCCTCATTGCTAACCTGTCACAGCAGGTGGAGACTTAGAGGGCTGCTCAGCCGGACGCAGTGGCTCACGCCTGTAATCTCAGCACTTTGGGAGGCTGAGGCAGGTGGATCACGAGGTCAGGAGATCGAGACCATCCTGGCTAACACGGTGAACCCCCGTCTCTATTAAAAATACAAAAAAGGCCAGGCGTGGTGGCTCACGCCTGTAATCCCAGCACTTTGGGAGGCTGAGGTGGGAGGATCACGAGGTCAGGAGATCAAGACCAGCCTGGCTAACACGGTGAAACCCCATCTCTACTAAAAAATACAAAAAGCCGGGCGTGGTGGCGGGCGCCTGTAGTCCCAGCTACTCGGGAGGCTGAGGCAGGAGAATGGCGTGAACCCGGGAGGCGGAACTTGCAGTGAGCCGAGACTGTGCCACTGCACTCCAGCCTGGGTGACAGAGCGAGACTCCAGCTCAAAAACATAAAAAAATAGATGCCTGCTCAAGGAGAGGAAATGGGGGAAAGTGGGGGGGAGGCCAAGACAAGACCCAGGATCAATAAAAATCACTTGGGAGTAACATGACCTCTTTCAGAGGCCAAGCAGCAGAAGGTAGGCACTGCCACCTCAGGTGTATTCTCAACATGTGGGCTGAGCCCCAGAATCTGCCTCCTGCACTGGGCAGGTGCAGAGCCTGGGCTGCCCCCGCCTCTGTGACTCTGTGAGCCAGACCCTTAAGGACCTTTGAAGACCAGGTCCTCCGGCTTCATCTCAATACGGGATTCCAGAAATTTATGCTGATTGAAAACCACCGACCCAAAGGAACCTGCAGAATGCCAGGGAGACCCTTGGGAAAGGTGTGCAAGGTCTCACCCAGGCTTAGCTCCCTAGCGGGAGGGAAGAGTGGAGGGGAAGGCTGTGAGCTCCATGGCCCCAGAGCAGCTGGGGTGTGAGAGGTGAAACCAACCCAGCAGTCCCATAGACAGTTTTTTGGGATAAACACAGAAATTGACCCTTTTTGTCTTAAAGCTTGAAGCTTACCCAGCAGTCCCATAGACAGTTGTTGTTTTTTCGGGGGGGCGGGGATACACATAGAAATTGACCCTTTTTGTCTTAAAGCTTGAAACTTACATTTGTTTTATCTAAGTTCCTTCCTGGGAAAGGACTCCCCGAGGCCTCTGAAAAAGTATCAAAGAATTGAAACTCACCAGATCACTGCATCCACACAGTGAGAAGCCAGGCCCCTCATGCATCATGCCTGCTTCCTTACCCCTCCCGAGTTCCTGTTTTCCCATACATTGTTACATTTCTTCCTTGCGATACAAACCCCTAACTTTAGTCGGCCAGCAAGATGGCTTTGAGACTGATCTCCCGTCTCATCCACTGCAGCCGCCGCCCGATGAAAACCTTCTTCCTTGGCAAGCCTCATTGTCTCAGTCACTGGCTTTCTTTGCAGTGAACAGCAGGACTTAAACTGAACCCCTGGTGTTTCCGTAACAGAGGAAGGGCTGAGCTTCAGCACTTCACAGCCTCTGCAGCTGGGGCTGGAGTCAGGAATCAGCCCAGGCAGGTGCAGGGACAGCTCTCTGCACCAGGGGCAACAGGACCCAGAATCAGGAAGCAAATTCTAAAGACCTCTGAAGAGTCCATTTAAATATTAGAAAGTTCAGGTACTAAATCTTAACGCCTGTTGCTGATAATAGAGCCCTCAGGCTGTCACTTCCAACCTACTTACACCCAAAGACAATTCACACAAGCTTGGTTACATGAATTTTCAGCTCACAGTGTATTAGAAAGAGTATCTGGGGGAGGAACTGAGGGTGCTGCCCCAGCCAGGCAGGTGGAGAGGGCTCCGAGTCCCTCCCTGACTACAGAGCACCAGGTTTTATTTCTGCAAGGAGGAAAATATCAGCTCTGTGGCCTCAGCCATTCACAGAGGATAAACAATGTCAAGTACTGGGAATGGGGGCTCCAAGATGAAATTTCAGGCCCCATGGTGGAATAAATTTTCTTTGTTATTAGAACCATTGTGACAATAGGTTAAGGACATTTATTGCTGGGGGTAGCATTCTAGCAGAGCTGTGCCTTCCCTGGAAGGCGGTGGAGGGCGCCTGAGCACTGAGAGGTAGCGAGCTTGCAGCCCTCGGCTGTCACTGCCTGCTGGGAGCCCCTGTGGCTGCTTCTCCACTTGCGAGTGTCATGGGACTACCAGAACAAGTTACACAAACTACGGGGCTGAAAGCAACAGGATTTGATTCTCCCACAGTTCTAGAGGCCAGAAGTCTGACATCAACGTGTGGGAAGGCTGTGCTCCCTCTGAAATCTTTAGGGGAGGGTCCTTCCCTGTTTCCTCCAGCTCCTGGTGGCTCCCACAACCCTCAGCACTCCTCAGTTGGTGGATGTATCACTCCACTCTCCCCATGGTATTCTCTCATCTCCACGTTTCCCTCTTCTTTTAAGGCCACCAGCCGTCAGATTCAGGGCCCACTGTAATCCAGTATGACCTCCTCTTAACTTGATTATGTCTGCAAAGACCCTATTCCAAATAAGGTCACAGTCTCAGATGTTAGTGAGGTGGCCATGAACTGGGGTGGATGTTATTGAACCCAGCGCACTCATTCTTACCCCCTTCCACTCCCTTCCCACCTTCTCCAGCATTCTCCTGGCTTCTGAGACTTGATGTGGTTCAGCCAGCCAGAGCCCAGCCACTGCGGGAAGGAACGTTCCCTGTCCTGGGCTGAGGATGAGGAGCAGGCAACACCGTGGAAGCCAGCCTGAGGACGGCAGGCACTGGTGGGAACAGAGCCACTGGGCTCCCAGAATCACCCTCAGAGCTGCCTTCAGTTTGTACCCGGCACCCATGTTATTGCTGCATTTATTGACGTAGCCAAAAAAAATCCCCTTCCCTCTGTTAGCTGGCCTGATTGGGGTACCCCTTACAACCCAAAGTGTCTCGAGGGATGTCTCCCCAGGCACACTGCGGAGAAGCTGCCCCCTTTTTTTCCCCAAATGAGACAAAAGGAACTTTTCTGCTTTGGGAAAAAGTAACTGAAAAGGAACTTGGTTTTGTGGCCAGTCTATCTGCCATTGGTCGCCTCGCTCCATGGCACAGGGCCAACTCTGGAACCGAGGACCTTTTGGACAATTGAGGAGCTGTAGCCCCACGCAGTGAACTGAAAGCAGTATTGGTCATAAACCAGTTCTGGCGGGGACGGGAGACATGTGACACCTCTTGGCAGGTCCCAGTCCTGGGAGTCTTGGAATAGACACCAAAATGAGAAGAATCCAAATAAGGTCTGATGTAGACAGAGGAGACATTGCTAATTTGGGCAGATCCTAAAGCAAGTCTTCAGTAGTTCCTGTGATCGTGTGTGGAAATCACATGGTAATAGACATTAGCAATTGTAGCAAATCGTTAGAAATCACTAGAGGTAATGTGCCTCTCGAAGACAAATGTCTATTTGTTATTTTAATGAAAAAATGGTAAATATTTTAAAAGATGAAGACTTCAACTACCTGATAAACGTATTCTTAGGACACTCTTGACTATGTCAGATAAAATATAAGTCTCTCTGTGGCACTGCTATAAATGCATACATTTGCTCAGAGCGAGGAAGGACCCATTTGTGCTGTTTATAATAAAGGAAAACACATGAACTGAGATCTTTATTCAATACTTGCTGGGCACGGTGCCTCACGCCTATAATCCCGGCACTTTGGGAGGCTGAGACAGGCAGATCACTTGAGGTCAGGAGTTTGACAACAGCCTGGTCAACATGGTGAAACCCTGTTTCTACTTAAAAAAAAAAAAAAATTAGCCAGGCATGGTGGCAGACACCTGTAATGCCAGCTACTTGGAGGCTGAGGCAGGAGAATCGCTTGAGCCCAGGAAGCGGAGCTTGCAGTGAGCCGAGATGGTGTCACTGCACTCCAGCCTGGGTGTCGCTGCGAGACTCTGACTCAAAAGCAAACACACAAAAAACTCAAGTGCCAATTTATTTTTCTCCTTTTATAAAGAATCAAGAATTATATGAAAAATGAAATGTCACTTACTGCTAATATGCAAGTTTGCATGGCTGATTAGATGAAGATTTTTCTCAGTAAATATAAATCTTTACTGCTAGGTATATATGCAAGAAAAATGAAAACACGTTTCCACAAAAACCTGCACGTGAATGTTCATAACAGGATTAATCAAAATAGCCAAAATGTAGAAACAACCCAACAGTCAACTGATGAAGAGATAAACATAATTGTGGTATATTTGTGAAATGGAATATTACCCAGCAATAAAAAGGAATGAGGTACTGACATGCTGCAACATGGATGAACTCTGAAATACTGAGCCACATGACAGGAGCCAGTCACAAGCCACCACATGCTGCATGAGCCCATTCACCCAGAAGGCACAGAACAGGCAAATCCATAGCGGCAGAAAGTGGAGTGGTGGGGATGGGAGTGGGTTAGGGACTGCAGCATGGCTGCTAATGTGTACAGGATTTCTTTTAGGAGGTCAAAAATGTTCTTTTTAAAATGGTTTGTTCTTATTTATTTATTTATTTATTCATTTATTTATTGAGATGGAGTCTCGCTCTGTCACCCAGGCTGGAGTGCAGTGGCCCGATCTCGGCTCACTGCAAGCTCCGCCTCCCAGGTTTACGCCATTGTCCTGCCTCAGCCTCCCAAATAGCTGGGACTACAGGCGCCCGCCACCACGCCTGGCTAATTTTTTTGTATTTTTAGTAGAGATGGGGTTTCACCGTGTTAGCCAGGATGGGCTCGATTTCCTGACCTCATGATCCGCCTGCCTCAGCCTCCCAAAGTGCTGGGATTACAGGCGTGAGCCACTGTGCCTGGCCGACAATTTAGGATTTGTTTTTCTTTTTTGACAAATTTGGACAGCAACTTCTGCTGTTAAATTGAAAAACAATCTTGCTTAATGTCTTCTTGAGATATGAAACCTTAAATGGCAGCTTGCTTCATTCTCTTTCACTTCTTTCTCCAGATTTCTAATCCCTACCCACAGTTATAAAAATTATGCTACTACACTGACAACTCTTTTTTTTTTTTTTTTTGAGTCGGAGTCTTGCTCTTGTTGCCCAGGCTGGAGTGCAATGGCACGATCTTGGCTCACTGCAACCTCTGCCTCCCAGATTCAAGCAATTCTCCTGCCTCAGCTTCCCGAGTAGCTGTGCCACCACGCCCGGCTAATTTTGTTTTTTTTTTTTTTTCAGTAAAGATGGGGTTTCTCCACGTTGGTCAGGCTGGTCTTGAACTCTTGACCTCAGGTGATCCACCTTCCTCAACCTCCCAAAGTGCTGGGATTACAGGTGTGAGCCACTGCGCCCAGCCAACAACTCTTTTTAAAAATCTCCCGTGTTCGGAAAATTACGTATGGCACTGTGGGAGTATGATGTTGACATTGTTAAATGGATGTTGATGGGTAGGTGAAGATGGGAATTGTGAAAAGTTTAGATGTCAGGTTAGAAACCCTTTGCTTTTAAACTTCATAAATGCAAAATTTGCTTTATCTTTGAGCAATTTGGACACTAATTATAAAAATAAGGGTGGAAAATATCTCCATTATGTCGAAAGTCACATTACCACATCAGGACAATTGCTTCTTTGAACTATTTATGGGGGAAAAAAATCCCACATTTTGTTGCATTGAACACAGAAATGAGCTGTCCAAGAAGACAAAAGTATAGGGTTCCCAGTTCCGGTCACAGAGCTCTCGGGCACAAGAGTCAAACGCTTGTTTCAGAGCAACCCCTGCAATCTCCACCGCCACACCCAGAGACGAGGCAGCCTGCTTTATGGGGCCGTTTAGAGAAATAAGGGAGCTAATATCCGTGAGTGGCTCAGGACAGTGGGTGGGACCCAAAAACACTTAGTATACACCAGCTATCACTGTTGCTGTTGTCATGAGGACTGTCACCTGCTCGGGGTAGCTCTTAGCAGAGTCCTGGGACTGAGCTTCCGGGGCTGTAACTGGCTTGGCCTGCATGGGAAAGGAATTGTCTCCTTTGCTAGTTGGGGTTCCATGCCCCACTGGAGCCTGGGGAGCCAGTTGTACAGGGGCCAGGAGGCAGAGTGGGGAAGATATGGCCCCAGGTGGAGCGGGACAGTGATCAGGATTGGGCAAATGATGCTGGAGGGTCCATTCAAAGAACACCTGCAGGATGGGCGTAGGGGCAGCAGTGTGGGGCGGGGGCTGGCAATGGGACACTGTATCCCGGGAGAGCAGACCCGAGGCAGCACAGGCTGGGAGCTGAGTGTGACATGGCAGCTGGGATGATGGAGCAGAAGTCCTTGCTGTGTGGGCTGTTCTGCCGGCTCCTGTCTGAGGCCATCTCTGCGTGCCCTGAGCCCTCCTGCATTCAGGCACCTTTCCAGGCTCTGGGGACACTGTGGGGAATCCCACGAGGCTCTGCTTTTATTAGGCAAGAAACCAACAGGGAAGCTGTGTAGACTTCCCAGGAAGGAAAGACATCCAGGAAAGGAAGCAGACAAGGCTGGGGAGTGAGGAAGGGAGGGCCTTTAGACAGAGTGGTTGGGGGCTCATGAGGGAGAACGTTGAAGCTGAGACCTGAAGCAGGAGGAGATGAAGACAGCCCTGAGCAGTTCTCATGGGAAAGAGTTCCAGACAGTGACACTCAGGGTCAAAGATCCTAAGACAGGACCAGGAGCAACCTCATTAGGGAAAACAGAGACCAGTGGGGGACACACGTGCTGTGAGAGGCTCAGGTCCACAGGTACGGGGTCCCAGCGACCTTGAGAGCCTGTGGCTCCTCCTGCCTGGAGCCCCAGGAGGGACCCTGTGATGGCCTCCTGCAGGGGTCCTGCACCCAGGGCCCACTTCCCCTCCAGCCTGCAGATGCAGCCAGCAGGGATTCAGACCTGGTGTGGGGACCTGCGACCCTGCTCTCAGCACTCCCTTCCTTTTCGCCCCAGGAAGAAATGCTGTTCCTCCCAAGCCGTTTACACCCTGGTCAGGTGGGGTCATTTGTGATAGAAGGAAAGTCACAAGTTGGTTGCTTGGGAGCTGTATTAGTCCGTTTTCACACTGCTATAAGGAACTGCCGAAGACCGGGTAATTTATAAAGGAAAGAGGTTTAACTGACTCACAGTTCACCATGGCTGGGGAGGTCTCAGGAAACTTACACCATGGTTGAAGGGGAAGCAAGGCACCTTCTTCACAAGGCAGCAGTAAGGAAAATGAACGCAGGAGAAACAACCAAACACTTAAAAACCGTCAGATCTCGTGAGAACTCGCTCACTATCATGAGAACAGCTTGGGGGAAACCGCCCCTATGATTCAATTACCTGCACCTGGACTCTCCCTTGACCCATGTGGATTATGGGGACTACAAGACGAGATTTTGGGTGGGGATACAGCCAAATCACATCAGGAGTGAACTGGGGCTTCTCAGCTTCTCCTTTAGATTCACAAAAGCGGAGTCCGTTGTGAAGTGGGGAACTTGGCGTCTCTCACACTACTCAGAAGGCAACCCTTAAGGAAAACGCAGCTGTAAATCCATCACCCAATTATATTTCAATCAGTTACATTTTTTTTCTGGCGTCCTTAGGCTCTCACCATGCCCTTTGGCCCTTGGCAATTTGCTTTGCCTGGTTTGCCTGGTTTCCTATAATAAATGAGCTGAGAACACACAACACTTCCTCTCTTGGTGTAAGGACGGTTGCCACCAGCAAGTCAAGCCGTGTGATGATACATGGGGCAGGCGGTGACCGGGGTGGGTGGTGACTGGGGTGGGCTTCCTTTGGATTTGCTCTCTGCTTTAGGAAAGTCTGATGGATCTTTCGGGAGCCTCCTGTTAGCTTCTGACAAATGGCTGCCCGCTCATCACCTCCACACTGAGGCGACTACAGGACACTATTGTGGGGTGAGTGGGGTCCCCCCAAAAGACACATTTAAGTCTTAACCCCTGACCCTGTGAATGTGACCATATTTGGAAATAGAGTGTCTGCAAACGAAATCGAGTTAAGATGAGGCTGTCCTACAGTAGGAGGCCCTGACCCAGGGACATACAGGGAGGACAGCACGTGACGCCAGCAGCAGAGAGCATGATGACAAGTTCACAGCCAGGGAACGTGAACACCGAGGATTTCTGGGGCCACCAGACCCAGAAGGATCCTCCCCGGAACCTTCAGAAGGAGATGGGCCTGCTGACACCTTGACTTCAGACTGGCAGCCTCCAAAACTGGAAGGGAATACATTTCTGTCATTCTCGGCCACCCAGTGTGTGGTGATTTTTTATGGTAACCTGGGAAATGAATACAGGCAGCGTTGACGGTTGTTCCTCCAACTCATCATGGTGAGACTATAAAATATTGATGCATCTGCACAGATTAGACAATAAAATGCAAAACGGTAAGAAAAACTTCTAGATTTGTAGAATTATTAATGCTCTTAAACTTGTCTTTTCAGTAAATGTTTATACATTGTCATAAAATTTAAAAAGAAAAGCAGCTACTAATCAGAAAGTAGAGTCACAGTTGGGGTAAAAACCCACATAGGAAGGCTGAGCAGCACCAGGTTACGGTAAGATTAGGGAGCAGGGGTGATGCCCATGTTATGGTTTTCTGGATAAGTGAGTTGCATATCTCTTGCTAGAAGAGGGAGTCTTGCTCCATTTTCTGCTGCTGAAACAGAATACCACAGACTGAGTCACCTATAGAAAAAAATTAGTTTATTTGCTCATGGTTCTGGAGGCTGGGAAGTCTGAGATCCAGAGGCCACATCTGGTGAGGGCCTTCATGCTGCGTCAGCACATGGTGGAAGGACTAGTGAGCACGGTGAGATAAAGAGAGGCACGTGGCCCAGTGTATCCTCTTATGCTGGCATTAGCCCATGCAGAAGGACACAGCCCTGTGGCCTGATTGCCTGCTAAAGGCCTCACCTCTAATACTCTTACAATGGCAATTACATTTCAACATGAGTTTGGGGAGGGACATTTAAATAACAACAAGGGGACAGAACTTTATTTCAAGTTCAACAGATTCTGAGGTCATAACTTGCTTAAAAGTAACTCATCGCCATATTGTTACAGGAAAGGGGTCCCAATCCAGACCCCAAGAGAGGGTTCTTGGATCTGGCGCAAGAAAGAATTCAGGGCAAGTCCATACAGTAAAGTGAAAGCAAGTTTATTAAGAAAGTAAAGGAATAAAAGACAAAAAAAGATACACACACAAAAAAAAGACAGGGAGAGGTGGGACCCCTTAGGCGTAGGTAACCCTTTTTTTTGTCCTTTATCTCCATAGACAAAGGAGACCCAAGGGCTTCTAGTTGCCAATTGTTATGATTATTTCTGGATGACATGCTAAACAAGGGTTGGATTATTCATGCCTTCCCCTTTTAGACCATATCGGGGAACTTCCTGATGCTGCCATGGCATTCGTAAACTGTCATGGCATGGGAGTGTAGCAGTGAGGACGATGACCAGCGGTCCCTCTCGTCGCCATCTTGGTTACGTGGGTTTTAGCTTCTTTACTGCAATCTGTTTTTATCAGTAAGGTCTTTATGACCTGTATCTTGTGCTGACCTCCTATCTCATCCTGTGACTTAGAATACCTTAACCATCTGGGAATGCCGCCCAGTAGGGCTCAGCCTCATTTTACCCAGCTCCTATTCAAGATGGAGTTGCTCTGGTTCACACACCTCTGACAATATGAGGATTTGAGACAAGACAGGAACAGCCCAGAGAGATGCATCTGAAAAGACCTGGGTTCTGCATTCCCTGAGCCCGAGTCTGGGCAGATCTCTCGCCCTGAGCTTCAGCTCTTCGTGTCCTCAGTGGAGCTCTTTGTAGCACTTTGCCAACTTCCCAGGACTGTTGCAATGGGGAGTGAAATGAAGTATGGAGATTCTTTGAAGACCAAAAAAGACAACTCAAAAAATTCACATGTCATTTACAACATTAACAAGGAGGGGAGCCACAGGACATGAGAAACTTATTTACCTTAAAATAGTAAAAACAAAGAAAAGTGCTTTTCAGGATTTATAATTAGTGTGGTTTTACTATCTGTCTTGCAGCACACATTTTAATTGAATCTAAGTGTGTCATCAGCTGTTTGAAACCTACAGACTCTCCAAGTATGGATACATCCTACACAGGATCACAGTTTCACCTGTTCTGGCATTCAATTGTAAATTTAATCACAAACCGAGAACGGGATGACCAGGGCCTGTTTTTGGACTGATCATCCCTGTAGCACATATGGTTAATTTTAGTCATTGGTAGGAGGATTGTTTTTCTTTCAACTTGGATTACTTGGATCTTTAAAATTTAAGTACATATGTTTTCAAAGTTAATAAAAAGATTTTACATTTCAGTTGAGAGCTTAGTGATACCAAGAGCAGGTCCAAGCTGAAGGGAAGTTCAATGAGATGTTCCCTCCCCTCCCTGGGGGGTAGGACGGGAAGGAAACTGTGGAAACCCCATCTCAGCTCCAGAACCACTCCAAGTCATGAGGAGAGGCCAAGAAATCCGAGGCAATTTTGGTAAAACGAGTGGGAAACGTTCCTTTGAACACACAGCCTTTCCAAACAGTGTAGTTTCCTCCCTGTTGCCACCCGCTCTGCTTTTGGCATTAACCTTTTTGTAATTGGAAATTCTGATAATGAACAACACTTATAATGACATTCAAAGGCTAGAAAAATTTATCATTGAGACGAAGCCATGGACAGATAAATTATAATGCCTCTCCGTGTTTCCTAATTGCGTTTCATCAAAGTTTAGACAAGAGGGCCTCAGAGAAAACATCAAAAGAAGATTGTTTTGTCTGGAGAGGACAGCGGCTTAGGAAATGACCGCTATTTTCTAGAATGTGAAGCGCTATTATTAGGGCAGAGGCCGTCTATGATTTCCTCATCTATCCCATGGGCAGAACAGGAGAGCAGTTGTTTGGGCTGGTTTCTGGTTACCTGCCCCTAAGGGGTCCCACCTCTCCCTCTTTTTTTTTTTTTTTTTTTGAGACAGGATCTTGCTCTGTAGCCCAGGCTAGAGTGCAGTAGCAAGATCTCACCTCAGTGTAGCCTCCACCTCCCAGGTTTAAGCGAGTCTCCCGCCTCAGCCTCCTTAGTAACTGGGATTACAGGCACCTGCCACCACGCCCAGCTATTTTTTTGTATTTTTAGTAGAGATGGGGTTTCACCACGTTGGCCAGGATGGTCTTAATCTCCTGACCTCATGATCCGCCCACCTCGGTCTCCCAAAGTGTTGGGATTACAGGTGTGAGCCACCGTGCCCAGCCCCTGAGGGAATTTTAAAAGTTATATAATCATTTTTGCATGGTACGTCATGAAGAAGTAATTTTTTAAAGAGGTGTTTTTTGGTCAGTATGTCATTGAAGATTGTACTATACCTTCCATCTTAACACAAACACTGATGATTTGTATAATCTATAGAGACACATTTTGACTTTTCCCATGGAAACAGTGATGTTCTCCATTTAATTATTTTTTATTGTTCTACTTATTTTAAAATTATGTGATAAAAGCATGAATTGTTGACAAATAATGTTTTAATGTAAGATACTGCTTGGTTTTGACACATTACATACACTAAAATGTGGCAGGACATTTAGCTTCACGCAGTGTTAAAAGCAGACAAAAGTGTGGTCATAGTCTATTTGGAGTTCTTGCATTTTGTTCTTTAAAAGCCAACAGACTTGTGTTTGTATTTCTATATGATCATAAGTGTTGCGTATGTTTAGTTAATATTGCTCGTCTAAAATTTAGAAAAACTCTGTCTTAAATTAATGATTTAAATCATATCTAACTTTTATGAAAAATGAGATGTTATCACTTTAACAATATGAACGCCCTTGAATACTTTTTTTTTTTTTTAATAGAGTCTTGCTCTGTCACCCAGGACGGAGTGCAGTGCTGCGATCTCAGCTCACTGTAACCTCTGCCTCCTGGATTCAAGCAATTCTTGTGCCTCAGCCTCCTGAGTAGCTGAGATTACAGGCATGCACTACCATTCCCGGCTGATTTTTGTATTTTTAGTAGAGATGGGGTTTCACCATATTTCCCAGGCTGGTCTTGAACTCCTGGCCTTAAGTGATCCACCTGTCCCGGCCCCTCAACGTGCTAGCATTACCGGCGTGAGCCACCATCTTGGCCTTGAATACTTTCATATTCCGATGAATTGCTAAGCCATAGGAAACTACAACTAAAAAGGATCACGGGATATTACCAGGACTAGCTTCTTGTCCTTAGGTAAATTTCTAGCTTGTACGGAACAAAAAATAGTATATTATTTGTGTTTAAAGATTTCTCAGGAGCAGAAATTCCACATCTGTCCTCATTAGTCACGCCAAAGCTGTATTTCTTCACACAGCTTTGGAAAGCTACATCCAAGTCATTGGCAGGAATCCTCTGTCATGAAGACCACTTTCTAGGATGTCCAGGCTCTGCCCTCTTCTGGGCACTGGAAAAAATAAAATCAATAAAGACAAAGTGTGAGGATGAATTGAGAAAAGGGCTAAAATAAACGTCAGAAATTCAATACAAAACACAAAATTTACTTTAACAAAATACGAAACTTAGCCTTGAGTCCTTTGGCAACTGTGGGAAAAAGGGAAACATGATGATTGACAAAAGTAATATGCCAATTGTAGGAGGCTTTTCTCAACAACACCCTCATGATTGAGTTAGCACAGGGATGTCACTCTGTCAGCACCAGCAGCACTCCCGGAAGCATGTTCTGTGAAGACCCTGTGGCTCAGTGCCTCTATTCCTCCCCTGGAATCTCTTTCACTCCCCTGAAGTTAGGACAGGCCTCAAAGAGCTGGCTTTCCCCAGCTTTGTTCAAATATCTTGACTCCTTCTCGGGTTGCAGGGCTGCCTAGTGGCCTTCTCAATGGCATTGCATTTCTTGTTTCCTCAGTCATGCTCCTGAAGGACCCACGGTTGCAGTGGAACTTGCTTCCAGCGGGACGTCCTGTGTTCCTTGGTGGGAAGTCCATCTCTCTCTCTGCACACCTGTTCCAGCCTTAATGGGTCAGAATTGCTCACCAGAGCAGAAAAAAAGTTCAGGAAGAGGCAGCTTAGAGGAAGAGCAGGCAGTGACCACGCTCGGCTCGGGGAGGAGGTTGGAGGCTCCTTGGCTGAGAGGTTTGTGGCCCAAGGACACAGCAAATCCAGCAGTCCTCCTTCTCATCAGTGAGAGCGCCTTGTTCCCAGAGCAGGTGGAAACATGGTGATGTCTACCAGAGTACTGTATTTATTGACTGATTGAGACAGAGTCTTGCTCTGTCACCCAGGCTGGAGTGCAGTGGCACAATCATGACTCACTGCAACCTCCACCTCCCGGGTACAAGAGATTCTTATGCCCCAGCCTCTGGAGTACTGGGACTACAGGTACGTGTCACCACACCTGGCTAATTTTTTGTATTTTTTAGTAGAGGCGGGGTTTCACCATGTTACCCAGGATGGTCTCGATCTCCTGACCTCGTGATCTGCCTGCCTCAGCCTCCCAAAGTGCTGGGATTACAGGTGTGGGCCACTGTGCCCGGCCTATTTTTTATATATACATATATGTGTATATGCAAATATAGACATAGATATGTATGTACACATGTGCGTGTGAGCGGGCACACACACACACACAGCCCCAAATACCCTTCCCCATCCTACCACATGCATCAGCAAATGCTTTCACCGAGAGCCTGTGAGGCCCCGGGAGCAGTGAAGCAGCTTTAGGGCCGCTGAGCTGAGGGCGTTTCCCACTCTCTGCGTGAAGTCCAGCACCACAGGGGTTATTGTGACCACTCGGCACAGCCACAACAGGGGGCAGGGAGTTTGGTCAGTCTGGGCACTGTCTTGGCGGCAGCGTGAGGAGGAGCTGTCTTAGAAGCCAGATAGATGGTAGCTGGAGCCAGCTGACCCGGAGTAAACCCGGAGCACTTCCTCAGAGATGCTGAGAAGTCTTTGGGAGGAAACTTCAGGTGAATTGCTGGCCATGCTGGGTGGGCAAAGGTGGGTGAACCCGGGACCGTCAAGTTAATGACTTCATTGAATATACAAGCAGGCGATTCCTGGTCATGTCTGAGTTGCATAAAAGTTATGGAACTGTCTGGGTGCCGTGGCTCACACCTGTAATCCCAGCACTTTGGGAGGCCAAGGAGGGCAGATCACGACGTCAGGAGTTTGAGACCAGCCTAGCCAACATGGTGAAACACCGTCTCTACTAAAAATACAAAAATTAGCTGGGCGTGGTGGTGCACCCCTGTAGTCCCAGCTACTCAGGAGGCTGAGGCAGGAGAATTGCTTGAACCCAGGAGGCAGAGGTTGCAGTGAGCTGAGATTGTGCCATTGCACTCCAGCCTAGGCAACAAGAGCGAGAGTCCATCTCAAAAAAATAAAAAGTTATGGAACTGCAGAGTATTGCATAATATTGTGCAAGATTCTAAAGTTAAATGAGAATTTTATGAAAGTACCTTGATATGGTTAGGCTTTTTGTCCCCACCCAAAGCTCATCTTGAATTCTAACCCCCAGGTGTTGAGAGAGAGACCTGGTGGGAGGTGATTGGATCATGGCGGCAGTCTCTCCCATGCTGTTCTCGTGATACTGAGTGAGTTCTCATGAGATCTGATGGTTTTAAAAGTCTTTGGAAGTTCCTCCTTTGTTCACTAGTCTCTCTCCTGCCACCTTGGAAAAAGATTCCTGCTTCCCCTTCCGCCATGATTGTAAGTTTCCCGAGACCTTCTCAGCCATGCAGAACTGTGAGTCAATTAAACCTCTTTCCTTTATAAATTACCCAGTCTTGGGAAGTTCTTTATAGCAGTGTGAGAACGGTGCTATACATACCTCTTAAAGCTCTTGCTTTAATTGTTTATTATTACAGATGCATGAAAACTAATCAGTACTCCTTTTTATAAATTCATCTTTAATTTGAAGAAACAATCAAGCATTCTCTGCCATCTTATTATTAAATTCCCCCTTAATTTATTTAGCCTTCTTATACCACTTATTAATTATTTTTTATCTTAGACTAATAGAGCAACATCTTTTTAAAAGTATAAAATCAAAAGCTGTACACATTTTTAACAAAAGTCTGAGTAATGCCAAAGAAAGAAACAAGCATCGTTCTTCATGCTGTGCCTGTCGGACTCTCTGAAGACCGTTGCTGGGTCATGGCAGGTTTTCCAGGGCTGAGCTCGATTGCTGGCTGCGTTCAGCTCAGTCAGTTACTCTTTCTATGCTAAATCAGTATGTCTTTTATACTCAGCCAGGACAGCTTAATCTTGTCAGAATATTTACTTTTTTCTTTACTTTGTACTTTTTCCTGGTAAGACTTCTGCTGTTTAATTTTAACTTTTTATTTTGAAATATAGATTCACAGGAAGTTGCAAAGACAATACAGAGACATCTCACATAACCTTCACCCAGTTTCTCCCAATTGTTACATCTATAGTACAATATCAGAACCAAGAATCTGGCATTGCTACAGTGTGTGTGTATAGTTCCATCCCATTTTAAGACAGGCGTGGATTTGTGTAACCTCCACCATATTCAAGATACAGAGCTGTTCCATCAACTCAAAGACCTCCCCTTTGGTACTCTTTTACAGTGAAAGCCACTTCCCTCCCTATCCCCACCATCCCTAACCCCTGACAACCAGTAATTTTTTTTTTTTTTTTTTTTTTTTTTTTGAGATGGAGTCTTGTTCTCTCACCCAAGCTGGAGTGCAGAGGCGTGATCTCAGCTCATTGTAATCTCCGCCTCTTGGGTTTAAGGGATTCTCCTACCTCAGCCTCCGGAGTAGCTGGAATTACAGGCATGCGCCACCACACCTGGCTAATTTTTGTACTTTTAGTAGAGATGGGTTTTTGCCATGTTGGCCAGGCTGGTCTCAAACTCCTGACCTCGGGTGATCCACTCGCCTCGGCCTCCCAAAGTGCTGGCATTACAGGCGTGAGCCACCGTGCCTGGCCATAACCCATTTAAATTTAATGTAATTATGAATATGTTAGGGCTTATGTCTGTCATTTTATTTAGTTATTTTTTGTTGTTTTCTGTTTGTTTCCTATTTTTCTTTTCCTTCTTTTTTTTTTCCCTGCCTGCCTATGGGTTACTTGAATATTGTATAGATTTCCATTTTAATTGATCTATAAATTTTTGAGTACACCTCTTTGTCTCCATTGTTTTTTGGTTGCTGTACGTATTATATTACATATACGTAACTCAGCGCCGTCTTCCGGTGCAAATGTCAGCACAGTTTGAGTGAAGTGTAGAAATCGTCACTTTTTAAAGTCCCTTTATCCTCCCTTAATTGACTTAAATATTCCTTCTACTTGCATTAAGAACCACATCAGACAGTGATAATGTTTTGCTTCAACTGTTAAATGTAATTTAGAAAACTCAAGAGGAAGAAATGCTGTTGTCTTTTTTTTTTTTTTTTTTTTTTTTGAGTTGGAGCCTCACTCTGTGGCCCAGGCTGGAGTGCAGTGGCACGATGTGAAGGACCTCTTCAAGGAGAACTACAAACCACTGCTCAAGGAAATAAGAGAAGACACAAACAAATGAAAAAACATTCCATGCTCATGGATAGGAAGAATCAATATCATGAAAATGGCCATACTGGCCAAAGTAATTTATAGATTCAATGCTATCCCCATCAAGCTACCATTGACTTTCTTCACAGAATTAGAAAAAATTACTTTAAATTTTATATGGAACCAAAAAAGAGTCCATAAAGCCAAGACAATCCTGAGCAAAAAGAACAAAGCTGGAGGCATCACGCTACCTGACTTAAAACTATACTACAAGGCTACAGTAACCAAAAGAGCATGGTACTGGTACCAAAACAGATATATAGACCATGGAACAGAATAGAGTCCTCAGAAATAATGCCACACATCTACAACCATCTGATCTTTGACAAACCTGACAAAAACAAGCAATGGGGAAAGGATTCCCTATTTAATAAATAGTGTTGGAAAAACTGGCTAGCCATATGCAGAAAACTGAAACTGGACCCCTTCCTTACACCTTATACAAAAATTAACTCAAGGCTGGGTGCAGTGGCTCATGCCTGTAATCCCAGCACTTTGGGAGGCTGAGGTGGGCAGATTACGAGGTCAGGAAATCAAGACCATCCGGGCTAACATGGTGAAACCCCGTCTCTACTAAAAATACAAAAAATTAGCCGGGCGTGGTGGTGGACGCCTGTAGTCCCAGCTACTCCGGAGGCTGAGGCAGGAGAATGGCATGAACCCGGGAGGCAGAGCTTGCAGTGAGCCGAGATTGTGCCACTGCACTCCAGCCTGGGCAACAGAGTGAGACTCCGTCTCAAAAAAAATAAATAAATAAAGTCAAGATGGATCAAAGGCTTAAATGTAAGACCTAACACCATAAAAACCCTAGAAGAAAACCTAGGCAATACCATTCAGGACATAGGCATGGGCAAAGACTTCATGACTAAAACACAAAAAGGAATGGCAACCAAAGCCAAGATTACCAAATAGGATTTAATTAAACTAAAGAGCTTCTGCACGGCAAAAGAGACTCTCATCAGAGTGAACAGGCAACCTACAGAACGGGTGAAAATTTTTGCAATCTATTCATCTGACAAAGGGCTAATATCCAGAATCTACAAGCAACTTAAACAAATTTACAAGAAAAAAGCAAACAACCCCATCAAAAAGTAGGTGAAGGATGTGAACAAACACTTCTCAAAAGAAGACATTTATGCAGCCAACAAACATGAAAAAAAGCTCATCATCACTGGTTATCAGAGAAATGCAAATCAAAACCACAATGAGAAACCATCTCATGCCAGTCAGAATGGAGATCATTAAAAAATCAGGAAACAACAGATGCTGGAGAAGGTGTGGAGAAATAGGAACTCTTTTACACTGTTGGTGGGAGTGTGAATTAGTTCAACCATTGTGGAAGACAGTGTGGCGATTCCTCAAGGATCTAGAACCAGAAATACCATTTGACCCAGCAATCCCATTACTGGGTATATACCCAAAGGATTATAAATCATTCTACTATAAAGACACATGCACTCATACGTTTATTGCAGCACTGTTCACAATAGCAAAGACTTGGAACCAACCCAAATGCCCATCAATGATAGACTGGATAAAGAAAATGTGGCACATATACACCATGGAATACTATGCAGCCATAAAAAAGGATGAGTTCATGGCCTTTGCAGGGACATGGATGAAGCTGGAAACCATCAACCTCAGCAAACTAACACAGGAACAGAAAACCAAACACTGCATGTTCTCACTCATAAGTGGGAGTTGAACAATGAGAACACATGGACACAGGGAGGGGAACATCACACACAAGGGCCTGTCAGGGGGTGGGGGCTAGGGGAGGGATAGCATTAGGAGATATACCTAATGTAGATGACGGGTTGATGGGTGCAGCAAACCACCATGGCACATGTATACCTGTGTAACAAACCTGCACATTCTGCACATGTACCCCAGGACTTAAAGTATAATAAAAAAATTTAAAAATGCTTTTTAATTTTCTCTAATACCTGTTGCTTTTTATACTTGAAATGAGTAAAAGCAAATGTACTATTTGATCTAGCACAAAATGTTACATTTAATTATATTTAGCGGGATATCTTTATCAGTTCATCATGCCATGTGAGTGAGTTTGAGGAACATTAAAGCATGAAAGTTTCCTTGTGTTCTTTGGTTTTGGCGAACTATGTTGTTTTCTCTTCTGAGCTGTGTGGTCTTGGACGAGCTGCTCTACTTCTCAGGGCCCCAGCTGGATCATTTGTAAAACGCGGATAATAAGAGTTCACCTTCAGAGGGTTGTTATACTGATTATGTGGGTTAAAAGATTAAAGTGCTTAGGACATTTTTTGGCAGATTAGCAAGCTCAAATAACGTTAGCCCTTGTTTTTGTTGTGACTGTTATTAAACAGAATAATACAAATGCTAGGAGTAATTCTTCTCCGGCATTCACTTTGCAACTTGCCTTCCCTTCTCTTGGTTGATATGGTTGGATTAGTATTTGCAAACCTCTCTGGAATTGGGTAAGGAACAGATAGTTTTATGTCAGGAAACTGGTTACCCCTGTGTGGCCCTCGAATTCTTTGCTCTAGCTGCTCAGGTGCAGTCTTGCTAGGGTTTTGCTCTTCAGCCCTTATACCCTATTGTATATGTGTTACATTTTATCTTTCATGTTTAGAAAGATTTGTATCTAAATACACTATTTATAGGTGCTTAAGAGATGTATCACAATACCCTACAATACTTCTTACCTTAGCAAGTTTGTTGGCAACTGCAGTGCTCGACCTCCAGGGGTCCTTGGCACCCTGTATTCTTTTTTGCTTTGTTTTGTTTTTTGATACAGGGTCTTACTCTGTTGCCCAGGCTGGAGTGCAGTGGGACCATCATAGTTCACCACAGCCTCAAATTCCTGGGCTTAAGCGATCCTCCTATCTCAGCCTCCCAAAGTGCTGGGACCACAGGGGCACACCACCATTCCTGGCTAATTTAAAAAAATTGTAAAGATGGGATCTGGCTGTTTCCCAGACTGGTCTTGAACTGCTGGGCTCAAGGGATCCTCCTACCTCAGCCTCCCAAAGTGCTGGGATCACAGGGGCACACCACCATTCCTGGCTAATTAAAAAAAAAAATTGTAAAGATGGGATCTGACTATGTTTCACAGACTGGTCTTGAACTCCTGGGCTCAAGAGATCCTCCCACCTCTGCCTCCCTAAGTGCTGAGATTACAGGTTTGAGCCACGGCCTCTGGTTCCCTGTGTTCTTAAGCTTTGAAGTGGGGCCTTGGGTTACACGACTCCATTTGCCCTTCAGGAACATTTGCCGGTTCCTTCCTAGCATCTTCCACCCTTCTAGTTGATGGCCAATTGAGTATCTGATTATTTGTTCCAGGATCTTTCCAAGTATTGATTCAAAGGTGAAGAGTCTGTAACTGGGTACTAGGTCATCTCTTTTAAACAATGGCCACAGTGTCTCCTTTGAAAATCCTCCGGAGACTCTCTTTGTCCTCTGGGACTTCTCCTGTGACTGCCTGTGTCCCACAGTGACTGATGTGTGCCAATGTGTAAAATGGCCAGGAGTGTAAAACATCAGACTTCCCCAGAGCAAACGCACCCTTTGCAAAGTGATTATTTGGTTATTCGTCTTCCTCTATTAATTTGCTTTTCCACCCGTGCATCTATATGGAGGTTATGCAAGTTTGATGTTCACAGAAGCATTCTTCAGCAAAGATAATTAATTCAAACATTAAAAATATATACATTCTGTTGTTTTGCTTTCCTCTTTCAGAAAGGGAGTTTTAAAAACCTTTTTCCTTCACCTAGTAGACCTGGCAGTATATGAGTGTTTGTTATTTCTCCTGTGCTGTGGAGTCCTCATACGCTTTGCCACCTTACAGCTGCACCACTCGCGAAGACCCTGTTTTTGTGATCTAGCTGAATTGTGACTTCAGGAAGATGAAGTTTGGATGTTGCCGTTCTTGTGGCAAACACAGGTGACACACCAATACAGGGGGCTGGATGCTGGTCCCCCCTGGGCATGGCGTGAATTCTTCAGAGTATGGATGTACGCAGTGTACGGGTGAGGGGTGTCCCTGTTCGTGTCCCTAAAGAGGTAAGCTGACTCCAGATGGCCTGTTCCAACTCTGTCCCCAGCCCCTCCAGGGCGGGGCCCCACCTGCCTGAGGCTGTTCACCCCCAGCCTCTTGCTGCAACAAGCCCCTCGTGCTGCCAGGCCTTCTTGGAAGAGGCACCAACCATTCCTGGCTACTTCCCAAGGAGGCCAACTGGTGAAGGAAAATGAACCATCCTCACAGTGGAGACAGTGATGGCAGCTGGTACAGACATCCTCTGCCTGCTCCTCCTCCCCATTCTGGTCTCTCCCTCCAAATACAACTGGATTGGCTGGGCCAGCATCTCCCTGGGGATTGGGACCCCTCTCTCCTATGAAAACAGCTCTAATCACTGTGAGTCCCCATTTGGTGTGCACCCCATGAACTTGGTTTTGGGAGAGACACCTGATTGGGAGCCATAGCTGTGTCTACTGCACCTAGGACCCACAGCCCCATCCCTTTGCCTTATCTTCGCCCCTCTTTGTGTTCTTGTAGACAGATGGGAAGGGAGATGGGGCGGGGGGCAGATGGAGTGTTTGGAGGGGCAGATCAGCCTGGACTGATCGCTCCCTGGACCTGATGAGCAGCTGAAGTCACTCCTGGACCCTCCCACTGTTACTGTTATCTGTGGGACCCTGTTTCCCAGGGTTGGGGCCTTCCTCTTCTCCTCCAGAAGGTAGGCATCCTTCAGTAGCATCCTAAGAAGGGTGCAGAGGGGCACGGTTCTGAGGGCCCGGCAGGACTACACGTCTTTATTTTACCTTCATGTTTTATGGTTTGATATAAAACTACAGTTTTACTATAGCTTTCCACTTAGCATTTCCCTATTTACTTTTTATTTTTATCAAAGAAAATGTCCAATAGAGCCAGACCCTCCTCCAGGCCGTTCTTTTGGTGTTGACCACTGACCCGATCCATTTACGTCATCTGTGTGTACCGGCAACGCTGGCTTCATTCACTTTCTCCTATTGTTGCCTTGTTGTTTTTGGCTGGTTTTCACAGTAGGTCCTAAAATTTCTATTTTTGAAACTCTAAACATATATAAAAAAAAGAGAGAGTAGCATAATGGACCCCTGTGAACACGCACCATGCAGCCTCAACAAAGATCAACTCCTGGGCAGCTGTGTCTCCCAGGCTGCAATACAGGCCACAGTGACCATATTGAAGGCACTGCGGCATCTTCCAGCCTCCCTGCGACTGAGCAACTCACTTCCATTCTAATGCCTTTTCACCTGGGAGCTGCTTGTTTGTTGTTCCCATTTTAAAGCCCTCAAGATCATCTATTGAATGATGGCGTCTTGGAATTCCATGACGACAGACCTGTGATCATGTCTCCTTTCATTCTGCTGGTCCTTGGCAGGTCTCTTACATTTGGGCACTTGTTAGTTCTGTGAACTTTTACTTGACTTCATCCTTCAGACCTTCTACAGAATTTTTTTTTTTTGAGACGGAGTCTCGCTCTGTCGCCATGCTGGAGTGCAGTGTCGCGATCTCAGCTCACTGCAACCTCTGCCCCCTGGGTTCAAGCTATTCTCCTGTCTCAGCCTCCTGAGTAGCTGGGACTACAGGTGCCCGCCACCACGCCCAGCTAATTTTTGTATTTTTAGTAGAGATGGGGTTTCCCCATGTTGGCCAGGATGATCTCGATCTCTTGACCTTGTAATCCACCCGCCTCAGCCTCCCAAAGTGCTGGGATTACAGGCGTGAGCCACTGCGCCTGGCCAGAAATTTTGTTTTATTTTAGTTGTCATTCCTACAAATTCCAGGAGCTGTGATTTAGTCTCTGTCTGCGTGCACGTGTGCGTTCATCTTGCTGTTTTATGAATGCAGCATTTGCCTAAGGATGTTAATATAGATTTTTTAAAAGTTTTTTTCTGCTCTCTTTATAGACTGCTTCCTCTATGTTAATTTTTGTAACTTTCATTATTTTTTTTAAATCAAATCTTTTGTGGTGCTAGACTGTCCTTTCACATTGACGACCAAGGTACTAAAAACCAGACTGAGTCACGGCAGGGCCTGTGGGCTAGGGGCATCATTCATTTCCCCTGTCGGGGGAAGGCCGCCCACCCATGGCTTCTGATTGTCTGGGAGCAGGTGGTCAGGGGCTCCTGCACTGAGGAAACTCTTCCTGGGCCCCCTGCATGGAGCGCCCCCACCCCTGTGAGATGGAGAAGGAGGGCAAGAGCTCCCCCTGTGGCCCAGCTATGGAAGGAGACCCTTTTTGTTGGGCTCCTTGTGGTAAACGACCTCTTCCTGTCCACATCTTCAGCTGTAGACACGTTCCCTGTACTTTACCACCTCTCATCTGTTCCTGCTTTCTGTACCTTGTTGAAATATCTCACTGGCTGCTGTTTTTCCTCTCATTTTCTTTGTTATTATGAATAATATCTTTAAAACTATTATGCAGAGCTTTAGGTAAAAGAGAAGATAAAATCCATCTGGTCAATCCACTGTGTTAAATAGAACATATATTTCTGAAAGTTCTTTTTCTTTCTTTTTCTGATTTCAGTTTTCTTCCCTTTATATATTGTGTCTTTTTTTTTTTGCCACTCATTCCTCTAACCCATCTACCTCCAAGAGACTGATTTCTAAATCTCTCATGATCTCTTCCCTGTTAGAGATCAGATGAGCAACAGACCTTGTTCTGTCTGATTCCTCCAACGTTCTAAGGGAGGAAGTTCTCTCCAGTGTAGACCAAAAATCGACTTGGTGGTCTGTGGTCAGCTGAATTGTTTTTCCAGAATGTAACAGGAGTTTCATGCCCCATCATAACCAGATGTAGCTGAAAGCTTTGGTGAGTTGACCAGAAAAGGTTTCCTCGAGCTCTTCATCATGTGGGCATCTATATATAGACTCTACTGCGATGTCGCCCTCGATCTTAATCCGCCTTGCACAGTCTAGTGAGTGGCTTCAGGTTTCCTGAGAGATTTTATTCAGCGGATCATGGTGTTTCTCCACACGGATGCAGTGTTCCCTGCCATGATACAATGTGAGAATGTGAGAGATTTTTTGCCCTGCAAGGAAAGAACTGAATTTCTCATTAAGTTGAAGAAATTTTTATGATCATTGAATTATTAAGCTCTGGTCTTTTCAGAAAGCTACCAAGGGAAGGGAAGGAAAAAAATAAATAATAAATGGTGTTTTTTGTGCAAAGTTTACATTTTTTTTTTCCAGGGAACAAGAAGGACGCTGATAAAACTCCAGATGGTTTGCTCATCCACGTCTACTCCACACATTTCTCCTAGATGGCGGCACCTCCTTTCCATCCTGACTTGGAGGGGCTTCATTTCAGACGGTCCGTGATTCACATTTTCTTACAGTACTTTGAGCTCTTGAAAGCCCTGGTAGAGATCATTATCATTTCCTGCTTTAGCCTGGCTCCTGAGCTGTGGTGGCTGCATTTCTTTGGTCCTGTTTTTTTATGAGCCTCACCCTTTGAGTACCAATAAAGGCTGCAGTAAAGGGACTGATCCAGACCCAGATAACTGCATGGCCAGAACAAAGTGCCCCAGCCTAAGCACCATGACAATAAATGGAGCTACATTGAAGCAAAAAGTTCCAGAGAAATGGGAAGAGAGGTGCCACAAGAGAGAGCAGGACTCTTAATCTTTTGCAACTAAAAGTTAACTGTTACTTCCACTACTTCAATTTGGAGCCTATTTGAAGGAGCCGTTGACATATGCTTTTATACAAATTTGTTGATCTGTATTTTCCTATATTTACCTTATGCACTCCTCAGTCATAACACTGCTAGAATGTCCTTTGTGTAATTTAAAAAGCGACAATGGAATTTTTTGAAGTATGCAGGGGGAGAAGTGAAAAGAAGATGTCCACAGAGCAGGATGCTCCTTATCCTGGCCCCCATCTGTCATCAGGGGCACTGGGAACAGTCTCTGTTTTTCCTAGGAGCAGCGATCACTTAAACTAATTTACAAAGTAAGCTGATTTATGCCTCTTAACAGTTACTGAGTGCTTAACATTATAGGAAATACAGTCTAGGTCTAAATTACTTACAAGGGATGTTTCAAAAAGTAGTCCTAAAAATTATTCAATCACCAAGAAATTATCCTTCATATAAATGTGTCAGGAGCAGTATGCATTGACATTTTGAGTAAATATTTCAGTTTTATGTCGAATGTATACTCAGTTGCTTCTGAAAAATAGATTGTAAGCAAGCAGATGGGGAAAATATTTCAAAATGGAATTTAAGAGGATCAATTGTATTTAGAATCAGTTGTATTAGAAATACAGCATAATAAGAGGTATCTTTCTCGGAGCTGTAGGTATTGTTATAACCTGGGATTTGTTTCCTGTACATCTGGATATAGATCATTATGTAAATAAAAGAAATGCCTTTTCAATATTCAAAAGTGTTTTTTTTCTTTTTGAAGCACAGCTAGTTATGTTTTGTTAATAAGGGAACATTAAATCTTTAATTTATTCCAAATTTTACTCACGATACTCAAACTGCTCTCACTCATTTTAGGTTGAGACTTTTCCAAGCCAGGATTGGGCTGATGCAGGGGACCTCCTCCGAGCAAGAGGGTGCATGCCATGGATGACAAAGGCAGGAGCTGCTCAGTCCAAACCCGGGTCCCCCAACCACCGTCTAGTGGACGTGTAACATCGGGCAAGTGATGCAGCTTTCCTCTCGCATTTTCCTATAAAATGGAGCTAAATATAGTCCCTACCTTATAGGGTTCTTATGAGGATTAAGTGAGTTAATGTGGAAAAATCTCTCACGACAGCAATTGGTTATTGGTGTCATATAAGGGGAAACATGGACTTCCTCAGATAATGCCAACGATTGACCCTTTCCTGCTGGGTATGTCCAGACAGTAAAACTCCTCTGTGCTTCAGAAAGTAAAGAACTGGTTCCATAGATGTGGGACATGAGCAGGGGTGGTGCTGTTGGAAATTTTGCTTTTTTGTTTAATGTGAACAATACCATTTGTTCTTGAGTGGTTTTGCCCAGGTATTATAGGCAAGGGGTCTTTGAAAAATGAATTTATGGCCAGAAGTGGCTGTATCTTCTCAAGCAAAGCCCTCGGTGTTTACTGATACCATCAGTAACTGAAGGCTATTCTGGTTAGGGCTGAAATTCTTTTCCTTTTACAGAAGTTGGAGACACCAGATAAAAGACACTAAAAAGTTATAAAGTAGATTTAGTGTTGAGTACGTTCCAGCATTCTCCATTAATTGTGTGGTTTCAAATAGCAAAGGGCTACCTCCTCTTGAAGACAACTCATGAGAGGATCATGGGGAGGAGATGGGTCCTGGAGGACCAGGAGCAGGGAGACACAGCCATTTCTGGGAAGAGCCCGTGGAAAGGGCATCCAGCCAGACTCCAGATCCCTCGTTTTTCCTTTGGCCAACTTCATTGCATCAACTTGTAGTTGATGTACTACTAGCAAATTGTAACAGTGTGTAGACTACTTAATAGGCGATCAAGTGGACCAAGAGGAAAAGTCGGACCTTCCTGGGGCACACATGCAGGTAACATGGAAACTGTAGTCACTTCCTGGTGCCACCTCTTAGCCAGGCGGTGTCCTTAGTGATATTGCTTATGCCTTATTCTCGCCCTGTGTGGTTACGATCCTCCACTGCACAGGTAATGAACATGAGGCACTGAAGGTAACCTGCCCAGTGTCCCACAAGGCTGTGGTGTGAATGTTTACATCACCCAAAGCATTGAAATCCTAACTCCCAAGGTGGTGGTATTTGGAGATGGGGCATTTGGGAGCAGATAAGGTCATGAGGCTGAAGCTCTCATAGATGGAATTAGTGCCTTATAAAAGAGGCCCCAAGAGAGACTGCTTGTCTGTCCCTTCCACTGCGTGAGAACACAGCAATAAGGTACCATCCACGAACCAGAAAATGGGTCTTCAACAGACCCCAAATCTGCCTTGACTGTGGACTTGCCAGCCTCTAGAACTGTGAGAAATACAGTTTTGTTGCTAATGAGCCACCCAGCCTATGGTACTTTGCTATAACAGCCCAAACAGACTGAGACACAGTGAGTGGACCCTGTGACGCCAGAGTCTGTCCCTTGGCCACCACTGTTGAAGGCCAAAAGGGTGAGGGTCGTGATCAACTCAGTGCACCACTGGAGGCCATATGGGTAAACAGCAAACTGTTCTCATGAAAGCAGGATGTTGGCAAACTGACAAACTGCATCTGCAGCCCAGAAGGAATGCTGAGGGCAGTCACAACCCAGGCACAAGTGTTGCTTGGGATTAGACGCATCTGGAGCCTGTTAGCAATAATGTGAACCTGTGATCAATTAAGCAGCTGACCAGTCTCACCTCCTCCTCCCTGTTCTTTCTACCCAATAAATACAAAGGGCTGGAGAAGCTCAGGGCTGCTGCCTTTGCTCACTAGAAGCGGGGAGCTCTCTTCTTCCCCTGGCCCTTTCCTTTAAAACAGTTTCTTTTGTCTTAAGTTTTCATTTCTATGTTCATCCCCCTTCATTCAGTCTCATAATGACGGTCTCAAGTAGTAACAGTAGTAATTGTCATAATGATGGTCTCAAGTAGTAAGAGTAGCAATTGTCATAATGACAGTCTCAAGTAGTAACAGTAGTAACTGTGGTAATGACAGTCTCAAGTGGTAACCGTGGCAGTCTGTCACACACCACCTGTCTTTCTTCCTAACTGCTCAGTACCTGGCTCCCTGGTGCACTCATGAGACCTGCTCTTCCCTTCTTTCTCACCCCTTCCACTCAGTCTGGAAGTTCTCAAGCACCACTGCTGAATCAGCAAAAAGTGAATGTGACAGACACAGTCACTGCCTTTTGAGAAAATTAATTCCCAGACAGACAACACTGCTATGGGCAGAATGTATAAAGGATCCCTCAAATAAGACACAAATGCTACACCTCACCTTCAGGAACTGTTGTGGTTTGGATATAGTTTGTTTGGCTCTGCCAAGTCACATGTTGAAGTTGGTTCCCTAGTGTTGGAGATGGGGCCTGGTGGGAGGTGTTTAGGTCTTGGGGACAGATCTCTCATAAATGGCTTGGTGACAGTCTCACTTGTGCGAATTGTCACTCTTAGTTTGCATGAGAACTGATGGTAATAAAAAGCCTGGTGGCCAGGTGCGGTGGCTTATGTCTGTAATCCCAGCGCTTTGGGAGGCTGAGGAGGTGGAGTCTGCAGTGAGCCGAGATCACGCCACTGCACTCTAGCCTGGTGACACAGCAAGACTCTGTCTCAAAAAAACAAAACAGAAATAAAGATAATAAAGATCAGAGGCCGGGCGCGGTGGCTCACGCCTGTAATCCCAGCACTTTGGGAGGCCGAGGCGGGCGGATCACGAGGTCAGGAGATCGAGACCATCCCGGCTAAAACGGTGAAACCCCGTCTCTACTAAAAATACAAAAAATTAGCCGGGCGTAGTGGCGGGCGCCTGTAGTCCCAGCTACTTGGGAGGCTGAGGCAGGAGAATGGCGTGAACCCGGGAGGCGGAGCTTGCAGTGAGCCGAGATCCCGCCACTGCACTCCAGCCTGGGCGACAGAGCGAGACTCCGTCTCAAAAAAAAAAAAAAAAAAGATCAGAGCAGAAAGAAATGAAACTTAAATGAAAACAGTACAATCAATGAAATCAAAAGTTGTTTTTTTGAAAAGGTCAACAAAATAGACAAATTTTGCCAGACTCAATAAGAAAAAAATGAGAGAACACCCAAATAAATAAAATCAGAGATGAAAAAGGAGGCGTTATAACTGATGCCACAGAAATTGAAACAATTATTAAAGGCTACCATGGGCAACCATATGGCAAGAAATTGGAAAACCTAGAAGAAATGGATAAATTCCTAGACATATACAGCCTACCCAGGTTGCACCTTGAAGAAATCCAAAATAACAAATAACAACATTGAAGCCATAATAAAAAGTCTCCCAGCAAAGAAAAGCCCCAGACCGAATGGTTTTACTGCCTAATTTTACTAAACATTTAAAGAAGAACTAACACCAATTCTACTCAAACAATTCTGAAAAATAGAGTACAAACTCATTCTATAAGGCCAGTATTACCCTGATACCTACACCAACAAATACAAATCTAAAAAAGAAAACTACAGGCCAATATCCCTAATAAACATTGATTAAAAAAATCCTGATGAATATTGATGCAAAAATACTAGCAAACCAAAGTCAATAATACATTAGAAAGATCATTCATCATGACCAAGTGGAATTTATCCTAGGGATGAAAGGATGGTTCAACGTATGCAAATCAAATCAATCAATGCGATACATCTTATCAACAGAATGAAGAACAAAAATAATATGTTCGTTTCAGTTTACACAGAAAAAGTATTTGAAAAAATTCAACATCCCTTTGTAACTTAAAACCCTCAAAAAAAAAAAACTGGGTATAGAAGGGACATACCTCAACATAATAAAAGCCCTATATGACAGACCCACAACTAGTATCATACTGAATGGGAAGTAACTGAAATCCTTTTCTCTAAGATCTGGAACAAGACAAGGATGCCAACTTTCATCACTATGTTATTCAATCAGCACTATGTTATTCAACACAGTCCTTGAAAGTCCTAGCTAAAGCAATCAGACAAGAGAAAGAAATAAAGGACATCCAAATCACAAAGGAGAAAGTCAAATTATCCTCGTTTGTGGATGATATGAACTTATATTTGGAAAAGCCTGAAGACTCCACCAAAAAATGATTAGAACTGATAAACAAATTTAGTAAAGTTGCAGGATAAAAAATCAACAAATAATTGTAGCACTTCTATATACCAACAGTGAAAAATCTGAAAAAAAGATCACATCTATAATATTAATAACTACAACTAAAATTAAATACCTAGAAATTAACCAAAGGAGTAAAAGATCTCTACAATGAAAACTATAAAACATTGATGAAGGAAATTGAAGAGGATACTGTTGGGAATCCTATTTATAGATAGCAAACTCACTCTTTCACCCCAAATTCTGCATCAATAATAATTATTAAGATAAATGTTGGGATTTTTATTTGCATCATCCTAGTAATTTTTTTTGAGACAGAGTCTCCCTCTGTCACCAGGTTGGAGTGCAGTGGCACGATCTCGGCTCAGTGCAACCTCCTCCTCCCAGGTTCAAGCGATTCTCCTGCCTCAGCCTCCTGAGTAGCTGGGACTACAGGTGCCTGCCACCACGCCCAGCCATTTTTTTTTCTTTTGCATTTTTAGCAGAGACGGGGTTTCACCATGTTGGCCAGGATGGTCTTGATCTCTCGACCTCGTGATCTGCTCACCTCAGCCTCCCAAAGTGCTGGGATTACAGGCATGGGCACCGCGCCCAGCCTGCTGGCCAACTTTCTATTTTTCCTTCTTTGCTAATAGATTCTTGATTTATTCAGGTCTTGAGAACCCAGTAAGTGGATGCTGGTTATTGTAAGTCAATCTTGGCAATTCTACTTCCCTTGCTACTGATTGTTTTATGTGTGGTTAGTCAATGCAATGCTGTCTCATAATGTTTAAGAAGAAGTTGGTTGAAGGTTTTATTAGAGGGGTTCACCCCTAATAAAAAGGGGTCCAATGAGGACTTCAAGTCCAGGCTCTTATGGGAAGGATGCTGTTTTCCCTGCTCCTTCTACTAAGTAAAACTATAGACCCTGAACATAATACAAGAGACAACCAAAGGAGACCGCTAGAAGATGGAAAGAAGAAGGCAAGCTGGTTAGAGGTCCCAGGACTGGAGAAACAAAATAATAGCAGGGCATCTTACAACCCACCATCCAGCAGAGAAAGAAAATCCACTCTGACCCACAACCTAGCCACAGAAGGTGGCTCAGGTAGCTTCATTCCTCCCCCAGATTTGTGGAATCCCACCACCAACACCAGGTAAGCCCAGCAGCACCAAGAAGAAGGATCACTCAGAAGCCCCACTAGTAAGTGACCAGAGGAATCACTTCCCCGAGGACCTGAGCCTCCCCTCCCCTAACCAGGGACATGGGAGACACAGGCAAGAAGGACTTACTGCAACAAGCACCTAGCCTAGGAAGTTTTTTCATCCCCACTGTCTGCAGACTCCTTTCCCCAACCTGTGGGCACCAGGGACCTAGCATGGGGAAACTATCTGCCTATTTAGGCAGCACCAGTAGGGACCATTGGGAGATCAAGCAGTACAAAAAAAATGAGCAGCCCAAAATAACTCCACAAAAGCTCTGAAGATTAAATTGTCGTTGGAACCACAGCATACGAAAAAAGGCGAAGATCTGTGTGCCTAAACCTAATCAGGATGGCTATCTGCTAAAACAAAAGAATTAAATAGGGCCCATAGTTCCCTAACATAATAGTTAAAATGTCCAAGATACAGTGGAAGATCACCTGTCATACCAAGACTCTGGAAAACCACGACTTGAATAAGAAATTACAGTCACCTGACATTGACATGGAGCTGAATCAGAGGTTAAATTGCCTGAAAAGAATTTTCAAACAGCCATCGTCAAACTGCTTCAACAAGCATTACAGGCTCTCTTAAAACAAATAAAAAATTAGAAAATCTGATCCAGAAAATAAAAGTTACAAAAAAGAACAAAATGGAAATTGCAGAAGTTAAAAAATAGTAACAAGCTTTGCTCACTAGTAGAGTTAAGATGGCAGAAGATAAAATAGAGCAAACTTGAGGATTGAGCAAAACAACGTGCCCAAAATAAACAACAGAAAATAGAGTGAAAAAGATGAACAGAGTTGCAGGCACTCGTGGGAGAATAACAAAAGATGCAACATTTGTATTATTAGATTTCAAGAAGGAAAGAAGAAAGAAGACAAAAGGATGTTGAAGAAAATTATGGGTGAAAACTTCCAAATTTTGGTGAAAGACATAAACCAACAGATTAAAGAGGCTGAGAAAACCCCAAAGGGAATAAATCCAAATAAATTCATGCCAGGGAACCATATATGTCTGAAAACTAAAGACAAGGAAAAAAATCTTGAAAAGTTCCAGGAAGAAATAACACATTCACAGTAAGTGAGCACCATTCTGAATGACAGCAGATTTCTCATCAGAAACCATAGAGACCAGAAAGAAGTGGCACAACACTTTTCCAGAGATGAAAGAAAAAAACTGTCTGCTGCTAATTCTATATGTGGTGAAACCATCCTTCAGGAATAAAGGGGAAATAAAGACATCCTCAGATGAAGGAAAACTAAAAGAATTTGTCACCAGATATTTACCTTTAACCCTCTTCCCATTTGCCCCAAGAATACTCGCCAGCAGTGCTTGCAGCGGCAGCGTTTACCCCGATATAATTTTGCCACAAGTTATCTTTTTTTTTTTTTGAGACATAGTCTCGCTGTGCCGCCCAGGCTGGAGTGCAGTGGCGTGATCTCTGCTCACTGCAAGCTCTGCCTCCCGGGTTCACACCATTCTCCTGCCTCAGCCTCCGGAGTAGCTGGGACTACAGGCACCAGCCACCGCACCTGGCTAACTTTTTGTATTTTTAGTAGAGACGGGGTTTCACCGTGTTAGCCAGGATGGTCTCGATCTCCTGATCTCATGATCTGCCCACCTTGGCCTCCCAAAGTGCTGGGATTACAGGCGTGAGCCACCATGCCCGGCTGAAATATCTTGCTTTTATTATTATTTTTGCATCACTGTAAAATGATGTCTTTTGGAAACAAAAGACATCATTCTATTTAGGGCATTCTGGATTTAGTTAGTGGTATTCCCATTTACAAAATATAGTAATTTTCAACTGCTGAAAATGTCAAATCCTAGAAAACGTAGCATTCCTACATGTGATGTTAACATCATTCCCAAAGAAGATTCTTTTGATGAATCCTATTTTTCCGAAATACATGAATCTGATGATTCAGGCAATTCTGAAGTTAGTTCTGTTTAGAAACAACTCCAACAACAGCATTTATATTTTATTTTCACATTGAAAGTCAGTCAGGTTTGGCCGGGCACGGTGGCCCAGCACTTTGGGAGGCTGAGGCGGGCAGATCACGAGGTCAGGAGTTCGAGACCAGCCTGGCCAACATGGTGAAACCCCGTCTCTACTAAAAATACAAAAATTAGCTGGGCATGGTGGTGCATGCCTGTAATCCCAGCTACTGGGGCAGCTGAGCCAGGAGAATGGCTTGAACCCAGGAGGCGGAGGTTGCAGTGAGCCAAGATCGAGCCACTGCACTCCAACCTGGGTGACAGAGCAAGATTCTGTCTCAAAAAAAAAAAAAAAAGAAAGAAAGAGAGTCAGTCAGATTTGCTTCAGACTCCAAGAGCGTGTTTATGTAAAACTAAATGAGATCTGGAAGTGAACTGCACTTTTTTTGGTTTTCTAAATGGGAAAAGGGTTAAGAATGGCTAAAGGAAGTTTTTCAAACAGAAAGAAAATGATAAAAGTAAAAATCTTGGTGCATAAGGAAGTAAGAAAGGACAATTGAAAGAGTAGAAATGTACACATCCCAAAGATTATCCTTCCCCTCCTGTGTTGTATAAATCATGTTGATTATTTTTTAAGTGACGAAGGTAACACAAACTAATGGGAGGGAGATATCCACACTTCACTTGAAGTAATAAAATGTTAACACCAATATCTGGGGAGATGGGCCAAGATGACTGGCTAGAAGCAGCTAGTGTGCGTGGCTCTCACAGAGAGGAACAGAAGGGGCGAGTAAATACAACTCCTGCAGCTGAAACATTCAGGTCCTTGCATTGGGATTCATCAAGGAAACAACTTGACCCTACAGAGAATGAAGAGAAGGAAGACTGGACAACGGCTCCCCGGGGAGCAACATGGAGCCAGGACATCCTCCCTCGCCCAGGGAAGCAGGGAGTGAATGAGCTGCCCAGGAAAGCAAGCTTCTCCCACAGATCTTTGCAACCCTTGGCTCAGGAGATCTCCTTGTGAACCCCCTCACCAGGGCCTTGGGTCTTCAGTCTGACACAGAGCTGCCTGGAGCCTGGGCAGAGCAGCTGCTCAGGCATGCATGGAGACCCTGGAGCCTTAGATCCTTGGGCTTTCTGGCAAAAGTAGCTGCAGCTCTGGCAAAGAGGGAGATTAGACTCCCATACATACCCCTAGGAAAGAGGCTGAATCCAGAGGGCTGAGCAGCAGCAGCCTGCAGACCCCACTTCCACAGCACCCCACAAGATAAAGGCCCCCCGGCTTGGAATTCCAGCCAGCTACCAGCACTGCCCTGCACCTCCCTAAGAAGGAGCTCCCGGGGTGAGGGGTGGGCCACCGTCTTTGCTGTTCAGGTGATTTAGCCCTTCCAGCCTCCAGGCTCTGGAGAGTCTGAGCCAACCTGGGGCGGAAGAGATCCCTTAGCACAGCACAGCTGCCCTACCAAAACACGGCCAGACTGCTGCTTAGCAGGTACCTGACGCCATTCCTGCTCACTGGGCCAGACCTCCCAGCCAGGGCCTCTAGCCACCCCTGCCGGAGATCTCCAGCTGACAGAGATCTGAAGTCCCCCTCGGATGGCGTGCCCAGATGGACAGGCGGGCTGCCAGCTCCTTGCTTTTTGGGTGACTTTGCCGTTCCAGCCTTTGGACTAGGGAGTATCCGAGGCGGCAGGGGGCTGAAGTGGACCCCAGCACAGCACAGGTGCTCTACCAGAACGTGGCCAGACTCTGCTTTTTGTTTTGTTTTGTTTTGTTTTTTTGTTTTTTTTTTTTGAAAAGTTCAGATCCTCTTTATTTCTCCCATCCCAATCCCATTGTTTGTCTCTAGTCTTCCTTTCCTAACCATTGGTGACAAGTATCATGAATATGTTTATTTCTTGCTTTTAATTATTTTTATGTAAATTTGATATACAATTATTTCATTTTTACGTAAAGGACAGTGACATATTTACAGCTAATTTTTTCACTCAACATCGCTTTTAATACATACAACTCATACTAGATTGTTTTTTACTTGAGTTAAAAACACCATATCATAGAATCACAACTTAAAGCAAGTTTCTCTACATACATTTAGAAGTAAAGTT